>NC_000006.12:20969090-21272121 GCF_000001405.40 Homo sapiens | reverse complement strand
TTGCATCTGCTTTTTGAGGGGCTTTAATCTCTCTGGTTTAAAAAACAAAAAAAGGCCCAGCACAGTGGCTCACACCTATAATCCTAGCACTTGGGAGGCCAAGGCAGGCGGATGGCTTGAGTCCATGAGTTCAAGACCAGCCTCAGCCTGGGCAACACAGCAAGACCCTGTCTCTACAAAAAATAGAAAAACTAGCTGGGTGTGGTGGTGCATGCCAATAATCTCAGGAAACTGAGGCAGGAGGATCACCTGAGCCTAGGAGGTCAAGGCTGCAGTGAGCCATGTTCACACCACTGTACTCCAGCCTGGGCGATAGAGTGAAACCCTGTCTCAACAAAGAAACAAACAACTGTAAATGAGCTTTGCAAAGAGGCAGACATTTAGGGTGGGTTTACATCAAATAAAGCAGAGAATGTAAGTGCAACAGCCACAGCTCTCAGGGGTGTTCCCTTGAGGCAGCCAGACAGAAAGCCACTCATGGCCCTTCCCTGCCGAGGCTGACCTCCTCCTGCTGGTCACTGTAGGATGCCACGCTGCAAATGAAGGCCAGTGGGCTTCGCTGGCTCCGCTTCTGTTTCCTATACTAGATTTCCATTTTGTGTTTGCTGAAAAGATCAGCTTCCAGCCTTCACATTCGACCTGAGAGGAGTCCTTTACCAAAAAATGTGTTTTCTCACTTGACAAGCAGCCCAAGGGCAGATTCAGAATGCTTTATTAATCTCCCTTTTCAAATATTTTCAAGGAGGTGATCATTTCAGATATCTGCTCGTGGTGTATTTATTCCTACTCCTCACGTACACGAGAAAGCAAACCAGATATGGGAAAGAAAAAAAATAAATATTTCCAAATCAGCATAGCTCCAAGCAACAGAAAGCAAAGATGGAATTCCTTGTCGCTGTCTCTTGACTTCTGCTTTAGGACTGCGAGCTGCCCAGGAAGATTGAGTTAACACAAAAGCCAAACTCCTCTACGAGAGTCTAGGGCAGAGTTCTCTCTTTGTAGTGACGACTAGGCAGTTCTGCCAGTGAGAGTGGGGCCACAGGCCTGGGATTTGAACAGGAAGTGAGGCCAATCCTAAATGAAATCAAACTGTGAATAAAGGAGGATTAAAATAAAAATTGACAGCATAGTTCACAGAGCCAGTGCCGTGGTGCAGCTGCCTGGAACTCGCTGCCATCATACGCTTTGGACAGGAGACATGAAACACTGCCTGGATAGCTCCTGGCTGAGGAGGTTGTGAGAAGCGCATTTGTCTGCACATTGTGGTGCCTGTGACACCGGGAAGGTAAGAGGGGCTGTGGGAACGTTGACAGGCTGATAGGTTTCTTTGGAAACAGCCCGTAAATGCTGCCAGCAGTGCGGGAAGCTTCATGTTCTAATTCCAAAGCTCTTCTCTCCACGCTTTCTAACCTAGCGATTCGACTCTAGAATAACTCTTTCAGAGAGGACACTGGATTAGGGATCAGGAACTCTAGCTCCAGCCCTCCCTCTGCTCACTTGGATAACCTTGCATGCACAAAATGCTTAACTTCTCCAGGTTCATGTGCTTAAAAGGATATTTTCAGCTTTGGGAGGGAGAGTTGGGGGGGCGGGCAGTGAGAAACTGGGGAGGAGAGAAAGGGAGGGATGGGACTTGGTGCCTGGGTTTCTGGGCCTTGGCTGGACAGGTCCGGGGCCTGGAGGACACAGAAATGTAGAACAGAACCAATACCACTCCAAAAAGGTTTTAGCCCATTTTCCACCATGTTGGTTGAAACATTACTGTAAATAGTAGCGGTTTGACTAGCTGCCCCCAAAAGGATACGTCCCACCAGAACTTGTGAATATGATCTTATTTGGAAAAAGGATTTTTGCAGGTGTAATTAAGGCTGAGATCATCCCGGATGGTCAGTGGGCCCTAAATCCAATGACAGGTGTCCTTATAAAAGAAAGGCAGAAGGAGATTCGACAGACTCAGACACACAGGGAGGAACGTTATGTGAAGACAGAGGCAAAAACTGCAGTTCTGCAGCTCCAGGCCAAAAAAATGCCTGGAGCCATCAGACGCTGGGAGAGGGATGGAAGATTTTTTCCCCTAGAGACTTCAGAGGGCACAGCTCTGCCAACACCTTGATTTCAGACTTCTGGCCCCTAGAACTGAGAGAGAATCAATTGTTTTGTTGTTTAAGCCCCACAGTTGGGGGTGATGTGTATGGCAGCCCTAGGAAACTACTAGGGGACAGCCCAGCATCTCTTTAAAAATACTTTCACCTTCCCCTTGGGGTTTTAAAAACATTCATTTAAACCAGCTTCAATCCCCTATTTATTTATTTATTTATTTATTTATTTATTTTTGAGACAGAGTCTCGCTCTGTTGCCCAGGCTGGAGTGCAGTGGCGCAATCTCGGCTCACGGCAAGCTCCGCCTCCTGGGTTCACGCCATTCTTCTGCCTCAGCCTCCCGAGTAGCTGGGACTTCAGGCGCCCGCCACCACGCCCGGCTAATTTTTTGTATTTTTTAGTAGAGACGGGGTTTCACCGTGTTAGCCAGGATGGTCTCGATCTCCTGACCTTGTGATCCGCCCGCCTCAGCCTCCCAAAGTACTGGGATTACAGGCGTGAGCCACTGCACCCGGCCCAATCCCCAATTTAAACATGAAGCAGGAACATCTCTCTCTAAACGTACTGAACACTGGGGTATTCCCAGAAAGAAGCGATCTCGCCACTTGAGCCCAACTCAGACAAATGCCAACGTGGCAGACATGCTTGACGCTGCTTGGTGCTGGTGCTGGGAGGAGACAGCTTTTCCACCATCGCTTCCTGTCGGAAGGCAGGAGATAGGCTGGCAGGACAGTAAAGATCAGTAGGGAGTTGCTAGCATGAGGTCATTTTTGGTGTGAAAGTGTCATCATTCAAGAGGGTGGTCCTCAGCTAGCATAGGCCCATGTACACTCTGTGGTATAGAGCATGACTACCCGCCATGATGCCTCCAAAAGGATGCTGTCAGTCTCTGTGCAGGCTGGGGACACGGACCATCTTCTACATGGGTGCAAGATGCACCCTCCGGCCTCATTCATCCTTTAATTCAAGAAGAGAACAAAGTTTTCTGAGCCCTGATGGTTGGCCCTGCCTGATTGGCGCTCACCACACCACACTCTCACTCAGATGCCCTTGTGACCCAGGATGCGATTTACAAAAACAATGGCAGACAAGTGGCAGGAAGCAGAGATATGGTGAGGCTCTAGCATATCCTGAAGTTCACTGTTTGACGAGCAACCAAGGAGAGAGACTGCAGTACAAAATATAGATGCTTGCATTTGGCAAGGAAGCTGAGGTGATCACCAATTTAAAATACCCACTAGGCCTTCACTACTGAATTCACCTATCTCAGTATGCTAGGACCAAGAGAACTTTCTACATAGACCTGAATTCAGGTAGAACTTCCTTTCTTAAATTCCTGGGAAATAATATTGACAGCAATCACCTATGCTTCACAATGTACTGGTTTAAGAATAGGGAGCTAGACACTCCTGTAATCCCAGCACTTTGGGAGGCCGAGGTGGGTGTATCACCTGAGATCAGGAGTTTGAGATCAGCCTGACAAACGTGGTGAAACCCTATCTCTACTAAAAATAAAAAATTAGCTCGGCGTGGTGGCTCGTGCTTGTAGTCCCAGCTACTCGGGAAGCTAAGGCAGGAGAATCTCTTGAACTTGGGAAGCGGAGGTTGCAGTGAACTGGTATTGTACCACTGCACTCTAGCCTGGGCGACAGAGTGAGACTCCATCTAAAAAAAAAAAAAAAGAATAGGGAGCTAGAGAAATACTCTTGGAGGCATTTTCCTTGACCATAGAACAAATTATTACCATCTTAACTGCACATTTCAGTTTTGATGAGATGAATGTTTTTATTTTTTAGTTTTAACTGTGGTCAGACACACATAAAGTTTACCTTTTGTTTTTGAGAAAGGGTCTTGCTCTACTGCCCAGACTGCAGTGCAGTGGCACAATCACAGCTCACTGCAAAAATTTACCATTTTAAAGGGTACAATTTAATAGCATTAAGTAACCATTTCAAACTATAGAGTTCAGTACCATTTTAGTGGTTTAATGGTTACCAGCGAAGTAACCATGTTTAAAGTGCACAATTCAGTAGGGTTAAGCACATTCACATTGCTGTATAGCCAATCCCCAGAAGAACTTTTTCATCTTGCAAAACTGAAACTCTACATCCATTTAAACAATAGCTCCCTATTCCCCTCTCCCCTCAGCTTCTGGCAACTATAATTCCACTTCTGTCTCTATGAATTCGACTACTCTGGATATCTCATATAAGTAAAATCACACCATATTAGTCTTGTGACGGGCTTATTTCACTTCACATAATGTCTTCAAGTTTCATGCATGTTGTAGTATGTGTCCAAATTTCCTTCCTTCCTTCCTTATTATTATTTCTTCACTCCTTATTATTCATTCCCTTCCCTTTCAAGGCTCAGTAATACTCCATTTATGTATATGCCACATTTTGTTTACCTATTTATCCCTTGGACATTTGGGTTGTTTCCACCTTTTGGCTATTGTGAATAATGTTGCCATAAACATGGATATACAAACGATGATTTAAATGTTTAATTTTTCTTTAGTGGGTAAAATTCTCCTTGTACTTCTCTTTGCATATTCAGAATCAAAATATACCATCTAATTGTTAGTTATCAATAATCTTGAAGAGATTCCTGGAGGTTTAAATCATGGGGTTCTTCTCATGGGGTCCCTCTCAGCCAAAGATTCTCTCGAAGGAACCCCACTGTACATTGACAAACAATTTCTAGCAGTTATATTCTTGTTTGATCATGAAGAATACATGTAGCCTCTGCCTCTTTGCCAAAGGTTGCTCTTATTCACACATCAGAACTGGAATTGATTTCTGTCTTCTACTTACACACATTTATAACTCCTGTGGCAAATACTACAGTATTTCTAAGTAATTTAAGACATTGTTTCTTGAAACTTGACTCCTTGGGTCATCCTAGTGAATTTTGAATGGACTTCTGTAAGGGGAAAGCTATACTCCTCATCCTTGAATTCCCATGGGGGCCGGGCACGGTGGCTCACGCCTGTAATCCCAGCACTTTGGGAGGCCAAGGCGGGTAGATCACGAGGTCAGGAGATCGAGACTATCCTGGCTAACATGATGAAACCCCATCTCTACTAAAAATACAAAAAATTAGCCGGGCGTGGTGGTGGGCGCCTGTAGTCCCAGCTACTTGGGAGGCTGAGGCAGGAGAATGGCATGAACCCAGGAGGCGGAGCTTGCAGTGAGCCGAAATTGCGCCACTGCATTCCAGCCTGGGCAACAGAGCGAGACTCTGTCTCAAAAAAAAAAACACCAAAAAACAAAAAACAAAACAAAAACAAAAACAAAGAATTCCCATGGGTTCCTCTACTACCTCAACCTCGCCTGAAATAGAGATTTGAGGGCCCACATTTCCCCAAAACATGTTCTTTTAAAAAATAACTTATTTCTTTACTTTTTCAACTTTTACTAAGATTCAGCAGGTACATGTACAGGTTTGTTACCTGGGTTTATTTCATGATGCTGAGGTTTGGGGTATGAATGATCCCTTCACCCGCATAGCAAGCATAGTATCCCAACGGTTAGTTTTTCAACCCTTGCCCCTCTTCTTCTCACCCCTCTCTAGTAGTCCCCAGTGTCTACCGTTCTCATCTTTATGTCCATGTGTACCCAATGTTTAGCTCCCACTTATAAGTGAGAACATGTAGTATTTGGTTTTCTGTTCCTGTGTTAATTCACTTAAGATAATGGCCTCCAGCTGCATCCCTGTTGCTGCCAAGGACATGATTTCATTCTCTTTTATGGCTGCATAGTATTCTGTGGTGTATATGTACCACATTTTCTTTATGTAATTCACTGTTGATGGGCACCTAGGTTGATTCCATATCTTTGCACTTTGTGAATAGTGCTGTGATGAACATACAAGTGCATGTGTCTTTTTGGTGGAACCATTAATTTCCTTTGGGTGTATACCAGGTAATGGGATTGCTGGGTCAAATGGTAGTGTTTTAAGTTCTTTGAGATATCTCCAAATTGTTTCCCACAGTGGCTGAACTCATTTAGATTTCCACCAACAGTATGTAAGTGTTCCCTTTTCTCTGTAGCCTCACCAACATCTCTTATTTGTTTACTTTTTAATAATAGCCATTCTGACTTGTATGAGATGGTATCTCATTGTGGTTTTGATTTGCATTTCCCTGATGATTAATGATGAGCAATTTTTCATATGTTTCTTGGCCACTTGTATGTCTTGTAAGAAGTGTCTGTTCATGTCTCCAAACACGTTCTGCTAGTCTCATGAGCATAAGCTCAGTGCTTACACGTTGTGTTGATTTGTAAAGATGGCCCATTTCTGTTGAAGGGCTAATGCCCATTTTTAATGCCAGGCAGGTGGTCCCAGGCCAGGTAGCCCTTGAGGTCAACCACTCTACTACAGAGACCAGGGAGGACGCAGAGGCCACCATGTGAATCTAAGGACCAGTCCTCTTCTCTTTCACTACAGCCCTACCCTGGGTCTTCCTAGATGTCACATTCAAAAAGAGCAAGGGGGTTGAGGGGAACTCTCAAAGGCTGATCACTTATGTGTCATCAAAGAGGCTCCCACTCCACCAATTACTCACTGTGTGGCTTGTCATAAAACCTTGCTGTGCCTCAGCTTCCTGATCTGTCCTAAGAGGTTCATCGTTGTACCCATAAAATTGTGTTATGATTGTTCAATGAACTGACATTTTTAAATGCCTAAGAGTACCTTACACATACTTAGCTCTCTTTTAGCTCTTATATCATTATGAACAGATCACTAGTTTGGAATGGATTAGAGCCATTTTTGTATTCCTTCCTCTCTCACTCACTCTCCTTCCCCCCAGTAACCCAATGAGGTGGGAGTCTTCTAGAGAAATGCAAATCATTGAACAGGAAAATGAAAGGAGGATGTGTATTTTCCTTGTAAGTGAATGTGCAACCCGCACCATACCAGCTTTGGTTAAGAGAGGTAGGAAACAGACTGAAAACACTGAGGACTTATGAAGAACCCGAAAGAATGTACTGCATAAGATAGGCTGGTTTTTTAAGTTTTTACCAAGTGTTGACAAGATCTATGAAATGAATGCCACCCCGAGGTGGGAAGGCTGCTCGTGAAACCAGCTATGGGTTAGGAAGAATGAAGCCAGCTATGACAGCCTTTCTGACTGGGTCCTTCATCTGGAGCCTGGTCCCACATCAGTGTGACAAGCAGGCTCCTGAAGAAATAAATGACATGCTAGTCCCTGTGTCCATAGGCCACTGTCTCCACTGCCTGGTCATCGATTCTGAATCCTTTCCTGTTATCCCTTCCTACCAGATCCTCCCACTAATTCTCAATGGGTACCCTGAGCTGGGCCTGCCTTATCTTTTCTGTAAACAGCCTTTAAAGGTAATGAAAGAAAGATGTTGACTTTTATGGCTCATAAAGCTGCTTGCAGATATCCAATTTAGCACAACCTACTTCCACTAACAGTATAGTTTAACACTTCCTTCACACCGCAGGGATCTTAAATTTTCAGTGGCCAACGATGAACTGAAAATGAACCGAAAGAGGCTGCATCGTGAAGAGGCTAGCTTGTAAATTAGAGGTTTGTCCCACGTAGGAAACCTGACACCTTTTGAAAATGACAAGGATAGTCTTTTGAGTGTCACCACAGAACAACAGCAGAAATTTATGATGTTTTCGGAGGGTGTAATCAAACTGTAAGCCTGACATCAAATCCCTCTTGGTCTCTTTTTTCTCGTCTGTAAAATAAGAGGGTTGAACAGTTGATTTTCATGTCTCTTTTGGCTCTCACATATTGTGATTCTAATACTGGAGTGCCTGTGGCTAGGTGACGTGGGATTACAAAGTCTTTCACAAATTCAAAGTGGGGAGCTGGCCCCAACACTTGCGGGCTACTTTTAGACATGATGCAACTGGCCTTTACGGATGACGCTGACTCATTCCAACCCCAGACAGGCCCTGCCTCCTCTGAGGACTTTTCTGCCCACAACACCTTCAGCTACCACGATCCATGCACACCTCCCACCTCTTCATCTTCCTGGAGCAGCCTTTGTCACGCCTCCAAGCACACCTTGCGAACCACATCTGCCCATGTTTCTGGAGCAAAAAAGGAATTACCCCCGTTGCCAAGGAGGCAGCAGTGTGGAGTAAACACTGGTGGCCCCTCTTTGGACCCCCTACTCACCCCTCCAGAACACAAGAGCAGCCATTTTTCTGGCCGCAGGAGACCATGGCACTAGTGGGTGGGGCCATTTTGGTTCCGGCCTGGCCCGGAAGCTGGCTCCCAAGGCCTCCCCACAGTCTGGCGAGGACGGCAGTGCGCATGCTTCTCCTTCCACACCCCATACTTCTCCCTTGGTGCAGGGCGCAGGGTCTGTCTTTTAGAAGCAGCCTTAGGACCCCCAAGTTGTCACTTCCACAGGCGGGGGCGACTGAGACTCTGAGATGGCTCAGAACCTTTGCAGCAGCCCCAGCTCTCCAGGAGGCGAGAACCAGCCTCCATCTTTGAGACTTAGGGAGGAGCAAGTCCATTGAAACTTAGGTTTTAGGTTTGCGTTTGGGATGTGGAAGCCACATCCTCCACAGTTTCTCAGAAAAGGTGTGCTTTGGGTAATGAGGCTGTGCCTTGTTTGGCATCTTGTGTTTGTTTCACCTAAACATTGGAGTAGTTGAGGGGTGCGAGGTGGATACCCCAGACACTCTTGAGGACCTGCCAGGTACCAAGCGCTCAGCTTATCTAGACTTTCAGATTCATGTTCTTTTTCCTCATTGGAAGTGGCTCTCTAGGCCCGTTTTTCCGTGAACGAAAGAGATCCTTGCTTCTCATCTCTCAAGCTCAGGTTGCAAACTTACCTCTTTCATGAGGCCTCCAGAAATGGTTTCAAGTCAAGAGATACCACGCCTCGAATTTCATTATACTTATAAGCGCTATGTGATGTATTAATTTTAAACACATTTAAATCCCCTAGTTATTTCTTCCTGTTCACCATCTCTAAATATGTTAAAATGTAAATAGTTACGAATGAGATATTTTCCAACACCTTTCCTTCCCCTTACAAAAATACTCCTTACATCTAGTACCCTCCTACGCTGGGTTAGCTGACAGTTTCCGTTTTGTGTAATTTTATTAATTTACTCAGCAAAACCTCCGTTAAACACCTACAACGGGCAGGTGTGAGAAAGACAAAGATAACACATCCAAGCCCTTGAGGATTTCAAATTCTATTATGGGAAAAGTTCCAACGGGAAATATTGTCATAGAGGTGTGAACAGAGCTGTGAAAACAGAAGAGCAACTTTACCCAAGAGTCGGTAAGGCATTTCAGGGGATGTGTGAGCAGGGTTTTGAAGGATGAATATGAGTACACTACACAGATAAGAGGGAAAGGTATTCCAAGCAGAACCCATTGTTCGTGCAAAGGCATAGAGTCATCAGTTGACCAAGCAAGCCCCAGAAAATAATGGAAATCTCAGAAGAGCTGGAATGAGTTGCAATGGAGATGACTAGCAAGCATTAGTTTGGCAGGGCAGGTTATCAGCACAGAGGGACAACTTTTTACACTATGCTTATATGCTCAGGAGTTTAGATGTTATATGGTCAGCAACCAGTACCCAACAGAAGTTTATAAAATCACCTTTAGCTTTCAGGGTTTGTTTTTGTTTTTGTTTTTTTGAGACGGGACTTTGTGACCCAGGCTGGAGTGCAGTGGCATGATCATAGAAGATTTTTAAAAATAGAAATAAACTTGGAATACATTTCTGGCTTGGAAATTGTGTTTAGATTGTGTACAATGCCCAGGATAATGCGGGACACACAGAAGACAATAAACAAGATCCTACTGAATAGGAGTTCAAGGAAAGTCAGAAAAGAGGAATCATGGAAAGAGATGATGAGGCCACACTTATCACTTTTCCAAATTTTAGCTGCCATTGCTCATTCTATTAAAGACTAGAGGCTCTGCAATGATACAAGCAGAAGTTAATTTTCTCAAAAAGAACAACTCTGTGCTTACAGGTGCTGTCACTACCTTAGCTGTTGCTGTGAAAATTGTGCATATATTATTTGGCACTGTGTGTCCCTACTGCTCTGCAGGCTTGACCATTGTATTAGTCCATTCTCACATTGCTAAAAAGAACTACCTGAGACTGGGTAATTTATAAAGAAAAGAGGTTTAATTGACTTATAGCTCCACAGTAAGCATGGCTGGGGAGGCCTCAGGAAGCTTACCATCATGGCAGAAGGGGAAGCAGGCACATCTTACATGGCTGGTGAAGGAAGAAGAGAGAGAAGGGGGAGGCGCAACATGCTTTTAAATAACCAGATCGCATGAGAACTCACTCACTATCACAAGAACAGCAAGGGGGAAATCCACCCCCATGATTCAGTCACCTCCCACCAGACCCCTCCTTCAACACTAGAGATTAAAATTTGACATGAGATTTGGGCAGGGACACAAATCCAAACCATATCAACTGTGACACAACTTGCTTTCACCTTATAGCTGAGGAAATGGGGCATAAACCACATTCGTTCATTCACTTCATACTTAGTGAGGGCCTGTCATCACTACCCCATCTTACCTGATGAAATGATTATCCTGTGTCCAGAAATAAATGTGGAGGTGAAGTCATCAGATTAAAATATTTTGAGAAAATAGGTACAGATGGTTGAGCATTTCTGTAACACTTTCTCAAACTTCTTTCATCTTCCTCCTACTTCTCCTTCCTCCTCCTCCTTCTTCTTTAGCTAATGTAATTAAAGGAAACACTTAAGGTGAGACTTGGTTTCAGATTCCAGCTCTGTCACTTACTAGCTGTGGGACCTCAGTCGAGTCATTTTTCCTCCTCTTAGTCTCAATTGCTTTTCTGTAAAATAGACTTGTAAGGATTAAATAATGTGCAGAAAGGGCCTAGAATAGCACCTGGTGCAAAGTCAATCCTTAATACATGGTGCCTATTATTATAACAAACTCTTTTTGATACCATTGGATGAATTTCAAGAAGGACCAACCTACATGTAAAGTGTATTAGGGTGACATTTTGGAGAATTGTCTAGGAAACTCCCACCTTATATTTGGTGTCACTTGGATTCTGACAGCCAAATCTATGTTCCCAATTTCAAAATCTTCTTTTGGCCAGGTGTGGTGGCTCACACCTGTAATCCTAGCACTTTGGGAGGCCAAGGTGGGTAGATTGCTTGAGCCCAGGAATTTGAGACCAGCCTGGGCAACATGGCAAAATCCTGTCTCTATAAAATTTTTTTTTTAAATTAGCCAGGCGTGGTGGTGCATGCCTGTAGTCCCAGCTACTCGAGAGGCTGAGGTAGGAGGACCGCTTGAGCCTGGGAGGTTGAGGTGGCATTGAGCCGAGATCATGCCACTGCACTCCAGCCTGGGTGACAGAGTAAGACCCCATCCAAAAAAACCCCAAACAAACATAATCTTTCTTTTATCCTAATTCTTAGTGAGTCTGCAGTCTTATCTCTTTTCACTAGACTGTTTCTGCAAAGTGGTCTTAGCTTAGCCTATCCCTACAGCAAGCTTTTTTTGTTTTGTTTGGGCCAAATGGTCAAGCTCTGGAAATGCTTTAAAAGCATTCGTTTAATCACTAAGTCCTCTGAAATGATATATTCTGCTGTAGGTGAAATCATCCAGCTCAAACATAAGTGATTAGGCAATAACATTGAATTAATTGCTATTAATTATAAATGAGTGGAAAAAATAATCTCATATTTGTTCTGACCTCTTTTTCAACTCAAAACAGGCAGATTGTGAACACAACACTTTGTCTCACCCATCCAGAATTAACAGAGTAGTATGACCACAGAAAAGAATTCATGGAAAATGAAATTCTCAGTAAGAGTGAAGAATTCACAGGTCATACCCAAAAAAGCCTTAAACGGGGAAGATGCCCCTCTCACCCTGCCCACAGCACTCTCACCCTCCACTCCCCACAGTTAAAAGGTGAAAATCTGACCCAGCTGTTGAGAAGGCCCACACACAGGGAAGAGATGACAGATGTAAAAATGTGGAAGGATGAGAAATCCTCTACAAAGATCTTCACAAATCTAAATGCTGATTGCTAGTGTCTTACAAGCCTGTAGAGATTAAGTTACTCCCTTTTCTTAATCTCTGTCTTTGAATAGCTTCCTCTCTGTGGTGTGTCTACAGGTGCAAGTGGTGTGGACTCTAATCCCAGCTGTTAAAAACAGGCAGGGTGCCCCCATCTGCTCCCAACTCACACCAATGAGCTTTCTGCTAAGGAGGAAGATGCCTTAATGCAGCGGTTCCCAGTCTTGGATGAGTATTGGAATCACCTGGGGAGCATTAACAACGTTGTGGCTGGAACCTAGCACAATGGTTTTCAAACTTTGCTACATAGTGGAATCACTCCGGAGGTTTTTTGTTTTTTGTTTTTTTTATTTGAGGCAGAGTCTTCCACTTTTGCCCAGGCTGGAGTGCAGTGGCATGATCTCGGCTCACTGCAAGCTTCGCCTCCCAGGTTCACGCCATTCTCCTGCCTCAGCCTCCCGAGTAGTTGGGACTATAGGCACCCACCACCACGGGTAATTTTTTGTATTTTTAGTAGAGACGGGGTTTCCCATGTTGGCCAGGATGGTCTCGATCTCCTGACCTCGTGATCCGCCTGCCTCGGCCCCCAAAGTGCTGGGATTACAGGCGTGAGCCACCGCGCCAGGCCACTGTGGAGGTTTTAAAACTCCCAATTCCCAGGCTGTACCCCAGACCAATCACATTGTTTTCTGTGGCACCCAGGTATCAGTCGTTCTTAAAACTTCTCAGGTGGCTCCAACGTGCAGCCAAATTTGAGAACCGGTGTGTGAGAGAGTCTGATAGGAATGGTCTGGGGTGTGATCTGGCAGTGGGATTTTTAAAGCTTCCTAAGACAGTCTCCTAGGCAGAGCTTTGAGCCACGGGATAAAACAAGGAGCTAGTGAAGATCAACAAGGACATACTCACGTGAAGGAACACTGTAGAAAGGAGAGAACTGTCTGGATGGCCTGAGTGAGATGCACACAGTCTTGGCATTCACTGCTAGTCCCCTCCATGTTCCCCTTTATCCTTCACTGACAGACGCCAATTTTGTTCTGGTGGTAAAGCACCTGCCTCCAAACCACTACATTTCCCAGCCTGCCTTGCAACAGTGGATGCACATGTGATATCTCTCTGGCCAGTGAAAATCTTAGGGCGGAAATTCTCGGAAGACCTTTATTTAAAAAAAAAAAAAAAGCCAACTCAGCTAGAAGTGCTTTTGGCCTTTGTCTTTATTCCTGCCTGAAAACAAATGTGAGGCTGAGGATAAGACAGCCCTCGTATACCAAGAGGACGCAACCATCACACTCTGAGAATGTTGGTGCAGAAAGCTAGGAAGAATTTGAGATCCCGAAGTCATCACGGAGCCCCCATACCTGCCTATCTGCAGGCTGTATGTGAGTAATTTTCTCCATAATTTGTTTAAGCTTTTAAAAATACATTTATTTTTATATTGGAAGCTATACCATCCAAAGAAGAAAGGGAGAAGATAAAGCTAATGAGAGAAAGAAACTATCCACAGAATAAGTAACAAGGAAGTCAAGACAGAACGTGTGAATTTAAAACAGAGTGGAGCTAGGCACTGTAGCTCACGCCTGTAATCCCAACATTTTGGGAGGCCAAGGCTGGAGGATCACTTAAGGCCAGGAGATTGAGACCAGCCTGGCCAATGTGGCGAAACCCTGTCTCTATAAAAAATACAAAACTTAGCCAGGTGTAGTGGTGCATGCCTGTAATCCCAGCTACTCAGGAGGCTGAGGCACAAGTATCACTTGAACCCAGGAGGCGGAGGTTGCAGTGAGCTGAGATTGTGCCACTGCACTCCAGCCTCGGTGACAGAGGGAGACTCTGTCTCAAACAAAACAAAAACAATGTGGGAAGGGAAAGAAATATTGTGGCAGAGGATGTTTATATTTTAAGGATAACCTACTTTGATAATGTTAGTATTTCTTTTCTTTTTTTTTCCTCTCTTAGTTTGTCATGTATTAGTTTCATGACTCCTTTTGAAGTTTTCTTGAGTCTAGCTACTTCATGACTCTAGACTTATGGGCTGTGCCATTTATTTCAAACATACATATACAAATGATAATCATGCAAATCAGATGAAATCATTGTTTTTCTAGCATTTTGCAGCACAGAACATATTCTTTAACCCCAAAAATGATATTGTTCACATGGCTTTCTTTCCTATTAAACACTGTTAGCTTCTTGTGGATGTGTCTGTATCTTTCACTTCCATATCCCCACTACTTAAGAGATCTTAGCACATAATAGATATCCTTAAATGCTTGGAAGAAAAGAAGACAGAAGGATGAATATGTCAGGAGTTGGGCAGGAACCTTTCCTTAGAGGGAGGAAAATTTTAATGGGGAACTTTCTTTTTAATATTTATATGTATATATACTATATATGTATATATATGCTATATATATATAACATATATAATATATATGCTATATATATACATATATAATATATATGCTATATATATATACACATATATTATATATATATATATATTTTACTAGATACAGAGTCTCATTCTGTTGCTCAGGCTAGTTTCAAACTCCTGGGCTCAAGCAAACCTTCCACCTCAGCCTCCCAAAGTGCTGAGATTATAGGCGTCAACCACTGCAGCTGGCCAGGAAACAGTTTTTAAACAACTTTCTGTGCTGGCCAATGGGTGGTAGAGTTGGTTTAAGGCAGCTGTGTTCAGAAAGGATGTGAAATGATCATGTATGGCACGTTTTAAAAGTTGAGTCTTTGTAAATAGTGTTGTTTCATTATGCAGTTCAGTTTCTCTCTGCTGCTAGGCTTCTTCTCTGAGTTTTGACAGCCATACCTAGGGATTTTCTTAAAGAAAATACAGCCATCTTTAATTTTATCTTTGTCTAATTATTAACAGGTCTGGTCTCAATACTATGTGGATTAATGAACTATTTCAAAATTTTGATAACTCTAAAGACTATTGATTGTGTTCAGTAAGATTTCTCCTATAAAGTACCTACTATTGTGCCTGGCAAAATGAAAAAGCACATGTGGTTTTCTTTCTATGTATTTGTATTAATACATGTCTTCTAGAAGTGGTTGTGCATTGGTTCTAGTTAGTGGCAAGGACTTAGTCTTATTGAGATATGATTCTTCTAGTTCTACCATGTGATATTCTGAATTCTTTGAAAAATTCTCAAGAACAATTGTTGAAATTAAACAGCAAATTGGAAAACTTTCCAGTTTTATGATAGTTCCCTTTTTCTCCTCTTTTTCATTAGTTGTTGTTGTTTTTAAGATGGAGTTTCACTCTGTCACCAGGCTGGAGCCGCCTCCCAGGTTCAAGCGATTCTCCTACCTCAGCCTCCTGAGTAGCTGGGACTACAGGCAACTGCTACCACGCCCAGCTGATTTTTGTATTTTTAGTAGAGACAGGGTTTCACCATGTTGGCCAGGCTGGTCTCGAACTTCTGATCAGCCCACCTCAGCCTCCAAAAATGCTGGTATTACAGGCATCAGCCACCATGCCTGACCACATTAGTTCTTTCTTTTTCTTGAATCCTTTCTGACAATAGGATGACTGATGATAGTAAATCATAGCACAGGGAGCTAGGAAGTGGCTGACAGCTGGGAGTACAACAGCTCCAGTACGTCTTCATGAAGGATAGTGAGCCTTGGTCTCCAGGAAAGCCTGGGACGTGCTTTCCTCATGTGAATGGGAAGTAAACTTATGGCCTCTTTTTTTCTTAAATTTCTGTGGCTTATGACATAAGTAATTTGCTCTAGAGAAACACTGAAACTTCTTAGGAAAAAGCTAATGATGAATAGATAAAGTAAACTCATTATTTCGTAAATGCTAGAGATGGTAATTATGGGAAGACACAATGACTCAAGAAACTCAGATCCTTTTAGAAGCAGGTAGGAGAATTAATGTTAAATGAATATCATGAACTCATAGATCATTCTCTTTTCAAAAGTCCATAGTTGCACAGTAATGGCAAATGTCCACATAGGGATTGTTCTTTGATAACTATAAAATTTAAATACTGATGTTTAAGAAAACTTATTTTAAAGAGTATCATTAATTTTAAGAATTTATCAAAATAAATGGTCACCCAGAAAACTGAATCAGGCAATTCAAAGCAAATCTCCATTAGTAATTTGAAATGTATCCCCAAAGCTGTTTTAAAACTCACATATTGCATTCATTCACAGAAAATGAATGATAAGATTCGTATTTTTTAGTAAAAGTATTTGAGCAATTTTGAATGGGGCAATGATTTAACAAATTAACAAAGGAACAATAGTGGCTAGACAATAAACGCTATCATTTTATAATAAGTGTAGTTTAGTTAAGGTACTCCAAATAATCTGTTACACAACTATACAATGCCAATTTCCATGATTAGGACATACAGATAAAAATGTACAATACCTGAAAACCACTGAATATTTACAGTTGCTAGTTCCAAATACTTAGAAAAGAAGCTGACAATGTATCAGTGTCCAAAATAAGACATTTGATGTCCTCATTGATTGACATAACCTATTTATTGCCTTGTTTTTGTTTTAATATGGAATGAGAGTGAAAATTAGTTAGCTAGCTTCATCTGTCAGATATTGACTTAGCACCCTTTCCAGTGCTTTCTGACATATTTCACATCAACATATGCAAAAATGACAAAAACAGACAAAATGGCAAT
This sequence comes from Homo sapiens, assembly GCF_000001405.40. Lineage (NCBI taxonomy): Eukaryota > Metazoa > Chordata > Mammalia > Primates > Hominidae > Homo > Homo sapiens. The sequence goes on along the minus strand of NC_000006.12, from coordinate 21,255,304 downwards.
ATCAGTACAGCATACTGGGGTACACTGAGAAGCCAGGTCAGCTACCCCAGGACTTCCCTGCACTTCCCATGGCTGAGGAAGTCAATATTTTGGTAGGCCCAGGTGGGAGCCGGAGTTTAGTCATTTTATTGGACAATGAAATTGTGGGCAACTTAAAGTATGGTTAAATCAGAGCAGGGGATGGTGGGTGTTTATTTTTTGGTTTATCTAAGGTAGCATTACATTAGCAATATCTTTCTAATACTTGGTCAAGTTGGTTGGATAACTGAAATAATACTATGGTTAAAGTTGAGAAAGAAAAAATGACTTTAAAACATGTAAATGTCTATTCATTTGGCAATCTTTTCCTTTCACACTCGAGAATTTTCTTTGAGTATGGGTGTACTGACTGGAATTGGCCAGGTTATATTTTTTGTATCAAGCATATCCATAAACAACATCTTCACTTTTGATATGGTTTGGCTGTGTTCCCACCCAAATCTCATCTTGAATTGTAGCTCCCATAATCCTCATGTATTGTGGGAGGTACTGGTGGGAGGTAATTGAATCATGGGGGTCAGTTTTTCCCTGCTATTCTCATGATAGCAAATAAGTCTCATGAGATCTGATGGTTTTATAAAGGGCAGTTCCCCTGCACACACTCTCTTGCTGCTGCCATGTAAGATGTACCTTTGCTCCTCCTTCACCTTCAACCATGATTGTGAGGCTTCCTCAGCCATGTGAGTTCATTAAACCTCTTTTCCTTTATAAATTACCCAGTCTTGGGTATGTCTTTATCAGCAGTGTGAGAATGGACTAATACAACTTCCCAGTTTCTGTTTCTCTAAGGAGGAATGAGAATTTGGTCACTTGTGAAGAAATCTGGGTGCAAGATTATTCTACACTTGCACAGCATTTTCCTCTTTGGTAGTTATCTTACCATTTTTGTTAGCAACTCACCTTTATCATGTGTCTACAAAGAATTCTATTTGGTTTTCATTGAAACCATGACCACAAGTCTATTTCTTTCTAAACTCACATTTCACTTCCGTAATATTATTTAAATAAATTGCATAGTTGTAAGTAAAATATCATTAGGGGGACAAACAACTGACCCATCAGTTGGGAGCAGAAGTGCAGGCATTGTATAGAAGTTTCCAGAGTTATTTTCGGGTCCTCGGTTGGTACATGACTTAAAGGGAAGGAGAGTGAGTCAGTGTTGTTAGCTAAGTAACTGGTGGCTTGCTAAAGGAACTTCTACAAACTTCTTTGTTTGAATATGTGGATTTGGATAGATAGTGTTTATTGCTTTTAGATTTTGTGTCCTGTTTCCTTCTTTTTTGATTTTTGCATTTTTCACTTAGTGTGCAAGTGATAGAACGATTTGTACTTTACTTTCTCAAAGTGTGCACACTCTGGAGAAAACTGTATAGGGCTGAGGGAACACCGGCTGTCTGTAGAGTGGTTCAGTGTTTTCCAATAGCTATCCTCATGATTGTGATAGTTTGTCACAGCATAAGACACTTGTAATGGAAACTGCTGTCTAGACAGGCTGAAGGAGCCACTGGGGGGCTTTTGTGAGTCTGGTGTGAACTGTGAGATATGACTGTTTTCTACCATTGTTTACTCTGATTATTGTGAATAAAACGTCTTCAGACATTTTTATATTAAATGTGTGCCACATCCCAGACCATTTCAGTAAGTTTTCCTTAGCAATAAAAGCCCCCTTCTCTTTGTGCCACTTGAGGGTGTGAGATGTGAGGAAGGTAGGACCATGTGGTGGTGGTGGGAGGGTCACATTCATATTTTTTTGTTTGTTTGTTTTGTGAGACAGAGTTTCTCTCTGTCCCCCAGGCTGGAGTGCAGTGGTGCAACCCTGGCTTAATGCAAACTTCGCCTCCCAGGTTCAAGTGATTCTCCTGCCTCAGCCTCCTGAGTAGCTGGGATTACAGGTGTGCACCACCACACCTGGCTAATTTTTGTATTTTTAGTAGAGACGAGGTGTCACTATGGTGGCCAGGCTGGTCTTGAACTCCTGATCTCAGGTGATCCACCTGCCTCAACCTCCCAAAGTGCTGAGGTTACAGGTGTGAGTCACCATGCCCGGCCAGTCTCATTCATATTGATTCAGTTTCCAGAGCTCATACACTATTGTGTGCTCTGTGAAATAGAAGACCATTCTGTGTTGTTTCCCTTTAAAAGAGAATGTATTAAAACAATAATGAGATACCAATGTACAACTATAAGAAGGGATAAGATCCAAAAAACTAATAATACCAACTGCTGGGGAGGCTGTAAAATAGTAACTCTTTCACTGTTTGTGGGAATACAAAATGGCACAGCCCCTTTAGAAGACAGTTGGCAGTTTCTTACAGAATTAAACAGACTCTTACTGTATGATCCCGCAGTCACACTTACTGTTACTTGGTACTTACCCAAATGAGTTGGAAATTTAAATTCATGCAAAATCTGTACACAAATGTTTATAGCAGTATTATACATATATACCAAAATCTAGAAGCAACTAAAATGTCCTGTAATAGCCAACTGAGTGAACAAACTGTGGTACATCCATACAATGGAATATTATTCAATGATAAAAAAATGAGCTATCAAGCTACCACAAGATGTGGATGAATCTTAAATGCACATTCCTAAGTGCAAGCAGCCAGGCCTAAAAGGCTGCAGATTACATGATTCCAACTACATGACATTCTAGAAAAGACAAAACTGGAGAGATGAGAAATAGATCCATGGATCCCAGGAATCCAGGATCCAGGAAATGGGCAAGAGAGCTGAATAGATGAAGAATAGTTTTGTTTTGTTTTGTTTTTGTTGTTGTTTTTTAGGGCAGTGAAACTATTCTGTATGATACTGTAATGGTGACTATAAGACATTGAACATCTGTTAAAACCCATAAAATCATACAACACAAAGAATAAACCTTAATGTATGCAAAGTTTAAAAATCATTTTGGAAGTTATGATGGAATGCAAAATGTGGCAAAAGAATCCAAATGTATAAAACAACTTCACTGAAGGGCATGGCAGAATAAGGTACTAACCTAACTTTGGAAATGAGCAGAGTCTGTAAGACTAAAGGCAAAAGGAACTGTACAAAAGAACTGTACTCTAATCAATAAAGTTGCTTTCCACAGGGTTACAGGTTAACAATTCTGATACTACTCTACATACATATGGAACTGAACAGTTAAGTACATGGCTAGCAGATGGTGGGAGTCAGGTTTCCCAGTGTTAGAGTGGGGATTTGCAGAGAACGCAGCTAGAAGGATACACGTGGTAATAGCTTAGAGTTGGAGACATGAATATAAACTCATGTTTAGCTTAATACAGATACAGATGATTACATATAGAAATGTTTATAGAAATGTGTATATATACAATTTAGTATACACACATACATTTCCTTGCTCTGTCAGCTGAGAGGGTCTAAAAACAATGACACCTTAACAGCAACAAGCATACTTGGCACCCAGATCTTGGTTTCTAATAGCATTGTCTAATAAAAATAACCAGGGTTCCCTGGAGAAATGGCTGATCCTAGGATGGGGGCAGGAAATATACAGGATGTGACTGGAGTATCTTGTGCCAGAAAGTAAAGGGATCAAAACCAAAACATTACCACACTGATGGTATATATTAAAGAAACACAATCACCTGAAAGATCTCCCAATGGCCAAAGCTGGAATAATTTGAGCAGCAAAATGAAGTAGTATTAGATTATAACCCAAAGTATAAAATAAGTATCCATAAGTCCATACAGATATAAATAAATGATTAAATAAATAAATGACATAGGGAGAAAAGACTAATTTCCTATGCCAAAGAATTTCAAATAATTCATATATACAAGGGGTTTCAAAAATCCATGGAAAATGAATATTATGAAAAAACTATGCATGGATTTCAAAAGTTTTTTGCACCAAAATAAACTCATATAATTTGTTATAACATGTCCGAACAGAATCTACTTTGAGGCACTAAGGATAAGATATTAGTTTGAAAAGAGCCCTGATCAGAGCATAAATTCTGCTAAAATTTAAACAAGAACAAACATCAGATTTATAGTGAAGCTTGGGTGGCAGAATGGTGAAATTACTGATGTTTTATGAAGAGTTTATGGGGACAATGCATCCCCAAAATTAGCATTTGACAAATGAATAACTCATTTTAAGAAGGAATGAGACTATGTTGAAGATGATGCCAACAGCAGAAGACCATCCATATCAATTTGTGAAGAAAAAGTTCACCTTGTTCATACCCTAATTGAAGAGGACTGACAATTAACAGCACAAACAATAGCCAACACCATAAATAATCTCAACTGGTACAGCTTACACAACTCTGACTGCAAAATTAAAGCTGAGCAAACTTGCCACTTGATTGGTGCCAAAACTGTTGCACCCAGATCAGTTTCAGGCAACAGCAGAGCTTTCAATGGAAATTTTAAATGGGTAGGGTCAAGATCCTGAAGCATTCCTTTATAGAATTCTGACAAGAGATGAAACATGGCTTTCCCAGTATGATCCTGAAGACAAAGCACAATCAAAGCAATGGCTACCAAGAGGTGGAAGTGGTCCAGTCACAGCAAAGCCAGACCACTGAAGAGCAAAGGTCATGGCAACAGTGTTTTGGATGTTCAAGGCATTTTGCTTGTTAAATTTCTGGAGGGCCAACGAAAGATAATATCGCTTATTATGAGGGTATTTTGAGAAAGTTAGCCAAAGCTTCAGCAGAAAGACGCCCAGGAAAGCTTCACCGGAGAGCCCTTCCTCACCTTGACAATGCTCCTGCTCGTGCCTCTCATTAACAAAGGCAATTCTGCGAGAGTTTCTATGGAAAATCATTAGGAAATCATTAGTCACTTTATAGTCCTGATGTGGCTCCTTCTGACTTCTTTTTGTTTCCTAATCTTTAAAACATCTTTAAAGGGCACCCATTTCTCTTCAGTTAATCATGTAAAAATGACTGCATTGAGTAAGTGAACTAAATGGCTGGTATTGCTGCTTACAAAAGTGTGTTGAACCTGATGGAGGTTATATCAAGTGTATATTTTTAATTTGTATCTTAATTCAATTTTTCCATGAACTTTTTGAAGTCCGCTTGTATATCCACTCTCAGGCAGGTGGAACAAGACTGCTTACTTCTTAAGAGTGGGCTGCACATAGTGACTTCCTCCCAAAGGGGGTCTTCATCCCAGAGTTGGTGGGCCCCTGATTGCTTAACCTGTCATAAGGATGGTCCCTGGCTGAGGTGGCCAAAGTTGGCCAAATTGTGAAGAGGGTAAAACCTGTTTTTGTCTTCTCTGCTAGGCCCCTGGGACACCTTTGGGATTCCATCAGCAGAACGGAGCTGTTTTTTTAGTCATAAAAAGCAAAGGTGATCGATAAAACTCCATCGCTAGAAGATTTGGTCCTTCTACCTTGTAATTAGGGACCACCTGCATTCAAATTGCCTGAAAAGTGTGCTAAAGATGCAGATGTCTGGGCTGCAATGTAGAACTTCCCAATCAAACCCTCTAGGGTGGGGAGGGGAGCCTGGAGAGTGAGGGGCACAAGGGCCAGGAATCTGAATTTTTAAAAAAGTATCTGTGGTGATAATTATGGTTGGGATTAAAGCTTGAGAGTGGCAGCCACAGGAACTGACTATATTACTATTGCAGAAACAAAATGTTTACTTTAAGAGAGTGTATAAACAACACCACAAGAAAGACATTAGCCAGTTACAGAACGGGAGACTTTCTGTAAGACCCCTGACCTGGTTTCTTTCATAAGCCCGTAGCATAGATAAAGAAGAAAGAGATTAAAACCAACTTAAAGGACACTCCAGAGATAAATTAATCAAATACAATGGACCTGGTTTGGATCCTGATTCAAACAAATCAAAGGCAAGACAGTATTTTTATTTTAAGACTAGTAGGGAAATGTAAATATAGAGTATGCATTGACTAATATTAAGAAGTTAATTAGGGCCAGGGACTCTCATGCCTGTAATCTTAGCACTTTGGGAGGCCGAGGTGGGTGGATCACCTGAGGTCAGGAGTTCGAGACCATTCTGGCCAACATGGTGAAACCCCATCTCTACTAAAAATACAAAAAATTAGCTGGGCATGATGGTGGGTGCCTGTAATCCCAGCTACTCGGGAGGCCAAGGCAGGAGAATCACTTGAACCTAGGAGACAGAGGTTGTGGTGAGCCAAGGTTGCACCACTGCACTCCAGCCTGGGCAACAAGAGCAAGACTCCATCTCAAAAAGAAAAAAAGAGTTAATTAGTTTTAATTTTATTAAGGTGATTATGTAAGAAGATGCTGCTCCCCATTTTAGTTGTATATTTAAGTTTTGTGGGGAGAAATTACAGAATATCTGGTATTTGCTTTGAAATTCTTCAGCAAAAATTAAAAAGGGGCGTGTGGATGAGGGATATAGATGAAACAGGTATGGCAGAAATCTGATGGCTGCTGAAGATGAGTGGTGGGTGCATGGGGCTTGTGGTAGTCTCAACTTTTGGAACGTTTGAAAATTTTTATAACTAATTTTTGAAAGGATGTAAGGAAATGGAGATGCATAGTCCAAAAGAATGAGTCATCAAAGATGAACTTCTAGGAACATGGTTTGGTGTTTCCTTAGAAAGTTAAACATAAAATTGCCACATGCCCCAGGAATTCCACTCCTAGTTATACATCCTAAAGAACTGAAAGCAGCTACTCAAACAAACACAGACAACATACATCTTCTTATCTTTCTTTTTTTTTTTTTTTTTTTTTTGAGACGGAGTCTCGCTCTGTCGCCCAGGCTGGAGTGCAGTGGCGCGATCTCGGCTCACTGCAAGCTCCGCCTCCCGGGTTCACGCCATTCTCCTGCCTCAGCCTCCCGAGTAGCTGGGACTACAGGCGCCCGCCACTACGCCTGGCTCATTTTTTGTATTTTTAGTAGAGACAGGGTTTCACCGTGTTAGCCAGGATGGTCTCGATCTCCTGACCTCGTGATCCGCCCGCCTCGGCTTCCCAAAGTGCTGGGATTACAGGCGTGAGCCACCGCGCCCGGCCGACATCTTCTTATCAACAGTATTCCCAATAGCCAAAAGGTAGAAACAGCCCAAATGTCCATCAGCAGGTAAATGGATAAACAAAAGGTGGTATGTACATACAATAGACTATTATTCAGTCATAAAAATTATAAAGTTCTGATATGTGCTACAACATGGATGAACCTTGAAAACATTACACTAAATGAAATAAGCCAGACACAAAATGACATATGTTATAAGAATCCACTTATATGGGGTATCTAGCATGAGCAAATTCATAGATACAGAAGGTTGGGTTACCAGAGGCTGGGATTGGGAGAATAAAGTTATTATTTAATGTGTACTGAATTCCTGTCTCAGGTGATAAAAAAGTTTTGGAACTAGGGCCGGGTGCGGTGGCTCACGCCTGTAATCCCAGCACTTTGGGAGGCCGAGGCAGGCGGATCATGATGAGGTCAGGAGTTCGAGACCAGCTTGACAAACATGGTGAAACCCCGTCTCTACTAAAAATACAAAAATTAGCTAGGCGTGGTGGCATGCACCTGTAATCCCAGCTACTCGGGAGGCGGAGGCAGGAGAATTGCTTGAACTTGGGAGGTGGAGGTTGCAGTGAGCCAAGATAGCACTATTGCACTCCAGTCTGGGCGACAGAGTGAAACCCTGTCTCAAAAAAAAAAAACAAACAAACAAAAAAAAAGGCTGCAGGAGAAATGGAGATTTCTCATCTTCTAAAAACTCATTTATTCCAGGAGTATTGATGTACCAGCTCTAAGGCTGGCCCTGGACTTTTACCTATAGATGATCTTTCTATTGAGTGCAGTTTTTAAAATGTAGTTGAAACACCTGTCATTCCAAGAATGGACACAGGCTTAGCTTGAAGACTTTAGAAAAACTCTTTAACAAAAGAAAAATATTAAATTGAAAAAGAAAAGGATAAAGTCACACAATGTGGTTGGGTAGCTGTAGAAAAAATACCTGCTTTGTAATTTTCCTCTGAAAAACTGGTCAGAGCAAACATAACCCAGGGCACCATGGAACAACATGAAAATTAATCAGAGGCTCCTGAGCTCACGCCTGCATCGCAGGGCTGGGCACTCAGAAGGAACGAAAGAGGTCAGGGGCTGGGCAGGACAGAGACTGGCTCTGCTCCATCAGTGCCCCTGACCATCATGAAATTCATGAGTGAGGGGTATTGCTGGATTCCTACCAACACTCATTCATAGGGGCTGCCTCTTTGTTCATGAGGAAGAAAGAAAATCAGTGTTACCCATGTGTTTACGCTTGTAAACTCAAATCAGCATCCAGGAAGTCAAGTAATAGAAAAACTCAGAGGGGTTGACTTGCTTCTCTGCTAGGTATACATCCTTCACTATTTTCAAATGTAAGAAGAAAATGAGGCTACAGGAAATGAAACAAGTAGGCTAATAAAAATGGACCAGGCCCCCAAAGATAGGCACAGGTGGGCGATTGGTAAAGGTTGATAAGGATTGAGACCTCAGCTTAGTTTGGTTCCGATCTCTCTACCAGTTCTGTTTCTTCTTTTTTGTTGTTTGTTTGTTAACTGAATACCATAGCCTTCTTCAGGCAATGCTAAGTAGAGTTTATTAACTCTTCTTATTTTGCATTGTTTTAAATGGTAATTATGTATGGCAAGAGATATAGGTTTCCCATTCATGATATAAAGTGTTCCTAAAGTTTCCAAAGTGAGTCGTTGAAAACAAACCATTGAGTAAACAATTCTGTCGACGGTCATTGGCTATGACAAAAGTTATGAGGTTTGGGGAACCTCATGATTAGACAAGACCTTTCTGTTTGTTAATAATAGCTAATATTTAATCAGTATCTGTGATGTATGGGCCGCTGGGAAGAGCACTTTTCATACCTGATCCATCACAACTCTGCAAAGTGGGTATATTTGAGCCCATTCTACCAATGAGGAAGCTGAGTTTCGATGACTTTCTATTTCATCGTAAGAGATCACACAGTGAGTGGGTGGAGAAGGGTGTGAACCCAGGTGTCATGCCCAAAGCTCTGAGCCTTCTGATACAGCACACTGCCTCGGTGCTCTTCCCGGCACAGTGGGGGCTGCACCCTCTGATCTGTGAGAAGAGGATCTCCAGAAAGAAGTTGGAGAACCTGGCCCGAAGGCATTTATCCTCTGTGTCCTTCCCCAGATTAGATCTCAGAAGTTGTTGTATACTTCCTTCTCTCCTCATATGGTTCATACAAAAGCTGGGCCTGCTTTTTGTTATGTTCATTCTCAGTCCAAATGCTTCTTCTGCCTCCTCCCAACCCTACTTCAGTGAAAATGCCCCTATATTCCACCATCTAGTGCTATAACAAATTTTGTTGGGTCACTGCTGGCTGACCTTGGAGCTAATTAAAATATATCAAAGATTCGGAGTTTTAAAGTTGTCAGGCCTCGGTTTCCATGAAGAGGAACTCTATTTTCACTCATACTCCAGCAAGAGATTAGCAGCTTGAAATCACTTTGACAGTGTCGGTTGCTCTATTGCTTACCACAGGGAATTTTAATTCCATCCTGTGAAATTGTAATTGCTTCTCAAGGAGAAGCGGGGAATCCTGGGTAATGGCCACAGTCAAGCTCAATGTCAGAGCTGCCAGTTGCTGCCACATCAGATATTACTTGCTGTTATTCAAAAATCACTCCAGCTTTCCATATGGGAAAGTTGAACTGGGGAGTTAAAGTAAATTAACAGAAACTGTCAGCTGTTCAGAACAGCATAGACAGCAGTGTGACAGAGGTGGGTGACTTCCCATCAGAAAAGGTAACTTTTTCCCTTTTTTTATTAAGATAAAGAGTTTCACAAACAAATTTCATTACTTAAGATACATGGCTAAATGACGCCATTAGTAAGCAAAAAAAAAAAAAAAAAAAAAAAAAAAAATCTGGTCCATGGCATGATAAGATTAAAGCTGCCAATTTCTATTCACTCCTTCCTGGAAGGAATGAGGGAAAAAAGTGGCCCAAAAGAGTAATTAAAATAATGAAGATAACAAGTCCATGTCAGGCTGATGTTTGCGATAGATTAAAATTACCTGCTATCAAAGTTAAACTGCCTGAGAAATTACTTCCTGGCTCTGTTTGGAATAAAGAGAATTTGGAACTACCACATCTGATTACAAAACATTTAGAGAGACAGGAAAGATTGTCTGCAGAAGGGAGGACCTGGTACCTGTCACTGTCTGAAAACAGAGGAAGTTCTGACCAGTATTAAGTGGGTTCTGAAATTAATTGTTTTCCCTCTCCTGAAGGTCAAAAAGGAAAGAGAAAGGGCTAAATATAATTTCTTAGAAAAATATTACCAGTCTGGGACATTGCTTTTTGGCTGTAGGCATTAGAGAAAATTCACGTGCAGGCTTTACTTTTCCTCATCTGATAATTTTTAGAGCAAATTTCATGTATTAGAATTCCTTTTCCAGGTAAAGGAAATGTTCCCTTGGAAGGTACTGACTGGTGCCCACCGCCCACCCCTTGCTGTCTTTCCATAAGAGGAGGTGGCAAGTGTTTGAGTTTGTTTTCGTTATTGTTATTTCTGAGTGCTGTCTTAATGTCAATTGTTGTAAACCAAGGTTGACTAAGTAATTGAGAATCTGATGGTATGTTACCTTCCTGTACCGAGTAAAGTTTTGTGTTCCTCCGAGTTCCTTTGGCTGCCAAGGAGTGTTTGTTTTGTTTTGTTTTCTTCCAATGAACAAAATCTCTTTATTGTTTTAGGGAGATGGAGGGGAGAGGGCTTGTTTTTTTGTTTGTTTGTTTGTTGTTTTTTTGAGACAGAATCTCACTCTGTCACCCAGGCTAGAGTGCAGTGGTATGATCTTGGCCCACTGCAACCTCCGCCTCCTGGGTTCAAGTGATTCTCCCACCTTAGCCTCCCAAGTAGCTGGGATTACAGGCACCCACCACCACACCCAGCTAATTTTTGTATTTTTTGTAGAAATGGGGTTTTGCCATGTTGCCCAGGCTGGTCTTGAACTCCTGGCCTCAAGTGATCCGCCTGCCTTGGCCTCCCAGAGTGCTGGGGTTACAGGTATGCACCACAGCATCAGGCCAGGAAGGTTTTTTTTGTTTGTTTGCTGTCTCGCTCTGTCGCCAGGCTGGAGTGCAGTGGTGGAGTGCAGTGGTACCGTCTCAGCTCACTGCAACCTCCGACTCCCTGGTTCAAGTGATTCTCCTGCCTCAGCCTCCCAAGTAGCTGGGATTACAGGCATGCGCCACCATGCCCAGCTAATGTTTGTATTTTTAGTAGAGACAGGGTTTCACCATGTTGGCCAGGATGGTCTCGATCTCTTGACCTCGTGATCTGCCCACCTTGGCCTCCCAAAGTGCTAGGATTACAGGCGTGAGCCACCGTGCCTGGCCTTTTTTTTTTTTTAAATCCTGTTTTTTCTGTTCCCATCACCAATGTAATCTTATAAAAACCCAATTTGTTTGTGAGAGATTTCTCTGGGTCATTAGAATGGGCCCCAGAATACATAAAAAATGATATTGACAAATCAGCTGAGGTATGCTGGATTTTGTTTGTTTCACAGTGAAAGACCAAGTGGTTCCTTTGCATAATATGTGTGCAGATACACTGTAATCAAATTCCTAGGGTCTGCCTAGATATTTGGTGTGAAGAAGAGACACCACGATTAGACTCAAAGGCCATGCCAAGCTCTTCCCCATTTCTCAGTGAACCTTTGAAAACTCAGGCAATTCAGCTCTCACTTTTTGGCAATCTGGTATTTAGATATGGTGGGATCTCATTCCCATTTTTCATTTATTTATTCATTTGCTGAGTCTCCACTCTGGCATGGATAAATCAAGTGACACAACGGTGAATACACTACATACAACTGAACAGGTAAGTCCAGAGTCCTGCCCCAAAACATCTCAACACCAAAGAGAACGTTAAGGATTCTTATTCAGAAATGCCCTAAACTAGAAGGGTGGCCTCGGACAAGTCACTAAACTCTCCTAACCTCAGTCTCTCCATCTGTAAAATAAAGGAGTCCAACTCCATGCTCTATGAGCCCCTCTTGCTCTTACTCTAGGCTGACGTGCAGGGTTCACCACTCCTGCCTTTTCAAGAAAGACCAGGCTCCAGATGAAACAGACACAATTCCCTTTCATTGAGCACGGAGAAAGAGCAGTCTTTCTGTACAACCTACTCAAATCTTAACTCAAATTTTAAATATTACTATAAGAAAATTTAAATTCCCTGACACATTACAGAGGAACAGAGGTTGTTTAGGATTGATGACCAGATGGCAGCCGGTGGTGACTTTCTGGGGCTTTAAATTTGTGACTTCGATGTTAGGTTGCCACAGGTTTTTCATTTAATATTAATTGGAGATACTGCCGCTCCTCGGATATACAGCTTGACTTTGCCGTGGAACGTGAGGAAAAGCTGGTGTTAAATTGCCTTTTTCCCCTACTTTCTTTTTGACTAATATGTCTAGAGTCATTAAAAATATTCTTCTAACTAAACTGCAACGTTTTTAGCTACTGAATTTTCTTGTAGCTTTTTATAATTCTGATGGCACAAGGCAATCTGGTTTGATGAGATTAAAATTTTTAGACTGGTATCCAACCAACTTCTGTTTTTCTAAAGATTGCTTTGAAATTTTCAACCTTTCTGCCTTCAAAAATCTTGGAGGATTTTGGGTTAAGAGGGAAGAAGAGAAGAGGGATCCCAATTTAAGGCTTGGGATCTGACTTTGCATATATGGGGTTAGAGGAATGTATGAGAAGAAAAACTATCAGAGAATCAAGATGAAAAGATGAAATCAGGGAAATATGGAAGTAGTCAAGGGTAACAGCCATTCCAGAACTTTCTTTGAGAGCCTGCAGATCATTCTGTTAAAAAAGACACAAACCCAACCTGTCCTGAATGTTTCTCCATATAAAACATTTATATTATACATACATATATATATATATATATATATATATATTTTTTTTTTTTTTTTTAAAAGATGGAATCTCGCTCTGTTGCCCAGGCTGGAGCACAGTGGTGTGATCTCGGCTCACTGCAAGCTCCGCCTCCCGGGTTCACGCCATTCTCCTACCTCAGCCTCCCGAGTAGCTGGGACTATAGGCGCCTGCCACCACGCCTGGCTAATTTTTTTATATTTTATATTTTAAGTGGAATTTAAAAGATTCTTTACTTCCTGTGGTTGGGACCCAGACTCTATAAGCTCCATCTCCTGGTTCATTTTCTGTTTGACTTCTTATTTTACTCTTGACTATGGAACCAAATGAGATGTGATATTGACTATTCACCATTGTTTCCTGGGTGAGAGACTGTGCTATGATCAGGTTTACTTACTCAGGCCCAAAACACAGGGTTGAGACCACATTATAGTCTAGTTTTTCTGGTCTTGTGGACACCAAGTTTTAACACTTTAATGGGCCAATGATCAGAAATTTAGAGGTTTCCTGTGAAGTTTGGAATTAAGCACAGTGAACCACGAAGTGGTGTCTATGGTAGCAGAAACTCTTCCCTTACATCTCAAATGATACCAAGTAAGGTTGCAGAAATCACATGGGTTGAAAAAACAAAAAACAGAAACAAAAAACCAGAAGCATCTGCCTTCTGAGATCACAGCCTGAGATAGTTATCACGAGTGGCTTTTTTGTAAAGCATTTGCATCCATTTATTAAGAATAGAGCATATGAATTGTTAACTGAACAGATGTAGTAAGAGAATCTGAGACACAGAAAATCAAAACCAGAAAGCTGGAGTCAATTATTTAAATTGCAGTAGATAAGGAGAGAAGGTAGCGGGTGCTGGAGGGATAGAGGGTTGCTAGGTTTCCAGAAGCTATTCAGTGTGGAAGTGTCCAAGCGAAGATTAAGTGGGGATCAAAGATGCTGAACTACAAAGACAGGAGCTTGCCTCTTACTGAGGCACTTTCTTAATTAAGACAACAAAGGGATCCGCACATCCTTTCCAGCTATGTATTACAGCAACTATTGCAAAACAAAACTCCATTATCAGCAACAGTAAGATAAGATCTAGGATCAGTAATAGCAATGACAAGAACAAAAGCCACCACCAACTGGCTAAGTTGAGGCTTACTAATAGCTCTCCTGGAAATGGACACATTTGGAAGCTCAACAGTAGAAATTTAACTTTTCCCAAGCCTGAGAAAGTGACTACTATGTTGTATGTTTCCAAAAGTGTCAATATAGGGTATGGTAAGGGCACCCATTGACCGGGATTATCAATAGGAGAACCAGCTAACCTCCATATTGTCGCTGCTTATCTTTCCAAACATGAATCTCTTCATGGCCTGCAATGTTTACAAGCCTGTTTAGAAGCCTGTAGTGGCTCTCCCTTGACTACTGAATAAAGTCTAGATTCCTTGGCAGGGCATCAAAACCTTTCACAACATGACCTGAACTTATTTCTTAGTCTACTAGACACTTCCCTTGTATATTACTGCAGTTAAAACTTTTTAGTCATACCTAACATAGACTCTGTATCCATTAAGCAATAGAATCTCCTTCTTCCCACTCCCCTCAGTTCCTGATAACCTCTATTCTACTTTGTGTCTCTATGAATTTGCCTATTCTGGTTCCCCATGTAACTGGAGTCATACAATATTTGTCCTGTGTCTGGCTTATTTCACTTACCCTAATGTTTTCAAGGTTCATCTGTGTTGTAACATTTCACTCCTTTTTAAGGCTGAATAATATTCCATTGTATGGATATACTACATTTTGTTTATGCGTTCATCTGTCAATGGACTGTTGGGTTGTTCCCACCTTTTGGCTATTGTGAATAATGTTGCTATAAACATTGGTAAACAGACATCGGTTTGAGTTAAAGCTTTTAATTCCATTGGATATATAGTTAGGAGTGGAATATCTGGGTCATATGGTAGTTCTCGATTTAAATTTTGAGGCACCACTATTTTCCACAGTGGTTGCATCATTTTACGTTTCCACAGAAAATGTTTAAGGGTTTCAACTTCTCTACATCTTCACTAGCATTTGTTATTTTGTTTTTTTTTTAATTCAAAATTTATTTTAGATATAAGGGGTACATGTGCTGGTTTGTAACATGGGTATATTGCATGATGCTGAGGTTTGGGGTATGGATCCTGTCACCCAGGTAGTGAGCCTAGTACCCAATAGGTAATTTTTCAACTCATGACCCTTCCCTCCCTTCCCCCGTAGTAGTCTGAAGTATTTATTCTTCCCATATTTATGTCCATGTGTGCTCAATGTTTAGCTCCCACTTATAAGTGAGAACATGTGGTATTTAGTTTTCTGGGTTCCTGCATTAATTCATTTAGGATTGTGGCCTCCAGCTGCAATCTATTTGCTGCAAAGGATATGATTTCGTTTCTTTTTATGGCTATGTAGTATTCCATGGTGTATATGTACCACATGCTCTTTATCCAGTTCACCACTGATGTGCACCTAGGTTGATTTCATGTCTTTGCTATTGTGAATAGCATGGTGAACATGCAAGTGCATGTGTCTTTTTGGTAGAATGATTTATTTTCCTTTGGGTATATATACTCAAATTCGTATGAAAACAGAAAGGAGCCCAAATAGCCAAAGCAATCCTAAGTGAAAAGAACAAAGCTAGAGGCATCACACTACCTGACTTCAAACTATATTACAAGGCTACGGTAATCAAAACAACATGGTACTAGTTCAAAAACAGACACGTAGACCAATGGAACAGAAAATTCAGAAATAAAGCCACCCACTTACAACCATCTGATCTTTGACAAAGCAGATAAAAACAAACATTGGGGAAATGAATCTCTTTTTAATAAATTCGGCTGGGATAACTGGCTAACCGTATGCAGAAGAATGAAACTGGACCCCTCTCTTTCACCATACACAAAAATGAACTCAAGATAGATTAAAGATTTAAATGTAAGACCTCAAACTACAAAAAGCTTAGAAGAAAACCTAGGAAATATTTTTCTTCACATTGGCCTTGACAAAGAATTTTTAGCTAAGTCCTCAAAAGCAATTGCAACAAAAACAAAAATTGACAAGTGAGACCTAATTAAACTAAAGAGCTTCTGCACAGCAAAAGAAACTATCAACAGAGTAAACAGACAACCTACAGAATGGGAGAAAAATATTTGCAAACTATATTTCTGACAAAGGTCTAATATTCAGAATCTATAAGGAACTTAAATCAACAGGCAAAACCCCAAAACTGTTAAAAAATGGGCAAAGTACATGAACAGACACTTCTCAAAAAAAGACACACAAGAGACCAACAAACACATGAGAAAATGCTCATCACTGTCAGAGAAATCAAAACCACAGTGAAATACCATCTCATACCAGTCAGAATAGGTATTATTAAAAAGTCAAAAAAAAACAACAGATGCTGGCAAGACTGCAAAGAACATAGAGAAAACTTATACTCTGGTTGGTGGGTATGTAAATTAGTTCAGCCATTGTGGAAAACAGTTTGGAGATTTCTCAAAGAACTTAAACAGAGCTACCATTTTCTATTTTTTTAAATAGCAGTCTCCTAATGGGTGAGATAATATCTCATAATTTTAATTTGCAATTCCCCAGTGATGAATGATGTTGAGCATCTTTTTATGTGTTTATTAGCCATTTGTATATCTTCTTTGGAAAAATATCTATTCAAATCCTTTACTTATTTTTGAATTAGGGTGTTTGTGATTTGTTGTAGTTGTTGTTGAGTTGTAGGAATTACCTTGGATGTTAATCCCTTCTCAGATATATGATTTACATTTTCGCCCATTCTGTAGGTTGTCTTTTGCCTTCTTGATAACGTTCTTTGATGCACAAAAGTTATTAATTTTGATGAAGTCCATTTTTTTGTTACCTGTACTTTTGGTGTCATATTTATGACATCATTGCCAAATCCAATGTCATGAAGATTTTCCCTAATGTTTTCTTCTATGAGTTTTATAATTTTAACTCAAGTTTAAGTATTTGATCCATTTTGAGGTAATTTTTGTACATGGTATAAGGTGAAGTCCAACTTTATTCTTTTGCACATGGATATCCAGTTTTCCCCACAGCATTTGTTGAAAATACTGTCCTTTCTCTATTTAATGGTGTTGGCGCCCTTGTTGAAAATCAATTGATTACATATGTGAGAATTTATTTCTGGGCTTTCTACTCTAGTCCTTTGGTCTCTGTCTGTCCTTAAGCAGGTATCACAGTTGTAGTTACTGTAGCTTTGTTGGAAGTTTTGAAGTTGGAAAACATGAGTCCTCCAGTTTTAGTCTACTTTTTAGAGATTGTTTTAGCTATTTGGGGTTGCCTGTGATTCCATATGAGTTTGAGGGTTGGCTTTTCCATTTTGGTAAAACAGGCTGTTAGAATTTTGATAGAGAGTGTGTTTAATCTGTAGCTCACTTTGGGTAGTATTAACATCTTAATGCTAAGTTTTCCTATTAATGAACATACGATACCTTTCCATTTTTCAGATATTCATAAATTTCTTTCAGCAATGATTTTTAGTTTTCAGCATACAAATCTTTTACCCCCTTAGTTAGATATATTCCTAAGTGTTTAATTTGTTTAGCTGCTATTGTAGATGGAACTGCTTTCTCAATTTCCTTTTCGGATTGTTCATTGCTAGTGTAAAAAAACACAAATGAATTTCTTTTTTTGCATTGGTCTTATAGTCTGTAACTTTGCTAAATTCATTTATTAGCTCTAGTTGCTTTCCTGTGGTTTCTTTGGGATGCTTTATACATATGATCATGTAATCTGCAAATAGAGATAGTGTTACCTACTCCTTTCCAATTTGATGCCCTTTACTTCTTTTTGTTGTCTAATAGTTCTCACTAGAACTCCCAGTACAATGTAAACAGCAGTGGTGAAAGCAGGCATTGGGCTTTGGAATCAGACTGTCTAGTATAACATCTATTGGTTTGTGATTAATTGGGCATATTAAAAGCAGATTAGATAAACCTCGGAGTTAAAAACTCATACTTCTTTAGGTTTTTCTGAACTCCAAGTTTTCCTTTACCTTGACCCAAGGTTGTTCTCCTCCATCCCCCTGCTTTTTTTTTTCCTGAGAACTTGCATCATTAGTGCTCAGAAATGTATTCAGATACCCAGAAGCTAGGAAGATCATGAGACACCAAGTGACATCCTTTGCTTCAGCTTCTACACCGTTGAGATATTTTGGCTATAGAACTCTAGGAAACAGTACTGGGAGAAAATAATTGACAGAAAACTAATCAAGAATAATAGTGTCTGCATTTCCTTTTAGTCTCAAAGCAGGATGGGGGAGGGCATGACTTCTAGGCCTCCCTATTAATCTGGTTGCTCTTTTCATCTTTGGCCATGGAAAATCTCCTTCTTGATCTTAGATTGGCCACCCAAATCTGTGCTCCACACTATTCATTAATTTGATCTCCTCAAATACAGCTGCAGTCCATTGCCTTTGAATTTTTCTTCCTTTGCTGCATTTGTTAGAATCAGACTCTATCTCTCTCAAGGTAGGAATCTTTTTATTCCATATATAAATCTTTTGGGTGGTCATGTGTTGATATCAGAATTTAAAACACCTAACTTTATTTATAAAGGTATTTTTCACCTTTAAGTGGCTACAGTAATCAAAAAAGAGGAGGAAATGTCATGTGTCAAGAATACAGTATTTTATATGCATGAGTTCACTTATCTTTCAATGACCCACAATGGAATCTTGTTCCTGTTTTAGAGATGTGGCTCAAAAAGAAAAAGTGGTCTGGCTGGAATTTAAAGTTTTGCTGATGTCAAAAATCTCATGGTCTTTCCTTATATTTTCTGCCTCAAATTTGTATTGGAAACAACTGAGAGCTGAATCCAAGTGATTCTGATTGTTAACTCCTTTACAGTTTCAACATCATAAAAATCAAACTCAACGGCAAGTCCAGTGTAAATTTATCAAACACATGCTATGGATAATCTAACTTTAAAGTAAGGGGAAAATATTTTGAGAAGGGATTAGGACTCCAGATTATAAGTTTGACATGGATCCTTTAAATTAGGTTGTATCATAGAGCAGAGGTTTTCAAACTTTCTTGATTGTTTGTACCCCTAGGCCAAAAGCAGCAGCTAACCTTCTGTTTAAATAGGTAATCCTGACAACTGAATAAGCATTTATATCCTACTATCTTATGAGAACCGTTTGAAAAAATAATACATGTAACTTAGATAAAAATATTAATATTTTATTTCATATTAATTTTACTTATTAATGGCAGCTGTGCATCTGTTGGGTACAGCACCCCTTCTCAAACCTTGGACTATGATCACAATTTTCACTTCTTGTTCCACATTGATTTTCACTTGATACTTGCTTTTTATCACAGCAATTGCTGAAAATCCAGTTTTATAAAGACATGGTGTCATCAAAATTTGTGAAATCTAACGTTGAAAACTGTGAACTATTTTGAGCTGGTAGTTGGCCTGGTATCTGACAGATGTTGCTGTGTTCCCTCCAAAAATTTAAGGAATCCCAGGGTGCTCCTGTGAATGTGCCACAGCATCCTGGGGTGCCTGGGGGGACCAGCAAACCTTTTAGAAAACGTACATATTCATTTTTTATTGTGAGTATTTAAGGTGAACATGTATTGATACACATATACACAGCAAAATGGTGGCTACAGTCAAGTGAATTACCATACCCATCATCTCATATGATTACCTTTTTTGTTGTTGCTGCAAGCCTTAAGAATATCTTTTCTCCTTTTCTTTTTCTTCCTTTTCTCTCCCCTCCTTTCTTCTCTTCCCTCCCTCTCTCTCTTCATTTTTTTCCTATGTTTGTTTTATGATGACAAACCCTCTTGAAGCTTGATTTGTAACTCTAATTCTCCCTCCATGACATCTTACAATATACACTGAAATTTTCAACCTGGAGTGAAGTCAGTAGAAGTAGTATATGTTTTGACTGAATGACATATGGAAATCTGATGTTTAGACACATTTTCCCAGCAACAAAGCAAAGTTTTAACCCAAGAATTCTTTACATTCTCAAACTGACTATCTCATGCTGGGATGATAAGAAAGGAAGCAGGGATGATAAGATGAAGCAGGGACAATAGAAAGGAGGGAAAGAAAGAAGGAAGGAAGGAGGGGGCAGGGCAAAGAAAAAAGCTTGATTAGTAAATCTTTATTTAAAAAGTATATCAAGTACCATGCACATTCTTGGAGCAGGACAACACAGACTGAAAGGCTGAAGGCCCCCAAGCTCAGGCATCCACAGGATTGATCCTAAATGTGTATCTGTTGGCACAGGTCAAGTTTAAGTCAAAGATGGGACAGAGGAGCAGGAGGAGTTTACAGAAGAGGAGTATATGCTTTGGAGTCAGGCTGTGTACCAGTCCTGCCTCTAAACTTAAGAGCTCTGTGCCTCTTGCACAAGTTACTTAGTCTTTTGAGTTTTAGATTTTCTTCTCAGTATGATGGGAATCACAATACGTATCTCAAAATTTTTTCTTCAGGACTGATTAACACCTGTTAAGTGCAAAGTATAACATCCAGTGCATTTCATTTAAGGACTAGACAGTTAATGGTTGTCAATATTATCATTACTATTAAAATAGGAATGACTTGTGGAAGGGAGACAGCAGAGACAAGGTCTGCTGAAGAATATCTAAGGTCCAAAGAGAAAAAATAGTGGGAGAATGACAGAATTCATGTCAACTGCTGGTGGGGATGTAAATTGGTACAACCACTTCAGAAAACCATTTAGCAGTATCTAAGCTGAACATATGCAAATGCTATGACCCAGCAATTCCACCCCTAGACATGTACTCCTCACATCATCACATAAACACTTAACAAAACGTGTTTATAGCAGCATTATTCATAATAGACAAAAAATTGGAAAGAACTCAAATGTAGAATGAACAATGTGGTGTACTCATACACTGAAATACTATTCAGCAATGAACGTGAAGTAATTACTGCTCACACAATAATCTGGATGTGTCTCACAATCACTGTAGAACAAAAGAAGGTAGACATGAAATAGTGCATACTACATGATTCCACTTATAGAAAGTTTAGAATCAGGCAAATCAATCTGTAATGTTAGAAATAAGGATACTGGTTACTCCTTGCGGGGCAGACTTAATGGCTAGGAGGGTACATGGGGAGCCTCCTGGTGCTGGCTACAATGCTTGCTCAGTTTTTAAAAATCCCTGTATCCCTATGATTTATGTCCATTTCATATGTATGTTTTATTCTAGTAAAGAGTTTAAGAAAAAAATTGGCCAAAGCATTGAAAAGATCACTTCATAGGTTTCCTTCTCAGCAGAGAAGTACACACACACACACACACACACACACACACACACACACCCCTTGATACTAATGCAAAGCATACAAAAGCATACAAAGAAAACATAACAATTACATTTACAATCTGCGGGTCAAGCATCCTATCACGGCTGACACTTCGTATAAATCAGGTTACGAATGCTACGGCTACGACCCCCAGATGCCGGTGGCTTAACACAACCACAATATATTTCTGGTTCCTGATGCCTATGTAGCACATGCTGGCCAGGAGCCCTACTCAACTGTACTAACTCAGGGACCCAGGGTCGGGGAGGCGTCATTCTGACATATGGGTCCAGGATCACCACAGCAGTGGGAAGAGCACACAGTAAACCGTACACCAGCTCTGAACATGTCTGCCCCGAAGAAGGACGTGACCCTTCCGCTCACATTTCACATTTCGTGCCTAACTTCAGCGGGGCGGGAGAAGCGCAGTTGCACTGTGGGCAGGAAGGAGACAGGCTGGAAAAGTAACAGCTCTACTCATGATCACACTTGCTCCCGTGGTTCCCAGACTCAGCCCCATTCAGAGTCCAGGGCTTAAGAAAACTGTTTTTAACTTGCACTGCATCCTTCTCTGCTCTCTCCCTCCCCCTCCCTAGAGATGGAGGTCACAGGGGGAAGAAAAACCCTGGATTTCCAGAACACTGCTACCCCTCTCACCAATTGGTCGCCAGTATGGAGACTGATTTCATGAAGGTCCAGCGTCTGCTGCGGGCAGTGACCTCGGTCCCTTTCTGGGTCAAACGGCAGAGTGAAGCTGCAGCCAAATTGAGGGTAAATAACAGTCACAGCAGGAAGTAGGGAGAATCCTGTACAGCTGAAACGATCCTTGAGGATCCCTGCCATGGTAGGTGAGAGCAGCAGGGGGGGAATTTGGATGACTGGGTGTATCATTCTCTTACAGGAAGAAAAAAATGAAAAAAGGCGAGGACAGCATAGAGCTAGAAGGGAGGAAATAAACAGATGAGGGAGTGAGGAAAAGAGTAGGGAAAGAGAAAAGGGAGGTAGAAAAAATCCTTTTTGTCTCCAATCAGTTACAGGTGTAAAGCTTTCTCTATGTCTGATCTAGTGCAACTCTAGGCTTTGGATGGCATTTTTATCTCTGCTAGGTTTTTGTTAAATGAGCACCACACTGGAACCCACTGTTTATTAACAAAGAAATGACTGCGTAGAGCTCAAGAAGGGAGGCACATGGTAGGTTCTTGTCCTCTTCTCATTCCTGCTAAGAAGTGAGGGGTGCTCCCAAGTGGATGTTTCACTGCAGGACTAGAAGCAGCACAGGAGGATTTTTGCATTCTAAATGTGAGCACCTCTTAGAAGCACATACCAGTTCCAGGAGAAATGTACTAACACTAAAAGCATATATATTTTATAATTTACCAACTAGGACATGACTGAATTTTAATTTGGGTTCCTTAAAAGACACACAAAACACAAACATTTTGAGTTAAATGTAAGAGCTGAAGAGGGGTATGGGTTTCGAGATGGAAAATATCCTATGGTAACTACACGGTACCTGGTTTTCCTGTACCTATGCAATCCAAATAAATTCTCAAAAACATAGGATTTGCTTAGTATACCAATTCTATTTATTGTTAAAGAAAGAAGTCACTTCACTTAGTAAAGACCAATGATGGCAGGTAGAAATAAAAACATTTAATCTGGGCTGGGTGGAGTGGCTCACGCCTGTAATCCCAGCACTTTGGGAGGCTGAGGCAAGAAGACTGCTTGAGGCTAGGAGTTCCAGGCAAGCCTGGGCAACATAGTGACACTCATCTCTACAAAAAATTAAAAAATTAGTTGGGCATGGTGGTATATGCCTGTAGCCCCTGGCTATTAGGGAGGCTGAGGTAGGAGGACTGCTTGAGTCCAGGAGGTCAAGGCTGCAGTGAGCCAAGATAGTGCCATTGCACTCCAGCCAGGGTGACAGAGTGAGACCTTGACTCAAAAAAAAAAAAAAACAAAAACAAAAAAAAAACCCCAATGGATCAAAAATGTGAGAAAATGGGCACAATTAGTTTTCGACAAATCCAGTTTTCCAGTTTCATATTTCACAGAATGTTGCCAGGAGTCCTTTAGCTGGCAGACTCTCCCCGTGCATTCCAAAAGCATTCAGGTTCCCAGAACAGGTTTCTATACACTTTTCAGGAACACATCTGCTGTGAAAAATACAATGTTTGTAGCACTGGGACTCCAAACAAAGCCTGAAGGGGAAGATGCACTTAAAAATATTTATTAAAGAGGCCGGGCGCAGTGGCTCACGCCTGTAATCCTAGCACTTTGGGAGGCCGAGGCGGGCGGATCACTTGAGGTCAGGAGTTCGAGACTAGCCTGGCCAACATGGTGAAACTCCGTCTCTACTGAAAACACAAAAAAATTGTCTGGGCTTGGTGGCGCATGCCTGTAATCCCAGCTACTTGGGAGGCTGAGGCAGGAGAATCGTTTGAACCCAGGAGGCAGAGGTTGCAGTGACCTGAGATCGTGCCACTGCACCACTCCAGCCTGGGGGACAAGAGCGAAACTCCATCTGGAAAAAAAAAACAAAGAAAAAGTTTATTAAAGATAGAAAATTCTTCCACATGAGGAAAAGATGGCCAGAGCCACTGTACAATTAGGTTCTGACTTAAAGATTAGAGATTGAAACAAACAGAAAAAAATGCAACCGCTTGCATTTCTTGCTAAAAGTAAACCAAAAGCAGTTTAATTTGAAGGATGTGCTATGGTAGCGGTGATTAGGTTTTAGGTCAAATAACCAATGGGCCCAACTCAATGTGAGACAGGGGGAGCCTCATTAAGAAGAGTGGCTGAGAAGGAGGCAGCATGACCAGTACAAATTATTGCCCTTGGAGAATGGAGATGTCGCTTTCCTGTTCATTGAAGATTTTAATTAGAAATGTATTCTTCTTTATAGATGTTTCCATTAGTTGTATTCTAATTATAGACCTTGACAAAAAAAGCAAAAAGAAGACCCAGCAGAGCCAAGCCCACGGACATCCTCAGCGCACAGTCTTGATGTAGCCTTGGCATGGGCAGCACCATTCTGGAACTCGCTGAGTCACACTGAGATGCAGCAGAGGTGTGGGATCCTGAACTCAGCTGGTTCCCAAGCCCATTTCTGAAGTCCTATAAAGAGAGAAACAGAGGAAAAAATTATTTTTAGATGCAGAGAAAGCCCTGTTGTGATATCAATCAAGCAATGGGTTCCAGAAGGTGCCGCCTTTTATGTACTCCTTCAACAGAGACACGTTTGAACACCCACCATGGGCCAGGTGGCCCCAAGGTAGGTATGAATGAGTCAGTTCCTTTCCTTGAAGGGCCAGGCCAAGTTCATGACTCCAGACTACACATAAACTGTATGAGAAAGACGGGCCGTGTTTATAGAAAATCAAGGCAGAATTCATGAAGGGTAGAATCTGTGTAAAGTGGAGTCATACCACAGACATATTTAACTCTTAGAGAGATGCAACCATATCTTCTCAGCAATGGAAGAATGACAAAGAAACACCATGGGCCAGGTGTGGTGGCTCACGCCTGTAATCCCAGCACTTTGGGAGGCCAAGGCGGGCTGATCACTTGAGGTCAGAGGTTTGAGACCAGCCTGGCCAACATGGTGAAACCCCGTCTCCACTAAAAATATAAAAATTAGCTGGGTGTGGTGGCAGGTGCCGGTAGTCCCAGCTACTCTGGAGGCTGAGGCAGGAGAATTGCTGGAACCTGGAAGGTGAAGGCTACAGTGAGCCAAGATTGCGCTGCTGCACTCCAGCCTGGGCAACAGAGTGAGACCCTGTCTCAAAAACAAACAAACCAACCAACAACCATGGAAGCCATGATTCAGCAAACACATCCCTAGGACAAAGATTCCCAGCTGGTCTGCTGCCACAGGAGGGCTGCGCCAAGAGTGACCCACCCCACATAACCCCACACTCAGTCCCCTCAAAGTACCTTGTGTGCCATACAAATACTATCATCATTTTCTCTTCATGCCAGATAGAGAACAGGTTGGGAAACCCTGCTTGGGCAGAGCTGAGAAGCTGGGGACCTGACTGTGCAGCTTTTCTCAGTGGTTTCTGTTCACCGGCTTCTTAGCTGGTGTCCAGGGAAGCGGAGAGAGGAGCACCTGGCTATTGTCAGGGTGGCTCTAGTTTCGAAGCACAATTGATGATATTTTCACCTCGTGTACCTGCTTCAGAATCGGTGCCTCCCCCAATAACATGGGACTCCCCTGTTGAAACCTGAATAACATTTTGAGAGATGGAAGGAGGGGTGTGGAAGGAGCAGATGAGAAATGCTAGATGGAAGGAAAAATGCTAGGGCGGAGGGGCAGCCCAGAGGCGGTGCAGGACAGGACAGGAAATCCACAGAAGCACAAAGTATCTTTGAACAACCATGGTACTTTGCTCAGTCTTCCCTTCCAAGCGCTCTAGCAACCTCCTGGTACCTCTTTGGCTTCTGTTTGGGAAGCTGCATCTCAGCATGCACAGGAGAGACACTGGAATGGTGCTTTGCAGAAGGTAACAGGAACAGGAATGTGTGGGGTGGACTGAAGGGAGGCAGGAGAATGGGGTAGAAAATCCAGTGGTAAGTTGTAGCAACAGATGAAATGGGAGATAATGAGGACCTCTATCAGGATGACGGCAGAGGGAACAACAGACTTTTGATGTAGAATCAATAGGATTTGAATTCAAAGGATTGGGTAATGCAAGACACAAAGAATAGGAATGGGGAAATGAAAACAACTTCTACAGCCCAGTTTCCACAGGCTCCTATTTATATGTGATTGTGTGGGAAGAATTCTTGCTCTGTCTGTAGAAGGCTAACAGCAGAATTAACACAGCTGTTAGCCACAAGGAAAAGTCTCTCAACCATAATGACAGTGGAAGCATTATTTACTGCTGCACTCCTCAGGTATCCGGGCCGATATCCTGCTGGTCTCCCTGCACTCTGAGTCCTTCGTAAGGAGGCACACAGCTGGACAGAATGGGACCATCCTTCCCATGGCAGGGGGAGGCAAGAGCTGGAGCTCAGTGGTGCACGAAGACCTGTCCCCATCCCCAGGAGACAGCTCTCTTATGAGGGTGGCTTTTTGCGTAATATTTTGGAGTGAGGTTTATGCTGAAGAGCTTCCATTTCTATTTAAAATAGCCTCAAGATCTCAAGGACAGCACTCACATATATGTGGGAACCTGGAGAAAGAATGCAGAGTCCTTCAGCTGAATTGATTGATAGGAACTATGTGAGTTCCTCAAAAGCAGCGAGTCTGCCTAATTCATCTCTGAAATCTTGGAACCTAGCAGGCTGCAGTCACAGAGCAGGTACTCAGTAAGTGTTTAGGAATGAATGAATGAATGACTGATCGAGTGAATAATATGAGAGTGTGTATTCCAATGAGATGAGCAACCATCAAGAACATTCTCATCTATGTCTCTGGTGATCAATGTGTCCTGTGATACATTCAGGAAGCTATTCTACTTGAGTCACAAATTGTTGCCTCTAGCAATTAAACCATCACTTTATAAGTGTGGTGTTATAAGACCAGAATTAAGAGGTTGATTAATTTCTCCGAGGCCTGAGTTCTTTAACCTTTGTAAGTCATAGATGGCTTTGAGAAGACTACACAGACCCTTCCAGAAAAATATGGAAGCACATTTACATATCCACACAGCCTCGCTCACACTCTTGTCTTCAGGAGGTTCACAGATACCTTCACCCAGGAGTGGACCCAGATTTTGTGGGTCCTGAAGCCTTCTCTTTAAGAAAAAAATAATGAATACAAAATTAGGTACAGGGTCTTGGAAGGGGCCCCTCAAATTGAGAGACCCCGAAACTGGCTACACGAGCTTCAGGGAAAATCCACCCTTTTCCCTATCCCCAGTTCAGAATGCTTGACCTTGGTTCTGAACCTGTGCCATGATTAGTGGTGCCAGGCCAGGTGTCAGGCTGACCTGGGGAAGGACTAGGTGAGTCTTAAAATCTTAAGCATTTAGTTGGGTTGATAACACGTTTTGTTTTTTGTTTCATGAAGCAGTGCAGGTACTGCGCCTTCTTGGCCTGGGTTAAAATAAAAGCAAAACTCTTTGACTTCTGATGACAATTTCAGAAAATTTCTTCTCCTTTCAACTCATCTGCCATAAAATTTTGTTCAAAATAAAGTTACCTACTGAACTACCGGAGAGGATTATTTGTGGTCATGTTAAGTTTAGTCATTCTTCCTCGGGCATCCTTTTTTTCTCTCCACCCCTCAGATGTTTAACATATTTGAACATAACTGATTCATAAAGGTATTTTGGTGCTGAGCTTTCCTCCTGTGCCTGCTGGACAAGTCTGCACCCTGCATCCTGCAGAGAAGCAGAAGCATGCATATGCAGCCACAAGATTTGCCACTCTCTTGAGGATCAAGGCGGGAGCGTGACCGCGGAGCAGGAGAGGGTAAATGCATCCTGTCTCTATTGTGCTGTGCCCTTTTATTATTTTCACCTTTTACCAAATCAAGATCTTGATAAAAGGATTTTGATGATACTATTTTTAAACATAATATTTTTAAAGTTTCTCAGATGACAGAGTAATTAATAATCAGTAGCTAGCTAGCTTTGCACATTTCAATTGTCACTACCACTGAGATACTTAAGAAAAAGTAGTTTAGAAATATGGGAAATATGAGATCTTATAAAGTCCAAGATGCTCAAACATGTAAATGTACAACCATACCAGTTGAAAGCAGGGATCATGAATAGAAAATAATGTAATAAAAAGTGCTTATAGGCGAAGTGATTATAAACAGCCGATAGAAAAAGTCGACACACACACGACAAGCGTAGTTCTAGAAAGTAAACAGAGGCTCAGACCTTCCCTAAACCTTTAAAACCTTATCAAGATTGTCAATTCCTGAAATTCAATACATATCTGCATCGCTCAAAGTATCATACACCAAATTCGAATAATGTTATTGCTTATTAAAACAAACTGGGGCTGGGTGCGGTGGCTCACGCCTACAATCCCAGCACTTTGGGAGGCCGAGGCGGATCACGAGGTCAGGAGATGAGACCATCCTGGCTAACACGGTGAAACCCCGTCTCTATTAAAAATACAAAAAATGAGCCAGGCGTGGTGGCGGGAGCCTGTAGTCCCAGCTACTCGGGAGGCTGAGGCAGGAGAATGGTGTGAACCCAGGAGGCGAAGCTTGCAGTGAGCCGAGATCGCGCCACTGCACTCCAGCCTGGGTGACAGAGTGAGACTCCATCTCAAAAACAAAACAAAACAAAACAAAAACAGCAACAACAAAAAAAACAAGCTGGAACATCAACTCAGACAATTTTTAAGAACTCAAATTCTACTCAGAAATGCTTTTTTAAAAACAGAAATTTGAAACAAGGCAGGATATGACCTTTGCTTACGCAAAAGGCGTTATTTATCTGTTAAATGGAGTTATTTATCCTGTTATAATAAAGACTAAGGGGCGCACTAAAATTCCCATCGTGCATTCTGTGTTAACTTTGATTAACATGGGTTTGTCTTCCCTTGTAAATCTCACTGCTCCCTTGATTAATTTCTAAATCTACTTACTTGCTAACTCTTAAAAATAATCTACTAATTTTCAAAAGTGTAGCTTATCAAATCCTATCAAAGTAATCAATCTGTTAAAGCAGAACCAAGTATGGATACCAAAATTTCAAAAAAAAAAAAAAAAAACTTTCATGTTCAGAAACTTTAGGGATCAGATTTCAATCAGTTAAAGATAAATACAGACAGTTGGGATGATAACAACAGTCTATCTCTATTTCCTTCGTCTTTAGCAGTTGTGCACGTATTGTTGGGGAAAGGAAAGAGATGCTTTTAACTTGAGCATGTTTCACGCCACAAGGCACAGATGGAACCGGTTCTAGGAGCAGTAAGTCCTCGAGCTCTGGGCTCTAATCCCAGCTCCATCTGAGGATTCTCAGGCAAATTTTATCCTCTTTTTGCCTCCATTTCCTCACCTGTAAAATGGAGATACTGCTAGTATTTGTGCATCATAGGGTTTTTATGAGGATTAAATTAGATATATATAGATTAAGTGTTCTGAACATTTAAATGTCAATTCAGATTAACTTATTCCATGGTATTCTGTGGTTCTAATGAAAAACGCAAACGTCCTCAGAAATTCTTTTTGTAAATTACAAAGTCATTATTTTATTTGCTTCTAAAATAGAATTGACCCGTGCTATTTTTGTTCCTTATGTATACCATTAAGAGGCACACACTATAATGAATGAGCATGGGTTTTGAATTGTGGCAGACCAAACTGAACGCAGGTTCAGACAGCCATGTGATCTTAGGCAGGTAGTTTAAACTCTCTAAGCCTGGCTATCCTTTCTGTGAAGAAGGAAAGCCATCTACCTTAGGAAGTTATCAGAAGGAATAGAAGTAATGTGCCCACAGCCGGGCAGAGTGCCTGGAATACAGAAGGTTCACAATAAGGGCTGCTGTGACGGTGACGTCACAGGAGTGTAGCTTGAAAAACAGAGAAGGCCAGAGCCTCCCACAGCACTTACTACCAACACTGAGATGACAGCGTCCTGCCTTGCACCTCCTCACTAACCCATGAGGAAGAAGCTACGTCCATTGTGAAGTCAGCACCTCTTACTCCCCGGGCTCTGAGATGGTAAAGCCGGTGGAGTGCACCTCCTGGAAAGCTCCGAACTAAAACCATCACCCGCCCCTGCCTCCTCTACTTACTGCTTGCTCAGGCCTCAACTAAGACAGGACTTGCTTTAGGAAAACCTCTCTCAACCACTGCCCACCCCGTGTGGGCCTGCTCGTCTTGTCAGCTGGCCCTCCTCATGGCGCGTGTCAACAGTGGTGAGCACCCTGCTGGATCCTGGCTCCTGCATCACCCTAAGCGTGCTCCTTCTGAGCAGGGGTGGCCTTTCTCTCCAATAGATGCCCAGGACCTGGTACCTAGGAGGGGCCAGTGTTAGCTGAATGCATACTGCCATTGCTACCTGTTACTTACTACCATATATTCACATTTTATATAGGAGCAAATATCCCTTCCATATGAACTGCCATTTACCTATTCTTACATTTCTTATTAGACTGACAAGTAAATGGGACAAGGAGTCATACATCACCAATACTACATAGTATAAATATGAAATAGGGTTACTAGGGAAAAACCTTACCAGCAGAGAAACAGCATGTTATGTGAGTTCTCTATTGCTACTTTAACAAAACACCACAAACCTAGGGCATGAAGCAATATGCATTTATTCTCTTTCAATTCTGGAGGTCAGAAGTTCTATGTCAAGGTGTTGGCTGGGAGGCATTCTTCTGGAGGCTCCAGGGAAGAATCTGATTCCTTGCCCTTTCCAGGTTCTACAATTTGCCTACATCTCTTGGCCTGTGACCCTTTTTTTTCCATTTTCAAAGCCAGTAGCATAGGGTTACTATTATTATTATTGTTATTGTTTATTATTATTTTGAGACAGAGTCTCACTCTGTCACCCAGGCTGGAGTACAGTGGCGCAATCTCGGCTTACTCCAACCTCCACCTCCTGGGTTCAGGCAATTCTCCTGTTTGAGCCTCCCGAGTAGCGCGTGTCACCACGCCTGGCTAATTTTGGCATTTTTAGTAGAGATGGGGTTTCACCATATTGGTCAGGCTGGTCTCAAACTCTTGACCTCAGGTGATCATAGGGTTATTTTTATCAGGACCTTTGTGATTTACATTGAACCCACTTAGATAACCCAGAATAATCCTCTCATTCCAAGATCCTTATCTTAATCACATCTGCAGAGTTCCTTTTGCCATGTAAGGTAACATCGTTGGAGGTTCAGGTGATTAGGATATGGACATCTTTGGGTGGGGGACATGACTGTGCCTGCCACTCCTGACATATGTGAGCCCCCAAGCTTGCATCCCACCAGAAAGCGTACTCAGTTCAGGCAGAGCTAAACTAGCTGCCCAAGAGAACACACTCTGACAGAAGTGTGATGCTCTACACGTTTACAAGGAAAGAGGGATAGGGCGCCTCTAGGAGACTGTGTGGCTGGCTGACCGTGAAGTTTCCTGGGGGAAGAGGACAGCAAACCTCCACGGCCGAGCCTCTGCTAAGGCCTTTTCCTTCTGCTGAGCTAACAGACTTGCTGAGCTAGCTGCTTCCTAAGAAAATGGGGAGGAAACAGGCCTCCAGGGCCTTCAGATGTGTCCTCCTCACAGGTCTTTTGGCCCCAAGAGACAAGACTCCGAGGGAAAGGGCACCCAAGAGATGATCAGTTAATGTTTTCTGAACTGGTATTTGCATTTCTACTTATTCCTTTGCCTCCTTTAGTCATTTCTTCACCTAGTTACAAGTATTCTCTTCTTGGGGGCTGGATGGGCTTGGGCTTCCAATGGAAGGAAGTCATGTTGTTTAGAGGCCTTTCTTCCAAGTCCTCTTCCTTCTCATACAAAATATTGATAAGTTGTAATATGGTACCTGGCTGGAGAACCAGAAGCACAAGGATTCAGCGAGAAAGGCAGAGGATAGGCTCTATGTGAAAATACTAAGTAGAAGGAGTATTTAGAGAACATTCACCATGTGCCCAGCAGGACGCTAAGTGCTCTCTAATCCTTCAGACTACTCAGTGAAGTAGCTAATAGGAGTTAACCCTCTCTTTAAGTCACTTGCCCAAATTTCTGATAGTATAAATGGTGAAGCAGATGAGTGGCCTGGCTTTACTCATACTAAGTACAGCCCCACAGCAACACTTCTGAGATACATTGATAATTCCATACAAATGAGAAAGAGCAAGGGCACTGCATAGTTATTACAATGACTATCAAGATCAACAGTCCCACCAAATAGATTTTATCCATTTTACTTGCCCCTGCACCTCACAGAGGTAATGGTGTTATTTTGAGTTTCCCTACAGAGGCCATTCCAGAAAAGTCAGCCGCATGTTATGCAGAGACATTTCACGCTACCTGTCTTGCAGTTCTGAGCCACGTTGCGAATTTGTAATTGTGACCTGTAGATGGCACATCGCTGAGTATGCTCTGAACACACACATGCACACACACTTGATGCGCTCACATGAGAACACGTTGCAAAATGTGTTTTAATGAGGAACAGTTGGTCTGGTTCTGCTCAAATAAAAGATATCCCTGTAAGAGAGTTGCCACCTGTCTTCCCATCTTGCGGTGCAGCTTCCAAATGAGTTCTTCTGTCCCTGACACCTGCAGGTGTTACCAGGGCCCTGCAATCACATTCCACATGCCAGCTCCCTTCCTTGAATTGACAAGACAACCCTGTCCCTGGGCTTCATGTTATTACCAGATACCAGGACATACAGGGGATTAAGGGTGCCAAGCTATCTTTCTCCTTTATTCTTCTAGACATTCCCCAAATTGGGAGCTCTTTAATATCATATAAGTAGCTGTACCCAATTATCTCCAAACCAAAAATGCCAGTATTTTATCTTGAAGTCAGTTAAAACAATGTTGTATGCATAGTCCATCAGCATTATAGGTACACTGGAATGTAACAGGATCAACAAATTGAAGTTGGAATTAATCGCTCCTTTCCATTTCTTTTGGAAGAACATTTCCATTATAAGACCTCGGTCACACAGTCACGCAATTAGAGCGCAATACTGTCAGCCTTTCTGTTTCAATTCTGGGAATGAGAAATTCTACATCAGACATTATTCATGCGACATTTTTCCCTTACCCCTTTCACCCCAAATGTGTAATTGCTATCAGGTCATTACAATCATGAACAAAAATTTTAAACTTGAACACACACATACATACACATGCGAACTGTCTAATCTTAATATCACGGGTGGGTTTTTATCTTATTTTGGTGACAGCAGAGTAAACACAAGGCTTTGCTAATAAGTCTGAACATAAATTATTAAACTATCTACTGTATGATCAAATGCATTTCAGATTATATTCTGAGTAATTCTGCCTTGACGTCCACCAAAGGAACAGATCTGATGTGCCCCTGTGTGGTCTCAGTGATCCCTCTCTTTCAGAATGCCCAACCTGCAGACTTGAACGGTGCCAAATGAAAGACAGAGATAATCGTATCAAAAAACAAAGCTTGGCATCTGCCCATCACCTAATTATTACTCTCTGTAAGCCCGCATTTCATCTGACTCAAGAGATGTGAAAGCAACTCTTAAGCTCTGAACTTACTTTAATGGCTTCAAAACATTTCTCATGTGTAAATTTTTCTCATGGCTCAGAGGCACTGTTAAGAGCTTGAAGTGCAATCTAACAGGGATGAAGAAAAAATTGTTTGATAGCTCAGATCTCAGGATAAATTAGAGTTTAGAACAGGCTTTTTTCCCCCCACCATGCCTGAACATATGGGCTCTGCAGAAAACCTACTGAAACCAAATATGTGACCAATGCAAGGAAACAATCTTAAAACATACATTATGCAGTACAGTATACTATAGAAAAGAATCTTGAAATTGGCTGGGCATGGTGGCTCACACCTGTAATCCCAGCATTTTGGGAGGCCAAGGTGGGTGGACTGCTGGAGCCCAGGACTTCTACACTAACCTGGGCAACATGGCGAAACCCCCTCTCTACAAAAAATACAAAATTAGCTGGGTATTGTGGCATGTGCTTGTAGTCCCAGCTACTCGGGAGGCTAAGGTAGGAGGATCACTTGAGCCCAGGAGGTGGAGGCTGCAGTGAGCTGTGATGGCACCACTGCACTCCAGCCTGGGTGACAGAGAAAGACCTTGTTTCCCCTCCATGAAAAAAATTCTGGTATTGAATACAAAATTATAAGCTATCTCTATCACAATTACATTTTATTTTTATTTTTTGAGATAGAGTCTCGCTCTGTCACCTAGATTGGAGTGCAGTGGTGTGATCTTGGCTCACTGCAACCTCCGCCTCCCGGGTTCAAGTGACTCTCCTGCTTCAGCCTCCCGAGTAGCTGGGATTACAGGCATGTGCCACCACGCCCAGCTAATTTTTGTATTTTTAGTAGAAATGGGGTTTCACCATGTTGTCTGGGCTGGTCTTGAACTCCTGGCCTCAGGTGATCCACCCACCTCGGCCTCCCAAAGTGCTGGGATTACAGGTATGAGCCACCGTGCCTGGCCCACAATTATATTTTAATCTCTCCAGTATAAACTTCAGGAAGCACCTCCTAAGGTAAGCATCCCTAACAGGAACTGCTGCATCAGACCTTCATAAGAAGGAATGAGCAAAGGTGGCCCCTCAGGCTTTGTAATGCATTCTCGACACTCCAGCTGTGGGCTTCTATCTGAATACCTTCATTTTTAGCTGTCTTAATCTTTGGCTTAGTAACAAATATTCACTCAAATGAGCTTATAATAGTTTCCTAATTTTTGGCTTGTTACATTTACCAAAATAAGGGGAGGGTGTAGGACAGAAGAACCAGATCTAGAATTAATAACACAGTATAGAAATCTTTGCCAACAGTGGTGCGCTGGCATTTGTTTATACATAACTTCTCCAATTCCACAAAGTAAGCCCTGCCAAGAAGGTATGCTATCAGAGATCTGGCACCTTAGCTGGAGATACATTTATCTTTACTGCTTCCTCATTGTTTAAATTTTTTTCTCCAAAGAGAGGTACGTAGAAAAGGTTCTCTTAGTAACTGCACATAAGGAAAACACAAGTTAGTTATTTACTGGGTCAAAGTTTGGAAATTTGGAAATTATTCTAGAACTTGTCATTTAAGTCTCTTCTGCTAACTAAATATCAGCCTAAGATATATGGACAAGTGCACATGTGCTCGCAAACACACACACACACACACGCACGCACGCACGAGCTTTAACATAAAAAAGGAACCAAGAGGCACACTTAGAACCATGAAGCCTGTAATCCCAACATTCATGATAGTAGTAGAAACCTGAACTCATCTATTCCTCATTAGTGGCTGGAGATAAGCATCAGTATGAATGAAAGCTGCCCCACAGGTGTGGCAAAGTTGAAGAAATAAAAGGTGAATTGGGTCAAGATGCTTTACTGATGAAGAAATCTTTTCAATAGTCTCTCACACCCGAAACCATTCTCATTCCATGCAGCGCACACAGGAAGCACTGAGCCAGGATGTTCACAAACATAACAATTGGGTGTATTAAACTTCATCTTTAAGTCATCAGTTCAACTCAAAATAATTGTTCCTAAGGGTTTCATTCCAACTAGGTAACCATGAAAGTGTGTTGGCAGATGTTTGGTTTGTATTTTAAATGAAAAAGAAGACATGTGTGATGTTAGCTGTTATTACAATACAACCCTCTCATCCTGTTCTTAGTATCATTTTCAGTGACACTGGAAATACGGTTTCAGCATCACTGAGCTCTATAAACTGCATAAAACGAATAAAGGAGACGGCAGGTGCTTTTCTCTATCTCAAAGAATCTCATAAATGAGAAGCTAATATGTAAAATGTTTCCTACATATCACCATGATAGTTTTGCAGCTTGGAAAATGCAGATAAACTAGTTAGGAAAAATTACATGGTTTATACAATTGGTCCTCCATATTTGTGGGTTCCACACCCACAAGTTCAACTGACCACAAATAGAAAACACTCAGGGGGGAAAAATTCCACAAAATTCCAAAAAGCAAAACTTGAATTTGTCACACACTGAATACTATGTTGAATCCATGAATCTGAAGAGATGTGTAGGCATTGTATTAGATATCAAAAGTCATCTAGAGATAATACATGGGAAAATGTGGGTAGTTTATATGTAAAACTATGTCATTTTATATAAGGAATTTGAACATCCATGAATTTTGGTACCCATCGGGGGTCCTGGAACCAATCCCCCACAGATACCAAGAGATGACTGTACTTACTATAATTACACTAAACTGAACCCAACCATCTGAAGAAAGATCACATCTCTACATATTTTCCTATCACTCCCAAAGTTCTATTATGCTTTCTTCCAAAAATCTGTTCCAAGACATGCCCATTCTCCCTTTCTATTTTGAATATAGTTTTTAAAAGTAAAAAATAATGATCCTATGGAAAGGCACTTAAAATTAGATTAATATTAAAAAACTTAATTACTTATGTTACTATAAAAGTATGGTAGGCAGCCCTGAAGATGATCCCCAGTGAGCCTCGCCTCCTGGTATTCACACCCATATGTAATCTCTTCCCCTTGGCTATGGTCTGAATGTACTCACTTGCTTCTAATGCTCAACATAAATGATGGATGCCACTTCCAAAATTAGGTTACAAAGTACTGTAGCTTCCATCTCTCTCTCTCTCTGCTTGCTTGCTTGCTCTGAGGGAAGCCAGCTGCCATGCTGTGAGCTGCACTATGCAGAAGTCCACAGGAGAAGGAATGGAAGGAGGCCTCTGACCAATAGCCAGCCAAGGACTAAGACCTTAAAGCAACAACCCATGAGAAACTGAATCCTGCCATCACCATAAAAGTGAGCTTAGAAGCAGATCCTCCCCAGTTGGGCCTTCAGCTAAGGCCACATCCCCGGCTGCCAGCCTGACTGCAGCCGAAGGAGCAGTACTGTGCCACGGGCACCCAGAGAAGCTGCACCTAGATTTCTGACCCACAGAAACTGTGAGGTAATAAATGTTTGTTGTTTTAAGTTTCTAAGTTTTGAAGTAATTTGTTACACAGCAACAGATAACTAATACAAAAAGTTGCCAAGTAGAGGGCTGGATACCAATTCACACATACTTAGAAATCTGATTCATAACAGAGGCATTGAAGACCAATAGGAAAGACAGACTTTCAATAAAGTTTTCTGGAACAGTTGCTTATACACAGATAAAACAATGAAATTTAACCCCTACCTACCATGTTTACAAATCAATTTCAGATATATTAAATATTTACCTGGCTAAGGAAAAACTAGAAAAACTTTAGGACAATATGGGAGGAAAACCTTTCTAACCACAAGGTAGGGAGGACATACTTCTTAAACAAATCACAAAAATATACAAAGTTCTAAACAAAAGAACAAAACTTCTAACCAGAGAGGTTAACAAGCTGCAAACTGGGAAGAGACACTTGCTTCACATATAATTGACTCTAGACTACATAAAGAAATCCCAGCTGGGCACAGTGCCTCTTGCCTGTGGTCCCAGTACTTTGGGAGGCCAAAGTAGGAGAACTGCTGGAGGCGAGGAGTTTGAGACCAACCTGGGCAACACAGCGAGTTCCCGTCTCTGCAAAAATAGCCAGATGTGGTGGCTCACGCCTGTAATCCCAGCACTTTGGGAGGCCGAGGCGGGTGGATCACTTGAGGTCAGGAGTTCGAGACCAGTGTGGCCAACATGGCAAAACCCTGTCTCTACTAAAAATATAAAAATTAGCCAGGCGTGCTAGTGCACGCCTGTAATCCCAGCTACTTGGGAGGCTGAGGCAGGAGAATTGCTTGAACCTGGGAGGCAGAGGTTGCAGTGAGCCGAGATCGTGTTATTGCACTCCAGCCTGGGGGACAGAGTGATACTCCATCTTAAAAAATAAATAAATAAAAATAAATAAATAAAAATAAAAAATAAAAAATAAAACTTAGCTGGGTATGGTGGTGCATGCCTATAGTCCCAGCTACTTGGGAGGCTGAGGTGGGAGGATCACCTAAGGCCAGGATTTCAAGGCTGCAGTGAGCTAATGATCACATCACTGCACTCCAGCCTGGGCAACAGTGCAAGACCCTGACTCAAAAAAAAAAAAAAAAAGAAAAAGAAATCCTAAACATCAATGAAAAAGTATCGTCCAATAGAAGAAAATGGGCAAAAGACTTTTTATACAGACTCTTTGCTGAAGAGAAAATCTGAATATATATATATGTGTGTATATATATATAAAACCAATAAATATATTTTAAAAAAAATGCTCAACCTCATTTGTAATTAGAGAAATACAAGTTAAAAATACAAAAATACCAGCTTACATATACCAGGTTGGAAAAAGTAAAAAAAATGAGCAATATCAAGTATGGGTGAGAATGTGGAGGATCCAGAACACTATGACACTGCTGCTGGTAATGGCAGAAATTAACATAGCCACTGTGGGAGACAGGAGGGCATTACCTGGTAAGGTGGGAGCTGTACACTCTGGCCAACCCAGCAATGCCACTCCTAGGTATGGCACCCAGACTAGAGAAATGATTGCAGATAAGTGGCCACACCAAGTCCTCATCACAGCTGATGTGATGTAAGTTAGAAGCTCTAGCAAGATTTGGGCTGGAGATGAGGGTTGGGGAAGGGTTGGTCAAAGGAAGAAAAAGTGGTCCAGGATGGGGGTTCAAGACCTGTGGGTGGGCTTCCTGCAAACATTAACTCTCCAAGCAGTCCCCTAAGAATCTCTTTCTTTTCTTAGATGGGCCCCAGTCGCTAACCTCCCTCTTCTCCATTAGCACGTTTCCTTTACCGCCTGTCAATGCCTTAGGTGTTCCCCACCCATCCACCACACCTTTCTTAAAATGATTGGTCAATGTGGAAAATAGATGGGACATGAACAGCCACTTGGTTGCTAATACACACTTATTATTATTTTTTTTCTGGAGACCGGATCTTTCTCTGTGGTCCAGGCTATAGTTTAGTGGTGCAATTATAGCTCACTTGCAGCCTTGAACTCCTTGGCTCAAGTGATCCTCCCACTTTGGCCTCCCAAAATGCTGGGAATACAGGAGTGAGCCACTATGCCCAGCCTGCCAATATACACCTTCTCATTTTTTACATGGATTCTATGGGATAAAATCAGTCTGATAAGTTCCCAATTAGTTTCCAATTGCTGCGGTAACAAATTACCATAAACTGCATGGCTTAAAACAATACAAATTTACCATTTTTTAGTTCTGGAACTCAGAAGTCAGATGGGTCTCAATGGACTGAAATCAAGTGTGATGTGGACTCCTTCTAGGGCTGTAGGGGAGAATCCATTGCCTTGCCTTTTCTAGCTTGCATCCCTAGGCTCACAGCCTGCTTCCATCTTCGAAGTCAGCATTCCTATCACTCTGACCTCTGATTCTCCTGCCTTTCTCTTTTGCTTTTAAGGACCATTGTGATTACACTGGGCCCATCTGGATAATCAAGTATACCCTCCTTATGTTAAGGGCAGCTGATGAGCAAATTTAATTCCATATGCAACCCTAATTCTCTCTGTCATGTAATCTAACATATTCACAGGTTCTAGGGATTAGGACACGATCACCTTTGGGGGGTGAAGTGGGGGGCATTATTCTGCCTACCACAGGTCCCCAGGGTGATACTGTTGAGTTGCTGGGTACAATTGTACCTCAGAGAAAAGCACCGGATATCTAGAGCACTTGACATTTCCTCATAGAAAAGACTATGACAAGGTCCCTTAGCTTCCATTAACGTTTAGATTTCAGATTCTTTTTACCAGATCCAACCCTTCCAGCTCTACAACTCACTACCTAAAAACAAGACACTGAGTTGTAGAGCTGAAAGGATTAGATCTCAGGTTGAAACTGAATGTGATGTCTTCTGGGGACGTAGAAAAGGAGGAGGAAAGTTGCGCAGATCACAGGCAAAAACACCAAGATTTCATAGGGTGTGGTAGACTGAATACATTAATATTCCCAATTCCTTATACCTCCTTGTATCTGTATCTTCTTGTCACATAACTCTGTAGTGTGTCCCTGGTCTTGGCCATGTGATTTACTTGGCCAACAGGATGCTACCAAACATCATGCATGCAGAGGCTTGAAAAGCACTTGTGCATGTCTGTTTGCTATTCCTTTGCCTTTACCACGGGAACATGCTCAGGTCAGCCAGTTGAAGGATGAGGCATGCGGAGCAGGGCTGATTCACCCACGGAGTCCCAGTTGAGGCCATCTAGATCCACCAAATGCCTGCTGAACCTCCATACATTTTAGGAAGCCCCACCAAGCTTAGAAGAGCTGCTGAGCTACCCTACAGTGCACTGCAGATGTGTGAGTGAGCCAGGCTGAGATCAGCTGAGCCCCACTGCAGTTCTGTGGTTGGTTGTCATAGGGCATTTATCATGGCAAAAGATAACCCATATCTAGGATAACCAGCTTTTTGGTCTTGCAGTCCTTTTCAGTAAGGGGTATACATATATCTCCGGAACAAATTCATTCATTCATTCATTCATTCATTCATTCATTCATCCAACAGACGTTTACTGAGCATTTGCTCCCTGCCAGGCCCTATCCTAGTCATTAAGGACACAAAGGTGAATGAAGTAAAGTCTCAGCATTCATGGGGCTTCAATTTTGGTAACTAGAGGCAAAAGAAACATGTAAATATTTAATATGTCTGGTGATAAAATGTGCCATGGAGAAAATAGAGTAGAGTAAGAATAGGAAGTACTAGGTTGTGTTGGATGGTGAGGGCTTGGGGTTTTATAGACGACTGCCCAGGGTGACCTCACTGATAAGCTGGTGCTTCAGCAGAGACCTGAATGAAGTATGTACCAGGGACATCTAAGAGATGGGCATTCCAAGCAGAGGGACCAGCAGTTGGAAAGGCCCTCCTGAGGGAGCAGACCTCGTGTGTTCATGTTCAAGGAGCAGCATGGAGGCCAGTGTTCTCGAGGGGAGAGAGGTCAAGGCATGGGACCTTGATCCTTGAGGCTGTTGTAGGGTCTCTGGCTTTCATTCTGAACATGCTGGGAAACCTTAGATGATTTTTGTAAAAATTTTTATATGGTATGTATATATATATATATAAAATAACATTTGAACAATTTTGAAGTACACAATTTAGTGGCATTAATTATATTTACCATGTTGTGCAACCATTACTACTATTTCCAAAATGTTATCACCCCAAGCAGAAACTCTGTAACCCTTAAGGAACTCCCCATCTCCACGCCCAGCTCCTGGTAAGCTTTAACCTAGTTTGTCTCTATGAATTTGCCTATTCTCAATATTTCACATAAGTGGAATTATATAATATTTGCCCTTTCTGGTGTGGCTTATTTTGCTTCACATCATGTTTCCAGATTTGCCTATGCTGTAGCATGTGTCAGAACTTCATGTCTTTCTATGGCTGAATAAAATTCCATTCTACTACATACCACATTTTGTTTGTCCATTCATCTGTTGATAGATACTTTGGTTATTTCCACCTTTGGGTTATTTATGAATAATGCTGGTATGAATATTGGGATATAAGTATCTGAGTCCCTGGTTTCCCTTCTGTTGGCTATATACGGAATGCTCTGAGTCATATGGAGCACTAGATGGTTTTGAGGAGGAGAGAGACACAATCTGGTTTATATTCAGGGTAGAAACAGGGAGACTCGTTAGGCAGATTGTTTCATTTTCAGATAATATAGTACACGGCAGGGGAAATCACTTCCCACAAGAATAT
Source organism: Homo sapiens (assembly GCF_000001405.40). Taxonomy (NCBI): domain Eukaryota; kingdom Metazoa; phylum Chordata; class Mammalia; order Primates; family Hominidae; genus Homo; species Homo sapiens. Next base: position 21,213,667 of record NC_000006.12, on the reverse strand, counting down.
TTAAGAGAAGAAGACCTGTAGTGAATGCCACTATCTTACACCATAGATGCTTTGTGATTGTTCAGAGGAACTGTGCTCACATGAAGGATAACAAAAGAAACAGCTACTCAAAGTCAGTGAAAAGGGGGAACTGAAAAACTCAAAGAATTTATTTCAGGCAGCTATCCTTTACAAATGCTATTGCTGCTTATAAAGACTGTATGTTTAAAAAGACCAATGACCAATTCCTCGTCTCATGGCATATAGGTGATTAGGGCAAAACATCATCCATGTTCATGAACGAGATATTATTAGTATCTTGATCAACCAGGCCCCAAGTAAATCTTCACTATCACCATGCCCCCCACTCCACATCACATATTCACTGATCACTTCTACGTGTCAGGCAGCGTTCAGGGCTTCCCAAGCTTTATCTCACTTCGACATCAAAACCATCCTATCAAATGGACTCTATTCCTCCCAATTTATAGATGAGGAAAGACACCTAGAGAGGGTAAGTGACCAGTGATCACAATTAGTAAGGAACAGAGCCAAAATGCCAAACCCACGGTCTGACCTGATGTGCGTAAGGGCTACTCTATTCCTTCAAAACGGATGTTTTCAAGGAGGAAGCCCTGGGAGCCAGGGGCCTGTGGAAGGGAAAATGCTGATCTTGATAAAGTCGGCTGATGGTTCTTTGCCTTTATTGCCTTTTGAATTTCCTTCTCAGGGGTTGGCAAATTTGCAAGGTGCTACATCTTAAATTTTTAGGTTGGCTTCCTATCAGAAAACTGCCCTAGATACCTGATTTGATATATGGATTGAAAATTTCTGTTTCTCAATAATTTTATAGAATTGCATTCAGGAGAGAGAGGGACAGGAGAAAATTTGTTTCCCCAAAGCCCTTTAAATTTAAAACACTGCTTGCATGCATATAAGCAATCTGCGCTTGTACCCCCTAAATACATAAAAATTTAAAAATAATGAAAAAAATTTTAAACATTATAAACTATGTTAGAAAACAAACACACTCTATTTCTTTGAACATATTCTATTTTATTTATTTAAAAATAATGTTCTATTATTTTAGGTACAATGCAACATCCACACTCTGAGTCTCATAGGAGAGATAGGCTGTCACTTTCATCATTAGAAAGTGAGAAGGGAAACTAGGAAACTACAATTTATGGTTAGAAGCAACTCGCTCTAAAGTACTCATCCTCATAGTTCCCATGAAAAGAATTTCCATTTGCAAGATTACTATCAGTTTAAAAAGGGGCTTTTGCAATCTGCTTATCAAGATGTCAAATGACTTCAAAGAGTAGGTTGAGTGGCTTGACTGTGATTTTTTTTTAACCATTGAAGAATATATTAATGTCCTCATCAGCTGGAGTAACAGAGGATTTCAACCTATCATGTAGGTTCCCTGCCTCTGGTGGAGAACCCATCCATTCCACCCTGCATATCGCCGAGAGCCAAGTTCATTCAATAACCATGAAACAGGCACTGCACTGGGGCCTGGAGCCAGTCGTGGGCAGACCAGTCAGGCGGGGCCTGCTTTCATGGGCTTTCCCTCATATAGAAACTTTCACTATACTATGCTCATGCCCAAAAACTTTCCCACATGTAGCCAGGCACGGAGGCTCACACCTGTAATCCCAGCACTCTAAGAGGCTGAGGCTGGAGCATTGCTTGAGCCCAGGTGTTTGAGACCAGCCTGGGTAACATAATGAGACCTCATCTCTACAAAAAATAAAAAAAAAATTAGCCAGGCACAGTGGCGCATGTCTGAAGTCCCAGCTACTTGGGAGGCTGAGGTGGGAGGATCACTTGAGCCCGGGAAGTAGAGACTACAAGTCAGCCAAGATTGCACCACTGCACTCCAGAGCCTGGGTGACAGAATGAGACTCTGTCTCAAAAACAAAGCAAAACAAAATATTCCCACATGCATGATAGAAACTTCTAGTATTCACCCATATCTTCTCCTTCTTATTAAAACAAAAGTAGGTATTTTCTAGACTCTTGTAGTTAGACAGGGCCATGTGGATGTTCTGGCCAATGAATATGAATACAAATACCATGTGCCACTCCTGTGCTGAGGCAGTAAAAAGCCTGGTTCACCGGCAATCGTCTTTCCTTACCATGGAGACATGCAGTCAACTTGGGTCCCTGAGTGACTGTGTGGAGCAGACAACTACCTGACTCTAAACTACAAACTAAATGGTACATCTTAGATGCTCAGTGTGAGCAGGAAATAAACCTCTGTTATGTTAGCCCTGAGATTTCAGGGTTAATTTGTTACCGAAGCGCAGCCTAACCTGTCTTGGACGAATATATGTGCTTGTCTAATGTCTTAGGTATAAATCCTATTTGACTTCAAAACCCAGAGGTCCCAGTCTTTATACTAAAGGTGATTTCCCTGTGCCTTCCAACTGCCCACAACTTCTTAGTCTGTGCATTCTGTCACGTTGCGTTGGTTCCTTTCACAGTGAGAAAAATTTCCTTCTTTACTTGCCTGATTAAGTTCTTCTCACCTTCAAAGTCCATATCCATGAAACTCTCTGTAGTAGAAGTTGTCTGAAAACCCTCTCCACATTGACAGTTCCCCATGACTACAGATGCCAAAAATGATTTTCCAACCTCCTTTGTCCCCAGGGTGTAAATGTGAGACTTGGGTTCCACAGTCAGATGTGATATATGTGAGACATTGACTGGGAAGCTTCATGAGGAAGCAGATGGGGCATGGGGCCTCTGCCTTGCTGGGGGAGGTGGAGCAGAGGCGACACCTCTTACCAGAAGCTCCTGTGTGGTTCTGGGTGTTGTTTCTGGAAAACTCAGCAAAGATTCTGGTCCCTGGCCCTTCTAACAATTCTGTGGGCCATCTAGCATCCTTTCATACATTCCTTCCTGTTTAACTAAACTGCTCTCTGTTGTCTGCAAAGAATCCTGACCCATACATTTCCTGATACCTCAAGTCATCAGAGATCTCCTATCTTCCAACTTCTTATGATCTAACGCCAACCAATTTAACATTTGACATATTATAGATTTTGTTTCATATGTACATACTGTCTTAGTTCGTTTCGGTGACTGTAACAAAATGCCATAAACTGGGTAGCTTTTAAACAACAGATATTTATTTCTCACTGTTTTAGAAGCTGGGAAATCTAAGATCAAGGTGCCAGCAGATTTGGTGTCTGGTGGGGGCCAGATTTCTAGTTTATAGACAGAGTCTTCTTGCTGTGTCCTCACACAATGGAAGGGTCAAGGCAGCTCTCTGGAGCCTTCATTAGTATGGTATAAAGGTACTAATCCTCATCATGAAGGCTCCGCCCTCATGACCTAACCACCTCCCAAAGGCTCCAGCTCCTAACACCATCACATGAGTGATTAGGTTTCAACACTGAACTTTGGGAAGACACCAACATTCAGACCACAGCAGCACATATCTTCTCTTCCCAACTAGACTTTATCTCCTTGAGGGCAGGATGGTATCTCCAACTTCTGTATCCCAAGCAGTGCTTGACACAGCGCTGGCTCAACTTTTGGAATTTATAGGATGACCATATAATTTATCATCCAAACTAGAATACTTTGAGGAGTGGAATAAGGGCATATTATTAATACTATTACAACACGTATAAACCAGGACTGATGCAGACAGTCCTGACACAGACAGATATTATCAAGGCACAATTAGTTCTTTGATGCATACAGTGTCATACTCGTCATTGATAATTGTTGACTGAGTGAAAAGGTAAAGACATGTGAAGGGGAAATAGTGCAGTGAAAATGTGAGTGTGGAAGAGTGGTTCCCAACACCTGGGTTCAAATCATCACAGGAAATCATGGTCTTCTGGAACCTCCCTAGTCCCATCCTGCAGGGATAGGTGGCTGGGCTTAGATGACCTTTCAGGTTCTGCTGCTGCTGAAATATATCTTTGGTTCTCCTAAGGAGGCTTTTTTTCCATTCACTGCTTTCATGATAAAGAATCCCTTTTGCTCTTAAGGGATCCCTTTTAGATTTGGGAAAATTATCCATAAAACTTTAACCACAGGAGTAATTATGTCGCACAGGTGAGCTAGCATACCTATACAAGACCACTTCCCTCACACCAATCCCTCCCTACCAGGGTCACAATTGATTAGCAGTATTACCAGAGGAACAGCCAAGACCAAAAACTTCTCGAAGACCAAGCCCATATTCATTATTTCCATCTCTAAGATTTCATTCCGTTCCTGGATAATAAACATTGAAACATATTATAAGAGGCCAGGTGCTACCTGCATGTTGCATATGTAAGTAATTCAGGCTCGGGGGCCTGGTTCTTTTCCTTAGCGCTTAGCTAGGGAAGTCGGTCCACGTCTTTGTCCCAGGCTCACTGCTCCTTCTGCCTCCTATCTTGAACGTGGACAAAGGATGGAGAGGTGGGGAAAATGCCTGCTCAGTCCCATCCTATGATGCCTCTATGTGGGTGTGTACAGCTGTATAAAGAACTTCATCGTGTTCTAGCTGCCCTAGGCCAGGCTAGAATAATAAACTGAAGTAATACGAGTAAAGAGCCTCAATACCAAGCACATAGTAGTGGTTCACTAAATGGTAGCTATTATTATTATCAAGGCACAATTAGTTCCCTGATGCATGCAATTTCCCTCACGATGCTCCAGCTACAACCCTCAGGAGGAAGAGAATTATCATCAGTGATTGCACAATTAGTGATGCAAGTGAAATGAAAGCTAATTGTTTAGCATCAGCTTGCTCTGATGATACTTTGGATGGTACTCAAATTGGTACACGGAAGGTATTGTAAACACACTAAACACAGTGTGAAGTGACAGTCATACTAATTCAGCTGCAACGGTCAATAAAATATAGCTCAGCAGCATAGAATAAAAGCTATGTATCTAGACTGTGAAACTCAAATACGTCCTAACCAGTCTGTAAAAGAAACTAACAAGATACAAAATGAAAGAAAAATGCATAAAATATTAAACGTACTATGGTTTTAATTGTTTGTGACGTGAACTTAGCAGCGATGAAGAATTTAGTCTCACATAAAGTTTAGTAAGAAAAAAAAGGAACAGAAAAAACTGCTTGGGAGCCAGTTATCTTGGGGGTGGAAGGAAAAATAGGAAGAAACACGCCCTCATTTGCTTCTAGCACGGTTAGCTGACCTGTCTGAAATTAGACCCACTTTCAAGTGTTTTAACTTAATTATTAAGCCATTTCTTAACCTCATGAATGTAGTTTTCATGTGCTTTCAAATCTGGCCTTGAACTAATAGACCCTTTCACTTCACTGGTTCTGGAAATGAATGTCAGATGGAGAGGAAAACATTTTAACTGTGTTTTTCCAAGGGTCAAAGCTCTGAGAATATAGTATAGTTTGTACATAAAACTCAGTACACCTGAATATCCTGCTGGCCTTTGTCTGGTAATGAAGCAAACCATGCCACCCTTTAAAACTTCTGCTTCCTTTCCAAGCGCGGTCGGCTGTGTCAGGGCTGAGCTATCTAACTGCTCAAGTGAATCCATTCTCAGGATCAAAGTCTCAATAGATGAGAAACAGGTGGCACTGAGGCACCCTGGGGCAGCCTTCTCTTAACTTGTAAGAAAGAGAATGGTAAGTCCAGGCCTCCATTCTAGAATATTCTCTTTAAAAAAAAAAAAAGACATAAAGAGTAAGAGGAAGAAATGTCTGTCCGTAAGAATGGCCAACGCTGTAGTAGTATTATTGGAATCTCCTTCTGTTAATTTGTCATTCTCATGGAGGAATCTCAGCAGTTGGTCTGGTTTCATCTGCCATTGTCAGAAATCTATGGCTGATGAATACAACATTTGAAATGATAAGATATTGGGCAACTTTTACTTCACAAGTTAAAGTAAAATAATGCCTTGGCATGCACCACAAATTAATAATGAAAATAGTAGTCAATATTTATTGACTGCTAAGCCATTTCCATGTATATCCTATGAAGCAGGTAGTACTATCACTCATTTACATAGGGAGAACTGAGGTGGAGGGACATTGAGTAACTTGCCCAAGATCATATTTTTTGTAATAGTAGAATCAAGATTCAAACCTGGGTAATCGGAATCCAGAATTCATGTTCTTAATTGCTATACTATAATGTACAGTGAAATCCATGAACGCAAAGTACTTTTTTTTTGCTTGAGATAAGGTTTCATTCTTTCACCCAGGCTGGGCTGCAGTGGCTCCCTGCAGCCTCGACCCTCTGGGGCCAAGTGATCCTCCCACCTCGGCCTCCCAAGTAGCTGAGACTACAGGTATACACCATCACACTCGGCTAATTTTTAAAATTGTTATAGAGATGAAGTCTCCCAATGGTGCTAGGCTGTTCTTAAACCTTGGGGTCAAGCACTCCTCCTGCCTTGGCCTCCTGAAGTGCTGGGATTACAGGCGTGAACCACTGCATCAGGCTGCAAAGTACTTAAAAAAAAAAAAATTTAAAGTAGGCCGGGTGTGGTGCCTCACGCCTCTAATCCCTGCACTTTGGAAGGCTGAGGCAGGTGGATCACTTGAGGCCAGGAGTTTGAGAGCAGCCTGGCCAACATGGTGAAACCCTGTTTCTACTAAAAATACAAAAATTAGCTGGGTGTGGTGGTGCATGCATGTAGTTCCAGCTATTCCAGAGGCTGAGGTACGAGAATCACTTGAACCCAGGAGGCGAAGGTGGCAGTGAGCCGAGATCGCGCCTGGGTGACACAGTGAGACTCTGTCTAAAAAGAAAAAAAAAAGAAATTAAAGTAAAAGAAATCAAAATAAAAGCCAGGAAACCACTGCTTTTTAAAGTGATACTTACTGAATTCTTTCTTTAAAATATTTAATATACCTACTATGCATGGTGCACTTTGTCTACATGATTTAACTTAATCCTCTGCAAATCAGTTGTTAGCTCCATTATACAAATGAAGACACTGTGAGTCAAGAAAGTTGTACTTGATCATAGCAACTGTCACTGTAATTAGAACCCAAACCTGACAGACTCCAGATCCTTTCAATCTTCCACGATGCTACTCTACTTCTTTCTTTAAAGCAATTTTTACTACTAAGAATGAATTCAATGAAAAAAAACTTTGCAATCAAACTATTCATAAGTTTAAAATTAGAAGAGAAAATGTTCTTTTCTATCTCGTACCAGGCAAAGAATAGTTCTGACTTCTTAAGAATCAATCTTAGAAATGGTAAGATTCAAGCGATGTGTTATAACATAGGCCAGACAAGAAGAAAGAACATTAGTAGTAAAACTAGTTAGCCTTTATTAAAACAGACAGCAGTAATGTTCACATTGTCGCATATTCCTAAGAGAGACAGATCTCTAATGCCATTTTTAACTGAACCCACAGAGAAGATAATTAAAACTGCCCATTTTCTCATTTTTTTCCCTCTCTCTCTTACTTATTATTTTTTTGTATCCAGTGTAAGTTTACTCTGGTATACAAAAAGAAACTGGTGTCCAGAAGTTATCGAATAAGACTCCTGCAATTAAAATGGGCAAGGCAGTATGGACCTGGGCTTAAAAATACAGGCTTGACTGGTCCGGTGTGGTGGCTCACGCCTGTAATCCCAGCACTTTGGGAGGCTAAGGCGGGCGGATCACAAGGTCAGGAGATAGAGACCATGGTGAAACCCCGTCTCTACTAAAATACAAAGAAAAAAAAAAAATTAGCCGGGCGCGGTGGCGGGTGCCTGTAGTCCCAGCTATTCGGGAGGTTGAGGCAGGAGAATGGCGTGAACCCGGGAGGCGGAGCTTGTGGTGAGCCAAGATCGCGCCACTGCACTCCAGCCTGGGCGACAGAGCAAGACTCTGTCTCAAAAAAAAAAAAAAAAAAAAAAGGCTGGGCGCGGGGGCTCACGCATGTAATCCCAGCACTTTGGGAGGCCAAGGCGGGCAGATCACGAGGTCAGGAGATCGAGACCATCCTGGCTAACACAGTGAAACCCCGTCTCTACTAAAAATACAAAACAATTAGCTGGGCGTGGTGGCGGGTTCCTGTGGTCCCAGCTACTCGGGAGGCTGCGGCAGGAGAATGGCGTGAACCCAGGAGGCGGAGCTTACAGTGAGCCGAGATCAGGCCACTGCACTCCAGCCTGGGCGACAGGGCGAGACTCTGTCTCAAAAAAAACAAAACAAAACAGGCTTGACCCATGCGGATTAGGATGGCTACTATCAAAACAAAACAAAACAAAACAAAAGAGAAAATAAGTGTTGGTGTGAATGTGGAGAGACTGGAACCCTTGTGCACTATTGGTGGAAATGTAAAATGGTACCGCTGCCATGGAAAACAGTATGGCAGCTCCTCAAAAGATTAAAAATAGAGGACCATACAATCCAGCAATCTTATTTCTGCACAAATATCCAAAAGAATTGAGAGCAGGGACTCGAAGAGATATCTGTGCACCCATGTTCATAGCAAATATTATTCATAACAGCCAAATGGTAGAAGCAACCTAAATGTCCACCAATGGATGAATGAATTAATGAAATGTGGCATCCACATCCAATGGAATAGTATTTAGCCTTGAAAAGGAGGAAAATTCTGACACGTGCTACAACATGGATGAACCCTGAGGACATTATGCTAAGTGAAATAAGCAAGTCACAAAAAGACAAACACTGGTGAGCATATGATTCCACTGATATGAGGTACCAAAAGTAATCAAATTCATAGAGGCGGAAAGTAGATTAGAAGTTACCAGGGGCTGAGGGAAGGGGGAAATGAGGAGTTATTGTTTAATGAGTACAGGGTTTCAGTTTTGCAAGATGGAAAGTTCTGGAGATGGGTTGTACAACAATGAGAATGTACTTAACACCACTAACTATACACTTACAAATGAGTAAGACAGGAAATTTTATGTTACGTATATTTTACCACAATTAAAACACACAAAAACGAAAACAAAGGCTTGAAAGTGGGGATATAAATCCTGGCTTCCCTCTTCTACCTTCAAATTTTGTGACTCCAGATAAGCTATTTATTGAATTATGGATGCTCAGATTCCTTATTTGTGAAATGGGGATAATAATAGTGCCTTCCTCTCAGGGTTATGAGGGCGATATGAGTGAACACATGTAGCATATTTAGCATGGTATTTGGCTACGATAAGCACGCCATAAATGTTGACTTAGGGTCCTAGCAGTAGGTATGGAGTATTTAGCCAATAACAATTATGGGTAATGATTTTAAAATTTGACAATATATTGGGATTATGTTTGTAAAAGGAATCTTTATCTTTTAGAGGTATTTACTAGTATATTTCTAGATGAAATAAAATGTAAATGGGATTTTCTTCAAAATAATCAGGGTTGGGGGAATAGGGGTAGATAAGAACACAGATGGCATAAGATTGGCTGTCATCTGATGACTGCTAAGGGTGGGTAATAGGTATGTGGGATTATTATACTATTCTCTCTACTTTCGTGTATGCTTGAAAATGTTCATAAAATTTCCATAAATAGATTTCCATAATGGAATTAAACAAAAAAATCCTTGATCCCAATCTTTGATGATGGCTTTCAGATAATTTTTCAAACTATTACATGGTCATGGATTTGGTATTGCTGACCCCACGTCCTGTCTATCTACAGTTTTTCTTCAGGAAAAATTAGGCTGCATGTGAGCACAAGATAAAAATATTGATGTTCTTAGCATCTTAAAACTGTGTTTTTCTCAAGTTTCCTATTCTTCTGCCCCTTTCACTAAAAATGTGCATATAACCTTCACCCATTCCCACCATCATTTTGATAACACCCTTCTAATCTGTTGTACCTCTCATCAATTTCATCAAAAGAGGTCAAGTGATTAGCCGGGTGTGGTGGCGCACGCCTGTAATCCCAGCTACTCGGGAGGCTGAGGCAGGAGAATCGCTTGAACCTGGAAGGTGGAGGTTGCAGTGAGATCATGCTATTGCACTCCAGCCTGGGCGACAAGCAAAACTTCATTTCAGGAAAAAAAAAAAAAAAAAAAAAAAAAAGAGGTCAAGTGAGACAAAATAAGTCCAAAGCACAGTATTTTGCTTTAGATGCCAGGGAGACCAAGGTGGGAGGACCGTTTGAGGCCTGGAGTTCAAGACGAACTTGGGCAACAAAGCGAGATCCTGTCTCTAGAAAAAATAAACAGTATCAGCTGGGGCCGAGCACAGTGGCTCATGTCTGTAATTCCAGCACTTTGGGAAGCTGAAGTGGGCGGATCACCTGAGGTCAGGGGTTCGAGACCAGCCTGGCCGACATGGTGAAACCCTGTCTCTACTAAAAATAAAAAATTAGCCGGGCGTAGTGGCACATGCCTGTAATTCCAGCTACTCAGGAGGCTGAGGCATGAGAATTGCTTGAACTTGGGGGGTGGAGGCTGCAGTGAGCTGACACTGCATGCCACTGCACTCCAGGCTGGGCAACAGAGTGAGACTCTGACTCAAAAAAAAAAAAAAAAAAAAAAAAAAAAAAAAAAAAATTAGCCAGGATGGTGGTGCATGCCTATAGTCCCAGCTACTCAGGAAGCTGATGTGGGACGATTGCTTGCGCCCAGGAGGCAGAGTTTGCAATGAGCTGTGATCACACCATTGCACTCCAGCCTGGGTGACAGAGGGAGACCCTCTCTCAAAACAAACAAACAAACAAGAACCAACAAAAGCCTTACTGTTTCTCTTAATGTAAATACCCAAATCAATATTCCTACCCCACTGGCCTCATGCTACAACACTATTTCTAGAGGCTCTAACAGACCAGCAACCAACTGGCTTCCTCATCTTATCCGGGACTTTTGGGCCATTCTGGTTCAGAGCTGGGCTGGTGGTAGAACTGATAACACCATTTTCTAGGCTAGAGGAAAGGATGGGAGAGTAGAAAGGGTGCCCCAGAGAATTTAAACGGAACTGCCCTTTTAGACAGTAACACTATAGTTAAGGAACGAATAGAGGGACACTACATTTCCTTGTTTATGTATTATCAATGGTGATGTTTACAATACTCCCTTTCCAAGAGGCAAACATGAAGGAATTAAACCAGGCAGAGTCTTTGAAATAATAATTTCCCCACTACTGCTACTTGCTGAGAAACCCTTTTCACTGTGGCAATCTAAAATTAACCTTGTAAAACACACTATGTGGAAAAACAAAACAAAACAAAAAATAAGCTGACTTCTTAAAAAATTTTTCAAAGTATTGGCTAACATATCAAAAGCCAAATCTCTAGCAATATAATTTAAATGCCAGGTTACACTGCTCCTTCCTGGCCACCCATACTATCCCCCAAGTACAATTTTTTTTTTTTTAATAAACAGCAAAAATGAATGGTTATGTTTATCAAGTTTTAGAGTTATCTCCTGATCATGCAGGCTGATGCATTTGGTAGGATTTTAACAAAAGCTGGTCTATACCATTCCAGTACGGGTTAGACGGCCATGCACGCAGATCCTTCATGGGCACTTGTGAAGCACATGTGAATTATCACTGCTGTCGGACACAAGAATCCAGTGCCACAGTCAGTGAGAACACAGACAATAGTATTGTCTTTGTTGCTATTGCCAGAGTGAAGCGGTACTATTGCCAGAGTGAAGCGGTATTCCCTTTATTTTAACGAACATGTCCTTGCAATTTATTTTGAGGAACAAGATTATGCACAGATTAAAACAATTTCGGAATTACATGGCCAGATAAATATCAGTTATTTTTTTCCATATGTTAAATCACTGTTATATGCTTTTTTTTTTTAAGCGCTTAACAATTGTGTTGGAGAAAGGACATCAAATGATGCTTAGAAATGTGATACACATTTTCATTTCACACTCCATCAGCTTTTACAACTGTAGCTCAATGAAATGTGAGAGAGCTTGGCAAACGGCCATATTTACCAAGGTATAAAATAGGGGTCAGGTTACTTTTTTATAGAAAGAAAAAAATGTTTAATTTTCACTCCACATGACTAAAGTAGATATCCAGCTAACACCCTTCTGAAAGGCACCATAACTGCATATATGATATGGTTTAGTGCCTGTTCAGCTGTAGGTTTTTACTACAGTATAAACAGCTTTGTAAAGCAAGAAAACACCCCTTTCTTCATCCCCTTCCACTCAGGATCTACTGACATAGAAACATACTGGATCAGATCATCTTTTGGTGTCAACATTTTCACCTGCAAATAATGGCTTTTACCCCCTGCTTCTAAACTGGAAGCAGAAAGAGCTTATTCTCTTTACAGCCAGAGAAGCAAAGCTATCGGCATCAGCAAAAACACATCTTTCTAATTCAGATTTCAATCTGTCAGAAAGGATTAAAGCCTCATGCATACATAAAAAGGGAACTATAAATGATAACAGAAACATGGCCTGGAATCACTGTGCTTCCACAGCTGCTGTTTTACTAGCAGGGTAGAGAGGAGAGCATCTTTTACTTACCTTTGTCAAACCCGAGACTTCTCCCTTTGCTAGCGGTTTGCTGATGGAGGGCGTGTACACTTTGGCATCAGATACTGGCTGCCCTTTCATAAAATGTTTGCCTGATTCATAGATGTCCACTTCAACCATCTTCCCCATGAACGCAGGGTTCTTTGGCACTAAAACCTTAAACACATTTGTTTCAGAGGCTTAATTTTTAAAAATAAACATTTTACTTTAGAACAGTTTCAGATTTATAGAATTATTGCAAAGATAGTATGGAGAGCTCCTGTATACCTAACTCCCAGTTTTCTTATTATTTACCGTCTTACATTAGTATAGCACTTTTGCCACAATTAATGAACCCAAATTGATATATTAATATTATTAACCGAAGGCATACCTAATTATCCAGGTTTCCTCATTGTCCCTCAATGTCATTTTTCTGTTCTGGGATCCCCTACAAAGTGGACTCTATCTTCTAGCTGCTCAAGGGTCTGCAGAGCCTGCAGGAAGGAAAGGCACTCCTGGGAGGGGCTCCTGGGCCCCTGGGCAGTGCTTTTCCAGTGCAGGATGTGCCTGATGTCCTGAGGCACGTGGAAGGCAGACCTGGGAAATCCCCCAGCAATCAGCCAGCCACTTCTGGACAGGCCTTTGATATCTTGCTTTTGGCTATTCCATGCAATGAGGAAAACCGAGACAATACTGATGAAAGCCTTATACTTTTAATACTTTCCAAGTGAGCTGTCAGAGTAATGGTTTGAAAAGACACTTCAAACAGGCCTGCGTGTTTGTGTCCGTGCATGTGTGTGCTGTGTTTTGAGGGAGAAGGAGGTACATTTAAAAGAACCTTCCAATAACACTGTACACTGCTGTTTGGAGCTAAATGACTCCTGAAACTAACAGCTGCCGTTCATTTCCCTTGCTCTGTTAGAAAAGGCATGTGTTTGTCAGTCCTGGGAATCTACCTCCATCTAGAACCAGTCCTCTGAAGGGTACTTTGGCTTGTTCACAGGAAACTGTCAGGTGGTCTCTTTCCACTAGAGATTCCTGATAAAAGTACTTGTTTACTTCAAGCAAACGTTTCCCTTCCTTTGGGACCCACAGGTAGCTTGTGTGTGTGATGTCTCCCTTACACTTCTATTTTAGCACTGCAGCGACTTGCCAGTCTTTTCAAGTTAGAATCCAAAATAAATAGACCAGTTCTAATCCAGTAATACTTGGATATCTAGATACAATCTTCATCTCTGGAACTCATCTTATTTAGAAAAATAATTCCTAGAAAATCTTTGATATGCTTAGTTATAGAGACAGAAAAGTCAGATGAGAGCCAGGAGTTCCACAGCCAATCTCTCTGAAAGGCAAAATTGAATCTTGGTCTGAGTTTGATTTTTATGACCACTGAGTACACTGCTTCATCAAAGTAGAAGAAAAAGGTCACCTGGGTGGTGAATTACTTAGGGCAGGCAAAAAGAACTAAAAGAGCTTTAGTGTTAGGATATAAAAAGCCCATTTAAATCAGTTTTTATAAAATAAGAAAATCTCTAGACCAAACTAACCCTGGGAGATTTGGTACTATTCTGGGGAAAAATAACCCTCCTTGATCTGCTGCCTTGATCTGAATGAAGGGCTCAGTGTTTTCCCCTCCTCCAGTTTTAATAATTGGAAAAAGCCCGACTGCTTTAAATTGGAGGAAGCAGCTAACGAGGCATGCCACTGCCTTTAAAATGAAGGGAAAAAAGTTCCCTGCTGAGGCAAAACCCAGATGGCAAGAGAAAGGAGAGAGAAGAGGCAACCAAAATGCAATCAAGCTCCTCCCCAGGGCTGAGCAGAAGGTTGGCCTGAATAGGAAAATGGCCCTCTGGGGTATATTAATGAGATGGGGAAATGGGGAAGCGATGCAGGCCAGACATGGAGTGCTGGGAGCCCTTCCTCAACTGCAGTCTCCACCGGTACTGAACAGAGCACGTTTAGTCTGGGCTTTGAAAAGCTCCCCTGTTTCCTGGGGACGCACTGCCCAGTCTGAGATGATTCCCTGGGGAATGTCAATGCTGGGGGCCTCTTCAGCTCCTGCTTTCCTGCCTTCTGACACAGGCAGCCTGCTTCCTCTGCCCATCCCTCATCCGACTTGTCCACCTTGGCCTTCAGCATCTTCTCAAGCTCTAATTCCAGCCATGATCCATAGCAAACATTTTCACCTCTTATCTGATAAGAAAGAAGCAAAAAAGTAGGAAGCTCCATTTGATTTTAATACAATCCAGAATGATCAGTGAAAATCTCCGTACGCCCATGACAGTCTCCCACACAGGCTATCATGAGATGGGAGACACAGGCTACCATAAGATGGGAGAGGAGGGCGTATCCCATCTCTTCCCTGGCCTTGGCCCTTGCCAGGGTCAATGACCCTGAAAGAGGCACTCTCTTTTCCTCAGTCACTTTTGAATTGCTCTCCCACCTGGAGGAGTAGAAACCCTGATGCTGAAACAGAAGTCAGGCTCCTCGGTGGGCAAAGGCAGGCCAACTTAGATGGCCAGGGAAGGAGGGCTAGTAATTGGGGGCGCCCCTAGGGATGGCCTTCAAAGCTCTCACAGTGAAGCTGGTTTGATCCTCACACTGGTCTGCACAGTTGTTCATACAATTAGAGTTGAGTCCAAGGAATAGACTCCTTTTCCTCTGCTCCCAGCATTTTTATTAAGGTAGAAGTTAAAAAAACAGATGCTAAAACTAAACAAAACTAAAAAACCAACCAACCAACCAACCAATCAACCAACCAACTAAAAAAACTGTCCGGGTGATGTACCAGCGAGAGGAAATCCCTGCCCTTTCATGCTGCTGTCGCCCATGCAGACATCCTTCCTGTGGTCTGAGCAGGACTTTCCCCCCTGCTTTGCCAGGGTGTGGGAATTCTGGCAGTGCTAATTGCCTGGTTCCAAACGCCCAAAAGCCTAAAGCTGGTCCTGTCAAAGATTAATGTGAACTAAAATAGACTAAATACACCTATTCCTTTGTACAGAACATATTGTAGAGTAAGTCACAAAGATAAAGTCCATGTTAGCCTGGCTGGCTTGAAGCGATAAAACAGCCTTGTTGTGACAAGATTCAACACTCTCCCCTTTAAATGCCCTTTGCTTAAACTTTCAGAACTCTTTCTCACTTTGGAGAAAACTCAAGAATACTGAAGTGCCTCTTACCTGCTCATAGAATTGATTGTGTGCAACATAAAACTTGGAATCAAAAGATTCTTCTGTTACTAACACTTGTTGTCTTTCACCAATCTGTGGAGAGAAGGGGAGGGAAAGAAAGGAAAGATAAGGGTAAACACCTGTGAATCCAAAAATAAAAATAAAGGCTAGCCCAGGTAGGTCTGGACCAAGTAGCGTCTTCTTGAATTTAAAGTAGACTCTACATTGCTGGTTATTTAACAGCGAACCCTGTTCAAATCACGGATTCAAATTTTTTGAAAGACATTAATTATCTGGCAACATAAAATTAGCATAGTATAAACTCTTATTTTCTTACATAACTCTGAAACAGAATTTGATCTCCTTCAACATAAGTAAGATAATTAAAGCTTCTATGACATACAAAAATCTTCTAAATATCACTTTGTTTCCTGAAACAAAGTTGCAAAACAAGCCAGAACAAGCTGCTTCTAATCCAAATTCATGAAAATATTTTGGCAATATGAAAGAATAGTAATAAACATTCATTTGAGTTATGAGGGATGTAACACTAAAGAAAATGCCTCGGAAAACTAGTCATTAGGACCTTGCACCTCCACATTTCATATCTTACATACAATTCTGAAAGTACTGAGTAATTCACAGAGCTATTTACTTATTATATACATTTTCTCTGTCACAGGCAACTGTCTCTTTGCTGCAGTCATGACCCCATGTTCATTTATTATTTTTTAAAGAGAAAGACAGCAAAAACATGGAATTGCTAATTTTCCACAGAATTGATGTACATTATGATCTAGGCACCCATTTTTAATAGCAAAGAAGTAAATCAGCCAAAACAATGGGTAAAGAAGTGTGACTATTCTAAGGAAATTCTATAATTTCCAAGTTTATTCTACTGTGAAATGCAGCACTTAAGGTATCAAGTATTATTATTATTATTATTTTTTTTTTTTGAGACAGAGTCTCACTCTGTCACCCAGGCTAGAGTTCAGTGGCATGATCTTGGCTCACTGCAAATTCCGCCTCCCGGGTTCAAACGATTCTTCTGCCTCAGCCTCCCGAGTAGCTGGGATTACAGGCATGCGCCACTATGCCCGGCTAATTTTTATATTTTTAGTAGAGACGGGGTTTTGCCATGTTGGCCAGGCTGGTCTCGAACTCCTGACCTCAGGTGATCCGCCTGCCTCGGCATCCCAAAGTGCTGGGATTTCAGGCATGAGCCACCATGCCTGGACTCAGTTACTCTTTTTACAAGGTTGTCAAAATGTCTGATACAGCAAAACAACTGTACTGAATGACTGTGCCGGGGATTATTTTTACCAATGCTACTTAATAATTATGACCCCCCCAAATTAAAGCCCACTGGCAAGATAATTTTTTAAAATTCCTATTCTCAT
This sequence comes from Homo sapiens, assembly GCF_000001405.40. Classification (NCBI taxonomy): domain Eukaryota; kingdom Metazoa; phylum Chordata; class Mammalia; order Primates; family Hominidae; genus Homo; species Homo sapiens. The sequence continues at coordinate 21,196,713 of NC_000006.12, read as the reverse complement.
TTGTAGGGACTTGTCACCATGTTCAGGCGGTTACCATGAAGGAAACATAAACACAGCTGCACTAAATAGACCACCTAACAATTAAAAAACAAATCAAACTCCCCTCTCTATCATACAATGCCAGTACCTAAATACACCATAATTTACTATCTAGTTTACTATCTCATTCAAAATATAGCCCTCTTAGCCAAAAGTTGTAAGGTCTCTGAGATGACACTTACTAAAGACTCTTTTCACTGTCTGAAAAACAATGGAAGTTCTGGCAACATTAATCCCCTTAAAAAAATCAAGTGTAAAAAAAGAAATTTCCCCCAACTTCCATGTTGAGCTTCAATGGCTCTGTTTATCAAAAAGGGCTGGTGAATATTGGGTATCACTGAAGTATATTCTTCTAGAAGAAAACTTAGAATGTTTGCACACATTTCACAGTGTGAGTTGCTTATGACTTAGGATAAGTATCTGTCAATGGTTCTTAAGGAAATCTGCAATTACACTTCATTTAACATCAAGTTTTCAGGAAATTAACAACAATGTGAAATTGTAGAGCCACTGAAAACTATGCTGCTTCTTTCTTCTTCTTAGAATCAACGTGGAGAGTAAGGCCCATCATGTTTGGGCTGCTCTATTTCATCTGGAGATGATAACAATGACAGTAATATATACAGAGTTAAAAAGACTTGCTATGTTTATATAGTAGAAAGCTGGGCTTTTAATCAACCATAAGAGAACTATTTGTAGGTGAGTATTTAACTATTATTTGCCAAAGAGACTCAGGAGAACCGCAATGTGCACTAATTCATAGTGGCAAACACCTTTTCAGTCATCCTATTTGTGTCCTCAACTGAGGAGTCATCCTATTTGTGTCCCCAGTCTCATTGGCAAGGCCCTTAAAAATCTCCAGAGTGGCCGGGCCCGGTGGCTCATGCCTGTAATCCCAGCACTTTGGGAGGCAGAGGTGGGCAGATCACTTGAGTCCAGGAGTTTGAGACCGCCTGGGTAACATGGCAAAACCCCGTCTCTATAAAAAATACAGAAATTAGCCGAGTGTGGTGGTGTGTGCCTATAGTCCCAGCTACACGAGAGGCTGAAGTGGAAGGATTGCTTGGGCCTGGCAGATTGAGGGTGCAGTGAGTTGTGATCATTCTACTGCATTCCAGCATTGGTGACTGAATAAGACCCTGTCTCAAATAAATAAATAAATAAATAAATAAATAAATAAATAAATAAATAAATAAAAAAAACATCTCCAGAGGCCAGGCACGATGGCTCATGCCTGTAATCCCAGCACCTTGGGAGGCCAGGGCGGGTGGATCACTTGAGGCCAGGAGTTCGAGACCAGCCTGGCCAACGTGGTGAAACCCTGTTTCTACTAAAAATACAAAAGTTAGCCAGGCATGGTGACATGTGCCTGTAGTCCCAGCTACTTGGGAGACTGAGGTGGGAGGATTGCTTGAACCTGGGAGGCAGATGTTGCAGTGAGATGAGATTGCACCCCTGCACTCCAGCCTGGGTGACAGAGTGAGACTCTGTCTCTAAACAAAATCTCCAGAGCATACGGAAAAAAACTGAGCCTAGGAAGGCTAGGGCTTTGATCAAAAGCTGCTGCAATCCGTCCCCACTGCTTAAAATAAATATATGCATACATATATATTATAAATATATAAAACTTGCTTGAGCCCGGGAGTTGGAGGCTGCAGTAAGCTTTGATCATGCCACTGCACTCCAGTCTGGGCAACAGAGTGAGAACCTATCTCAACAAATGAACAAACAAAAAATAATAAATGCTTCCCTCAATATTTTTTAATGAATGAAGTCACACTGAAGTGAAAATCAAATACAACCTTTAAGAGAAACAACTATTCCAAATAATATTAAAGTCAACACTGAAGTTATGGAAGAATGAGTTCAGATGACATTCTGGAAGATGCAACTTCACCTTGGTTGCAAAGGAACTTGTGGGCTAAGGAAACATATACAAGCCTCAAATTTCTTTTTAAAATGAGCCACTTCCCCTACACTTTCTAGATGCTGTCTCTCCCACCCCATATGGTAGCCGTGTGTGGTTAAAGACCCTCACATAACAAAATTGAGAGTAATCATCCTGGCTTGCCATATCCAAACAGTGCCTCTGCTATCTGAGTAAGGAAGTTCTAGTCATAGAACTAAGGCAGGGCATCTGCAGAAAAGTGGCAAGGCTACAGATATCTTCAGGACTCTAAGACCACACCACTCAGTTATCTATTATGCTAATGGCAGAGGTAGTCCACTAGAAGGGATCAGAATTTGTCTTAAAGAGACTCTACACTCATCTGAGAAGCAAACTTCTATGGCTGCCTCACCGTCACTGACAGATCCTTGCCTAACAGCTGAAACTACCAACAGGAAAAGGTTACATCACTGTGAAAAATGGACAAAATCCTGCAAGTAAGGAAGAGGTTGAAAACCATGGTTCTCATAAAATGTGTGACTGGCAGCCTGCTATGGTTTGTCCCTGACAAAACTCATGTTGAAATTTAATTGACAATGTAACAGTGTTGGGAGGCAGTGTCCTTAAGATGTGATTAGGTCATTAGGATCAGTTAATGTCTTTCTCCAGGGACTGAGTTAGTTCTTGAGGGAATGGGTAAGTTCACATGAGAGCCTGGTGTTATAATGTGAGGCTGCCTTTCGTGTGTGGTCTCTTTGAAAGCCCTTCTGCTTTCTGCTGAGTTGAAGCCCTCACTAAATGGGTTGCCTGATCTTGGACTTCTCAGCCTCCAGAATCATGAGCCAAATAAACTTCTTTTCCTTATAAATTATCCAGTCTTGGGTATTTTGTTATAGCAACAGAAAATGAACTAAGACAGAGCACAATGTAATTGTTCAGCAGAAATGTTTAAGATACAACTGAAATTCTAAGTCCAAAGAATGGTCTGGTGGGTGGCGTCAAGAGAATTGTAACATTCAAGGATAGGAAGAAAGGGGAAAGTGATGGATGGACAATGAAAGGTCAGAAGCAGAAGCACACAGTTCTAGCAGAACCCAAGGGAAAAAAGTCTGAAGAGGGTTCTTTGAAATCAACAGATGCCACATATATGGATTGGTCAGTAGGGGACAAAGACACAGGGTCTGAGTGAGATTATTTTTGAGATGAAAGAGACCTGACTATGTTTTGGGCCTTCACTTTCCTCATCTAAAAATGAGAGGTTGGTAGAAGTGGGACGGAAGTAGGGAGAAGAGAGTAGGGCTGTTGAAGGGGAGGTGGATTACAATATTTAAAGATCTTTCAATTGTGAAGTTTAAGTCATTGTTGAAGGTAGATCTGTAGGCTGCGGATCAGCACATCCAAAGGTTTCATAGGAATTAGCTGAAGGAAATTATGTACTCTAATCAAGCCTGTCTCTCTCTTGTTCTCTCTCTCTCTCTCTCTTTTTAAACAGTAAATGTATGCTTACAGCCCTCTGCAAATTACAGCTACCTTCTTGGTGTACTTAAACCAACAACTTGATTTTCAATACAGTACCTGCCAGGAAACAATTACAAGGTGTCTCAAGAGGCTATTGAGTGTCTTGAAGTTTCCTTAAAGAAGCCTGCCAAAATCTCAACAAAGCTTGGCTGGGTGTGGTGGTGGTTCACACCTGTAATCCCAGCATTCGGGGAGGCCAAGGTGGGAGAATCATGTGAGGACAGGAGTTAGAGACTAGCCTGGGCCACATAGCAAGACCTCGTTTCTACAAAAAAATAAAAAAAATTAGCAGGGTGTGGTGGCGCACACCTGTAGTCCCAGCTACTTGGAACACTAAGGCAGGAGGATTGCTTGAGAGTCCAAGAGTTCAAGGTTGCAGTGAGCTATGATTGCACAGCTGCATTCTAGCCTGGGAGACAGAGAAAGATCCTATCTCTAAAAAAAAAAAAAAAAAAAAAGGAACTCTCAACAAAGTATTTTCTTGTAATCCTAAGAAAGATGTCCTTTTCCTTCTGATTTGTTTATAGGCATATAGTTTATGGCTGGTTAAATAAAATGATGTTTATTTAATTTCTGTAACATGCTAGAGGTTAAAAGCTTCTGTTGAGAATACAAATGCTATAGTATTTCCAAGGGAAACTCAGTTTCCATTTACAAAGCTTTGCCTTTTAAGAGATCTGTCAGGAAAGTAACTGATTGTAGTAACTTGATTGTAGCTCTCTGAAGTAAGGGACAATTCTTACCTTCAGAGCTTATTCCTTTACTGAATTCAGTTCTATGGACTTTTGAAAGTGGCTGTTGGTTCTGGCACCTGCTTTAACAAGCTAGGCATACTTTACAATTTATTCATCAAATGTAAGTAGAGAAAGTAATTTTTTCCTAGGATGTACAGAACTTCATTTCATCATTTTAACGTTATTTAAAGATATTTTATGAAAAATGAATTATGGCCGGGCGCGGTGGCTCACGCCTGTAATCCCAGCACTTTGGGAGGCCGAGGCGGGTGGATCATGAGGTCAGGAGATCGAGACCATCCTGGCTAACAAGGTGAAACCCCGTCTCTACTAAAAATACAAAAAATTAGCCGGGCGCGGTGGTGGGCGCCTGTAGTCCCAGCTACTCGGGAGGCTGAGGCAGGAGAATGGCGTGAACCCGGGAAGCGGAGCTTGCAGTGAGCCGAGATTGCGCCACTGCAGTCCGCAGTCCGGCCTGGGCGACAGAGCGAGACTCCGTCTCAAAAAAAAAAAAAAAAAAAAAAAAAAAAAAAAAAAAAAAAGAAAAATGAATTATAAAAATATTCCTGTAAAACTATCCCTTGCTTTCTCTGACTCGGTCACTAAAGTGAAGGAAGGCGCAGGAAACGTCTCTACAAGACCCTGCATTACTGCTGACCTCTCAGGGCTGCTGGGAAACACGGCCCCCAGCTGTGAAAGAATGAGTGTGCTACAATTTTCTAGGCCTTGTTGAAAAGATATGAGAAAAGCTCTTATACTTTTTTTTTTTTTTTTAATGAAAACCACAAAGGCAGAAAATAAAAGCAGTATTCCCCTAGACAGACAAAGAAAGTAAGATGTTGGAGGGAGCTTAGCAATCTCTCTGATTTCACAGGGAGAGAACTAAGGTCTGGCAAGATGGGTGATTTGCTCAGTGGCAGTGGCAGTGGCAGAAGAAAGGGAAGTCTTTGAACTCTTCCCACTACTCAATGCTTCCTATTTAATTGCTAGCTGTGGAAAACTTACAACATCACGGATCTAATTCTGCAGTGTATGACTTTTCCTTGAGCAGAGAAACGTCTGTGACAAACAAATAGCAATGTTTTTAAATTCAATTTTGGGGTAGATTTTTCAGTAAGTTACATAATCAGCTAGCTGTGTCATTTGTGTCACATCTATGCTTAAATTTCCCAAGTGCCTGAAGTTGTGAAAAACATCAGTTCTAACCATATGGCCAGAGAGTGCAGATAAAACACACACTTGCATTTAAAAAGCAGTGGTTTCCAACAGAATTTGGTTGCTGAATGAATGGTCCTCAAGTACACTCTAAGTCATCATTTGCCCTGAAACAAACAATATTCTACAAGGCTATATAAGGATATAAAGAGAGAAACAGAATTGTGTGAAGAAACGCAGACATTACTCAAATTAAACAAAGACATCAGGGTATTTGGGCTAATACTTTTAACTCAGTAAGAAATGTTGCTTGCAAAAGTATTCTTTGGACTAGAAAAAGCAAAAGGTTTCTCTTAAACTCATATATGGCTTTAAACATAAACTGTATGTAAAGTTGCTCTTCTCTTTATAACTTTTTTTTCTTCTTACTTTCACTTTACTTAAACAGAAAGCCTGACGTGGCTTTGGAAAATAATGTCAATCAATTTCTATTCTGAGATGCTGAGTTACAAAAAGATTTCAATATTACTATTTAAATAGAGTAACAAAAAATTCACAAAGGACGTAGATATATGGACCTGTGTAAGATAGACATTTGTTTCTTGAAAATGGTGTTAAGGAAGAAAGAAACTATTTTGTTTCCCTTTAAGAGCTGCTGACAATTATTTTTTCTGTCCATTCTCTTCCTAAGGCAAAGATTAAAACACATATCAGCCCGGGCGCAGCGGCTCACGCCTGTAATCCCAGAACTTTGGGAGGCCGAGGCGGGTGGATCACCTGAGGTCAGGAGTTCAAGACCAGCTTAGCCAACATGATGAAACTCCATCTCTACAAAAATACAAAAATTAGCCAGGTGCGGTGGCAGATGCCTGTAATCCCAGCTACTCGGGAGGCTGAGGCAGGAGAATCGCTTGAACCTGGGAGGCAGATGGTGCAGTGAGCTGAGATCACGCCATTGCACTCCAGCCTGGGCGACAAGAATGAGACTCCGTCTCAAAAAAAAAAACAAAAAAAACCCCACACATATCAAAAGTTCCTGTAATCATTTACATCATGGTTCTAATAAACTTGAATTTTATCTGTGCTTATCCTACAGAATATTCTGACATGCTATTTCTGCAGCTAAGTTTTGCCTTTTATTGTAGAAAATAAAATACAATTTTTCGACCTGACTGGTTTCTGAATGTATGACTCTGGGAAATGTCAAATGTCTTTCTTTAGCTCCAGTCAAATTAGTTTTTTTTTTTCCCCCCTAAGCTGCCTGGAACATGTTAAATACAAGGCTGTGACCTTCAACTCTGAAATAATATTTCTAGTGTCTGTGCAAAAGCCTGCCCTCACATACACCTTTAGACTAATTACTGCAGTGTAATGTTGCCAGTGAACCGCTGTAATTACACTTGGAGAAAAGTATGGTCTTGTTCTTTCCTAGCTAATGAAAATGATAACCTTTCCATTTTGATTCCTCATTCACAACAGGCAGAGCACGCGATGCTGGGTCTCCTGGGTATACAGTAATTTTCCTGACTGTTTATGCTCACTTCTATTTTCTGGCCCTGCAGAAGCTGGAATTAAAGAACCAGGCATACTTATGCTAAAAACGGTCAACAGTAATAATAGCAATAACATTAAAATTTAATATCATCCTTACTCCACAATGCCATTCTATAATGAAATAGGGCCATGACACAAGAATGTGTGTCAAAAATGATGATAGCATAGAAAACAAGTAATGAGCCTTTAAGTCCATCGTATTCAAAATGCTAGCCATCAATTTGTTGGTCTACTTAAGGGTTCTTAAGAGAAGATGTTGGACAGTTTATTCTCAAAGCGCTAGACTGGTTAACTGATTCTTAAACAATGACAAAAAAAGGCATTCATTAGATTATTTGAAAACATTGTCCTCTGTGGAAAAAAAATTCTTTAGATACACTTATTAATAGATATAAATGTACTCAAAAGGGGAAGAATGTTCCTTTGAAGTGGAGTAGCCATATTTTTAAGTATATATGCTTATCTATTAATTGCCATGAGTATCTTAGTAGCTTTATTTCTTCTTTCTTTGCATTTCAGAAATAACCTAAGTAGAAAGAAAAATTGTAAAACAATTTGGCTTTTCAAAAGTTATTCTTCCCTTCTTTGTGCAGTGATACAAGATACAAAGACCAGGCCCGAGGCAGTTCTACTGAATCAGACCATGAAGTTTCTTCTAACAAGAATCTCCTTGTGCTTTTCTTCACGCTGGTTGGTTTTCTTCTAGCCGTGTCTACCCCAGTAAGAGGAAGACAATCCGAGGTAGTCTCTTCCCAGCTGGGGGCAAAATCCCATTCTTAGTAACAAAGCTATTTTCATCTGCTGATCGAGAGCCAATAGTAAGAGCAAATAGTTACACAGGAAATGCCACACTGATGCCTTCCTGCCTGGCGTCAGGGATCCAAATCTAGTGCTACCTAAACTGCCAGTTCAAAAAGCAGCTGCATTTTAACCACCTGCCTGTACATTCTGAGTATTCTAGAGCATTCAAAGGTATTGCCTATAAAGCTTTTTGTGGAATTAAAAAAAAAAATTGTGGTAAGAACATATAACATGAAATCTACCCTCTCAACAAACCCAAACAAGTTGACCCTCCTATCACAGAGCCGGCACAAAGTACATCAGGTCTGTTTTTCCCCACACTGGGCAAGCTCTGTCATGCCCAGGCAGCCTGGGAAAGTGCTCAATATTGAAAACTGAAGTTCTATGGCCAGATACTGCCAGTAAGATCTATCCATGAGATCTGATTCATGGAAAGGGCCCATGGAGCCAACACTGGATATAAGTGTAGAACTTTTTTATGAAAAGCGCAAACCTAAAAATTGAACAGAATTTCCGTTCACTTCCACCCTCTTGATCTATTCCCACTGGTCTCTCTCAGCCATTACTTGGCAAGTCTAGGCCAGTCTTCTTTGAGAGCAGATTCTCAGAAAGGGACCTACTCATAAAAGTAGGTTGTGCATCTTAAATAGATACAATTTTATTTGTCAGTTGAAAAGATGAAAAAGAAGAAGCCACAAAATACTTGGAGGAAATATAAATTATTAGACATGTAACGTGTTGATGAAACATTTTTAACATAATGCTATGTTGCCATAAATGAGAAGTTTTTAACTACTGATTAAAAAAAGTATATTAAGATTGTCATAAACAAAGTCAAAAAGCAAATAGAAAAAAATTGCAAGTATGACATATATACTAATGACATGTTATAGGTTATATAATATGAAGAGCCTTTACAAAACAGTAAGAAAACAATAAATGTTCCCAACAGAAAAACAAACTGCTAAAAAAGCAATTCAAAACCAAAAATCTAAATTATCTACATACAGCACATATGTGAAAAAAGTTTCACTTAATTTTCAACGAATAAACACTAAAATAAGGAAATGTCCTTTTTTTTCACAAATGGGCAAAAATATGTATGAAACTGGGCTGTGCTTCTGGGAAAAAATTTTTTTCATACATTCCCCATCCCCAAAAGGTACATAAGTGACCAGTGATAACATTTAATAGGTCACTTTCTTGGAAGGTGCTTGTAGAAGTTTTGTTTCACTGACGACACAAAAAGTAAGCCAAATTTAAAAAAAGAGAAAAGCAAAAGCAAAAGCATTGGAGAGAGAGATTGTTTATGTAATCTAGTAATCTGCAGTAACTACTTGCCAACTTCCCTCACACCTTCATTGCTCCAAGTCCTCATTCCAAAAGCATGGGGAGTCAGGCAACTCAGTGAGCTACACCACCAGGCATTACCAATGGTATAAAACTCAGAATAATTCCAAGAAAGATTCAGACATTTGGAAGAAAAAAAGGTGTGGGTGTGGTATGCAGGACGCTTTCTAATTATCTTTATGGCATAAGAAAGCTTCTTTTCAAATACTAAATTATGAGAAAGGATGGATAAGCTCCAGCCTACCCAACTTCTAAATGAGAATTTTTAAAATCATGAATTCAGAGCTGGATTGGATAGAAGAGAGGACTTCAGAGATCATTTAGGACAAACTCTTCATATTACAGATGAGAATACAGGTCCCTTAGAGATTAAGTGACTTGGTCAAGGTCACATACCTCATAATATTTAATCTATAATGTTAAAAATGGATTCTATCCTGCCAGTTGTTTTAGGCAAGTGGTGAATTACCCAATTACTTTAAAACTGCACCATGTATACAGTAGTCCTAGCCATATGTGGCCACTGGGCACTTAAAATGTGGCGAATCTCAATTGAGATGTGTTATCAAACATACACCAGTGCAAAGTACACACCGGATTTCAAAAATTTCACATGAATAAAAGAATGTAAGACATCTCATTAATTTCTATACTGAATACAGGCTGAAATGATAATAGTTTTGATATACTGGAGTAAATAAAATATATTATTCAAACAAATTTCACCTGTTTCTTTTTACTCTGTTAATGCGGCTATCAAAAAATGTGAAGTAACATCTGTGGTTGATACCATATTTTTATTGGAGAGGGCTGCTCTAAAACATTATGATGTTGTTTTTAAAAATTTAACGGAAATCTACCATTTCACTGTTTTAGAAAGGATATTAGTCATTTTTCAAAAAAATTAAAAAAAAAACCTCACCACACTCTTAACTGTGGTAATCATGTAAATGTAATGTTTTAGTTTTAGGAAGGAATGTATACACATGTCTATAAACTGTAAAGGCAGGAATTTTGAATAGCAAAATTGCTCTTTTTGACCATTAAATTATTCTTGCTTCCATTTTTCTGGTTGACCACAGCATCTCTAAAACCTTATGGCATGATCAGCTTGCTCACTGTTTTTAGGGAAAATCAGGCAACCAAGGAGAGGCCATCTACATTTTCCAATCTGTCATTTTCCATTCAGTGTGGCTGCAAAAGCAACCATATAAAAAACAGTGGCATTTGGACTTAAAAGGCAGAAAGTAATCATTATCAAAAAATTCATTTTTTAAAAATAAGCCAAAAATGAACGTCCAAAATAGGAACTGCCTTTGGTAAGATAAATCTTACATTCCCCCCCATTCCCCAAAGAACTCAGCATAGATGTGAGCAATAAATAACACGTGCAGTACACCCCACCATCTTTCAACCATTTGCCAGTCAGGATTGAGGCTGAGGAAGCAGAAAAGATTAAGCAGAAATCAAAGAGAGCCAAGCTCTAATGGTGTCTAATTAGCATAACAAAAGGCACTGCCACAATCTTTCAGCAGTGGGCAATACATCTCATTAAAGAAGACTGAATAACAATTATTCTCTCCTGACCCCCCCTGCCCCACCCCCATACTTCTTGGCTTAGCTCCGGGAGACCCTGAGAGCCCGGCTCCAAGAGCTTCTGCATTATTGGCCAGGCATTCAGGCTGCAGGGGAAAGAGCCCACTTGTATTACTGTGCACCTGCATCTCAATGCTTTATTCTGATTTCCTCTCCTGCTGTGAAAATGTAGCTTCCTCAAGCACATACAAGTCCTGATATGCAGTTTATAGGAATATAATATTGAGAAATGTCAATGATGACCTAAAAAATGAATACTACTTCTTCTAAAACGTCTTTCTTGAAAGAAAATTGATCTAGTATTTATTTCTCTTCACCTATTCTATTTCTCCCTTAGTATTACTTCACTGTCTCAGACTTAATGAAGCCAAATTGAAATTCTAACAAATTTTATTGCAACCAGTAATTTGCTATGTGCACACACAGGCACGCACACACACATAGATACGTAGACACATCATGCCATTTAAGTGGGAGTACTTTGGTTCAGACCTATCCTCGCTCCCTATTTCCCCTTGATGTAGACAAGTGAGAAAATAGATGAATTTCAAAGAAAATCGAGATTGTAGGTGAGCATGTAGGTAGTTTTTGTATACATTTAAACCAAGAATAAAAGATTCTACTTAAATCAATAATTTAAAAATTCTTCCAGGGTGATTACTAACAAAGATAAAAGCTTTAAGCAATCCTATGTACTTTTTCATATCAATCTACTTAGGTGGAAGGATTGAATGGGAAGGTGAGAGAAAGGACACAGTTATTTAGTCCAAACAATTTTCAATTCTGAGCTATATTTTTTGATCAGTAACACCTTTCAAAAGAAATTTAGTATGAGGGCTGCTTTTTTTTTTTTTAATGGCCTCTCCTGCCAAACACAATAGTACATCGTCTACTTAAACCTGAACATTGCCATGTCTGCAAGTTGTTCTAGGAAAAGCTGTTTATCACAGATGTAGATAGGAACCACTGCAACAGTTCCTGAGACTAAATAGCAGAAACAAAGCCAACTCAAGGAGTAGCTGGGAAAACCTATATAGTATGTCTGGATTTTCAAACTGCTACAAAATTACTGCATTGTAGGAACTAAGAGACCTTGAGAATATTCAAATCTTAGGCTGGGTACTGTGGCTCACCCTGTAATCCTAGCACTTTGGGAGGTTGAGGTGGGTAGATCACTTGAGCCCAGGAGTTTGAGACCAGCCTGGGCAACATGGTGAAACCCCATCTCTACAGAAAAAAAAAAAAAAAAAAAAAATTAGCTGCACGTGGTAGTGCACACCTGTAGTCCTAGCTATAGCTACTCCAGAGGCTGAGGTGGGAGGATTGCTTGTGCCCAGGAGGTCAAGGCACCAGTGAGCTATGAATGTGCCACTGTACTCCAGCCTGGGAACAGAGTGAGACCCTGTCTCAAATAAATAAATTAATTAATTAAATAAAAGCATTGGCTGGAGGCCTAAGGTGAGATATTTTAATGCTATGATACTTTGCACATGATAGTATACAGTTAAAATAAACCTTAGAAGATCACTTGAATTCTAAAAGGCCTTTCTCTGTGTGGTGAACTACTCAGCATGTAAGAGCTGGTTTCTGCGTGGTGGCTCACGCCTGTAATCCCAGCACTTTGGGCAGGCCGAGGTGGGTTGATCACTTGAGGCCAGGAGTTAGAGACCAGCCTGGCCAACATGGTGAAACCCCATGTCTACTAAAAATACAAAAATTAGCCGGGCATGGTGGTGGGTGTCTACAATCCCAGCTACTCAGGAGGCTGAGGCAGGAGAATCGCTTGAACCTGGGAGGTAGAGATTGCAGTAAGCCGAGGTCGTGCCATTGCACTCCAGCCTGGGACACAGAGCGAGACTCCACCTCAAAAAAAAAAAAAAAAGGTCAAAGAAATGTATTTCGGGGTAAAATATTTTCATTTTTTTAGGGCCTGTTATCTGTCATGTGATGCTATACCAGAATCAGGTTGGAATCTGGTATCTTATTGTTACAAAAAGTCTGTTTTGTCAGTCTTAAGTTCTCTGTTTTAATGTTACTGCTGGTCAGTTGTACCTGAATTCCAAACAGAGGAGAGCATAATGAGGCATGTCCAACCTACCCCTCCAACCCCCAGTCCCTGCTTCCTCTCATGGCCTAAAGTATCAGTTTTTCAGGTTAACTTTGAATGCCCCCGGCCAAGAGGAGGGGTGCATTCAGTTGGTTGGGGGGCTTAGAATTTTATTTCTGGTTTACAACAGTAATGATGTGGCTTGGGTCTTGAGTTGTCTTCAGATTAATAACCTGGCTTTTGGGAGTCAGTGGCAGAAGTAATAATATGGAGGAGGTCCAACAGCAGGTGCAGGACAAGTTAGATTATTGTTGGTAACATAACCCGCAGCACTTCTACTATCTCCAGGATGGTCTATATTTAACTAAATTCCAACTTCACACACATCTTCCATTTATTATAAGAAGACAGCTCTGTGAGCTGAAACACATTCATAACTTCAACATTACTACTGGACGTCTTTATTCAAGTAGTCATGAGGGAATTTTAATTTCAAGTAGAAAACTGTCTTGGAGCTCTAATTGCTGCTTCAGAGAGGAGTAACTTTTAGAAAGCAACACTGTACGGATATGTGACTAGTTACTTAGAGTCTAGATTATTGTTAAATATGCTAAAAAAGCAAAAAGGTGCCGGAGGAATTAGGATCCTGGGCTTGAGCACAGGTCAGCACTCCTGGTGGGCGTACTGCCAGCCCTCTGGAGGAACCCTGTCTGAAAAGCAGAGGGACCTCTTTGCTCCCTTTTCGAAGCCATGGCTCAAAAGGGTTGCAGAAATGTAAGACTAAACATATTTAATGGGAAGAGAGCAGGAAAATTCTCCAATATTGATAAATCTGCAATTCATTTTTTTCAGTAGCTATTGGAAAGACGAATTATGCTGGAAAAAAAAAAAAAACCTAGAGCAGCTTACTGTCATTTCTAAAACATGATCCTATGCCTGCTTGAAAGAGTTAAGGCTGTATAAATATTTATCATTCTTCTTTCAAAAGGATAAGAAAAATTCCCTTTGCATACATGAATTTTAGATTGCAAGGCAAACATGAAGAGATGGTCAGGGGCCCATCATCTTAATGAGGATATGGTAATGATAATGATTTTTTTAAGCTTGCTTATATGTGATCAAAACCTAGAGATTTTGATTTTATACTAAGGCATGCACAGAGCCAAGAATAGTTAATGCTTTTAGGAGCATATGGATGGGATGACAGGAATACCATCAAGGGCTTACAGTGGGACCAGGGTGAAAGATTCATTAAAAGTGATAAATAGGATATGCCTTTCTTAATGTTTTTCAATTGCATATTCAATACAGCAGGACAGTGACTATGCATTTTAACTGTTCTTTATTTTTAAGAGAGCTGCCAGATTTTAATCACAGATTAAACAGTTATTTGCAAATGAGTACCCCTTCATTAACATACCAGAATCATAATAATAAACAATTCTGTTACTAAACAGTACACAGGACAGCGTGAAGTTTAAGAACCATACACACATATAGCACTACAGCAGGGTAAAATACTCCTTTTAATTTCAGCAAACTAGTTACCTTAAATTTTAAGGGAAATAACCTAGAAGAATGCTCACAAGATTCTAAATTCCACGAGTAGAGATTTTGTTCATTTGTAACTTTATCCCTAGCACCTAAATGCCTGACTCACAATAGGTTCTCAATAAATGTAAATGAATGAAGCAGCTCTTTTAATAAATAGTGATATTCTTACAGTTATACTGTCAAGCACTGAAACCTTTTGAAAAATTGCTAAACTGAAATAAATCAATGGCATTTTTCTCAAAAATTTAATTCTATAATTTATTCTGAAGGCCTTAGAATAGCTGTATTTTTTGTTATCATCTTCATAACAAAGAGCAGCTATAATAATCTTATTTCATCTAGTTTCTTATTTTTCACTTTCACATAGACTTTTGTGGTTGCCAACTTACAGAAGCACAGAGAATTTAAGTACCTTGGTTCAGGATACTGTGTAAGTTAGATATAGGTCTTAGGTGCCAAACTTCCTAGTGCACTGTTTTCTGCAGTAAACAATGCTGGACCATCTCTTTGCTACTTATTACGTGTCTTGAAGAAAACATAAAACAAGTTCTTTAAGAGAAAATAAGAGGTACTGTAATGACCATTAATAACAGGTAGTCTATCAGTACAGTAAAGCAGAAAGAAATGGCAAATGAAAGAGAAATTTTCATTATTACCATTCACTTACCAGTAGAGAAGGAAGAGAAATAATTAAAATATTTTCTCAAAATGGCCATATAAAAGTTCTCTGCTTTGTAGTAGGTTACAACATATAAAATACAGACCTGTTAATATCAAAATACTGACTAAGAAAACTATCTTTAACATCAACATGTAAAATTTGTGATTAGATCTCTGCCTTAGTCTGTTTTGTGCTGCTATAACAGAATACCTGAGACTGGATAATTTATAAAGAAAATGTATTTATTTTCTCATGGTTCTAAAGGCCAGGAAGTCAAAGATCAAGGTGCCAGTGCCTCGTGAGGGCCTTCTTGCTGCATCATCCAATGGCAGAAGGTAGAAGGGCAAAGAGAAGGCAATAGAGGGAGGACAGCAAGAGTGGGTTGAACTTGTCTTTTTATAAGAAACCACTCCCATGATAACAACATTAATTCACTCATGGGGGCCCTCATGGCCTAATAACCTCTTGAAGGTCCCAACACCCAATATAACCACATTGGGAATCAAATTTTGGTATGGTCTAAATGTCTCCTCCAAAACTCATGCTGAAATTTAAGTGCCATTGTAAGAGTGTTGAGATGTAGAATCTTTAAGTGGTGATTCGGTCATAAGCTTAGGCTCCACCCTGTGAAGGATTAAAGTTGCTATCTCCGGAGTTGGTTAGCTATCTCGACAGTGGGTTTTTATAAAGGTGAGTGTGGCTTTCTCAGCTCTCTCTTACTCCTACCCTCTTGCACATGCATGCATTCTTTCTGTCTGTGTCTGTCTCTGTCTCCTGTGCTCTTCACCACATGATCTCTCTGCCAGCAGTAAGGGCCTGGTCAGATGCTGCTGCCAGGCTCTTGGACTTCACGGCCTCTAGAACTGTGAGAAATAAATTTATTTTCTTTATAAATTACCCAGTCTGTGGTATTCTGTTATAGCAGCAGAAAAAAAAGACTAAGACAAGTTTCTAACACATAAGCTTTAGAGATACATTCAAACTAATGCAGAGATTTGGGGAAAATGAAACTCAGATATAAACAGTTCTTTTCTTACCAGATCACAAACAGAAGATAAAAACTACAAAAGGTCTTTGAAAAGATGTAATTGCTGTTTCTTTTTTAGCAGACATACAAGATGAATAAAAATTAATGGAGCAAAATTAGTAGCCTTAAGGGTGACTCATACATAGTAAAAAAAAAATGTATCTGGAAAAAAGTTTTTAAATTCAAAATGTTAATTCAATTTCCTTACTAGCTATTTCTGATTGATTCAGGTGGTGTCCCTCTGAGGCTTTCTAGAAATCAGTGTAAGATCAGATAATTACCATTGGGACCAGACAGCTAACTTCTGCTTGCTTCTAAAAACACTAGCAGCTGTAAATAGCTGACTTAAAACAAGCCTGCTGGTGTATTCCAGTTGACGTATTATTTGGTATCACAAGGACTGGCAAGTGTGGTATGAAACTTAAAGGTCAAAAAAAAAAAAAAAGAAACTTAAAGGTCTCAGAGTCACTGTTTTAAATGAAGGTGGTAGTGGGTAGGAAGGATTCATAAGAAAGTTCAAGCATCAGATGGAGAAAATTTGATTCTTCAACTAACCACCATGATGACTATGAACACAAGCATTACCATACCACTACTTTTGTTCTGGTGATGAAATGGTTTACCTTATTTTGTCACCAAACACCCTACAGGGTGAGTAGACATTATTCTCATTCAACAGATCAGGAAACCAATGCCCTTTGGGTTGAGGTGGTCTTACCCAGAATCACATAGTTTATAATGGTGAAGCTGGTGATTTTTCTTTTTTTTTGAGACAGGGTCTCGCTTTGTAACCCAGGCTGGAGTGCAGTGGCATGATTTCAGCATACTGCAGCCTCGACTTCCCGGGCTTGAGCAATCCTCTCACCTCAGCCTCACAAGTACCTGGGACTACAGGCACATGCTACCACGCCCAGCTAATTTTTGTATTGTTTTGTAGAGACAGTATTTTGCCATATGGCCCAGGCTGGTCCTGAACTCCTGGACTCAGGCAGCCTACCAAAGTGCTGAGATCACAAGTGTGAGCCACCAGGACCAGCCTCTTTTTTTGTTTTGCTTAACATTTTAAAATTCAAAGTGATAGTATTCCATTACTTGAAGTATATGTGGAAAAAGACTACTGCAGCAAACAAAAATGCTGTTTTAGGAAGGTAATAACAGCTTAAAATATTCAATCCTCAAAACTTTATTTCTGATTTTTGTACAAATATATAATGAATAAACAAGTCTTTCCAAATTCTTTAGCTTGAGAGAAAGCTACTAGGCAAAAATATGAAACAAATTTAATGCTAATTATTAAAATACACCCTCCCAATAGCATTTCCTAGAAAATACAGGGAAATAAATGCCCCTTGAGGAACTACTTGCCCCTGTATAGGTGTCCTCATGATTAGCATGTGGCTTTGTTGAGTATTAGTCTTGAGGTTAAATAAGGCCCTAGACTGATAAATGAAGGAAACATCTGCGAACAAGTAAACCCTGTAATGATAATGAGTTGTTGATTTGGGGTAATTTGTTTTATATGCCTATTTCAGGTAGTGTTTCTACTAAGGTCTCATTCTCTCCCACCTCCACCCCACACTCTCTGCTCTCTTTGAAAACCTGGGACTTTCTTTGCAAAGTTATTGTGGCCCTCCCTCACCCTGAAAAGAGGTGACAGCATAAAAGCAGTGCCAGGAGTGGGAAAATCTCTGCCCATGCAATGAGCACGTCACTTGCTGTGTCCTAGGTGAAAAGATAACAGGGATAATGGAAAATAAGAGTTTCTCAACTTCTCAAACTAACCTCACTGTCCATCAAATTTTAGAGTTGAGATTTTGTTTTTCAGTTAAAAATTAAGAAAAATTGTGGCAGGCTGTAATTATTTCCTAAGCTGTGTAGTCTGCTGTGAGCTATCAGAGTGCTGTAGAAAGACCATGAAACCTGCAGAGGTTGGAGTTCGGCTTCAAGCCCTCCTGTGCTTAGGTAAGTCCTCTTGGATCCTCACTTAGAACCAAGTATAACCAGTTCATTTAACAAATGAGAGCAGGTGCTATCCCTTAGGAAACTGAAAATTGCTATACGAATGTAGGTTGCTGGGATGTTGATATCACCATTATAACTAGAAAGGTCCATGTGGTACAAGAGACTAAGTTATAATTTGGAAACTTTTGTGGGGGGATCATTTTCAATCAAATTAACCTGTTCTGCAATGACTTTTAACAAGATCACCTTTCACCATGTGATCCTCTCTTTTTTCCAAGTAAGGTCTTATATGCAAGATAAAATTAACACTAAAAATAAATGTTAAGAAAAATGATGCTCCCACATTTTAAATAAACATGGCTTCCTCTTCACTATTTGAGTTCAGAATTACACAGGGCACATCATATTAACAGCACACTCATAATTCATATTTTCTCCAATATCATTAGAATTACAATATAAATGGTAATGGATTTACAAAGAAAATACAGGTACTGGCTTTGTACAGGAATTTTATGTTATAAAAGATCCTTAAATATGTAACCCCCATCATATAGTTTAGAATGATGATCAGAAATGTTAATTTCTTGACTATTTCCTTTTCTCTATCATCTTACTCTTTCCCCATGATAAGGCTTTTTCCTTGGATACTATATGATTGCCCCTTAAATCTCCATCTCTCATCTTCTCCTGTGCCTTATGCTTGCAACATTGGCTGGAATTAGCCTTTAATAATAATATTTCATGACATATTTCATTACATAGTTGATAGACTAAAGAAAGTATCAGTGGGTGATAGGTTGGGTTCAAGTGAGATTCTAACTTTTGTTTGGACAAGCTGTTTAGTTTTGACAATTATAAAATGGGAAAAGCTTAAAGAACCATATATAAAATTATTAACTAAAATACTACAGAATGCATTTTAACATTTTACTTCTCATTTTGTTTGTTCAACATTCTGATTTGGTTGCTAGGCTAAGAGAACATTTTTATCAAAAACATACTATTTACACCACGTGTCTGCTCTCATTATCTTTTTGGAAAATTGTCAAATATATTCGTAAATAATGATTCTTCAATTTCCTTATAAAACCAATGTTTGGATAGATCCATTAGCCATTTTGGAGATAATATATCTCTTTGCTACTGAAAAAAAAAAAAAAGATCAGAGGAAAACTTTAAATAATACCCAACCAGGTTGAAGACATATCATACTCTTTAAATCAAGCTTTTGTTTTATAAATCAAGTGTTCTGGTTTTGTTTAAAACACCTACTTTCTTAATGTATTCATTTTTAGTAGTTAATGAAAGGACAGTGGGAAAAAAACTCATAAACTGAGGCTTCTAAACAGAATTAGGCAGTTAAATCAAATCTCTGAAAAATTCATAATCATTACAATGCAGAGGTAGTTCTTAATGTATTTGATAACAGATACATTCTCTAACAAAATTAAGTGTGTATGTGTAAGGGCGGATGGGGAGTAGGAATTTATCAAAACAATAATTATCATGATATCTAAGAAATATAAAAATGGAAATGAGCCAATGTATTAAAGTGGAGGAAAAAAATCTCTCAAGTGAAAAACAAGAGACCTAACTTTAAAAACAATGCAATATTTGATCAATTTTCATTCTACTCAAGTCTATTTAAATTAACTGAGAATACCCAAAAGCCTCAAAAAGCATATTGCAGTATGATTCCAATTTGAGAAGGAGAGGCCTTGCTTATGTAAATAATTCAAATGAATAGCAGAGTTGTGGATTTTTAAAATCATAATTCTTATCTAACAGTTAGGGGGCTGTGAGGATTGCTTTTTAAAAACCAACATCTGGCCAGGCGCAGTGGCTCACGCCTGTAATCCCAGCACTTTGGGAGGCTGAGGCGGGTGGATCATGAGGTCATGAATTCAACACCAGCCTGGCCAAGATGGTGAAACCCCATCTCTACTAAAACTACAAAAAAAAATTAGCTGGGCACTGTGGCAGGCGCCTGTAATCCCAGCTACTCAGGAGGCTGAGGCAAGAGAATCACTTGAAGCCGGGTGGCGGAGGATGCGCTGAGCCAAGATCGTGCCACTGCACTCCAGCCTGGGTGACAGAGTCAGACTCCGTCTCAAAAAAAAAAAAAAAACAAAAAAAAAAAAACCAACATCCAGCCCATGAAGACATTCTCAGACTACGGGTACAGGAAGACCCTTTGCCTAAGCTGCCTTGTGCTTTATAAGATTTCACATTCTAGCACACGTGTACTATCCTTCATGTGCAGGCGGCTTGCTACGCAAATAAATTCCAAGCAATATTTTGGTCTCCTTTAGACTATAATTTACCAAAGAAACCAAGCAGATCTAAAATTTCACCATTGAAGAGATGAGCTGCATATTTAGCAGACTCACTTGTCTTGCCTGTGCATTGTTTGAAATGCCAGTCTGTTCACTTCTTTGTGAGTCACTGTTTGGCCTTGCAACAGTAACACCAAATTAATCAGCATTAAACACGCATAAACAATCTATGATTTTAAATTCATTAATGTATAGAAAAATGTTTTCTTTTAGAACTGTACTTACATGCATACAAAAATAAGAATCAAGGGTTAAACCTTTAATGTTCCTCTTATCACATAGTCTTAAATGAATTAACATCTGTTCCACCTAAGGATGTACAACAGGAAAAGAAATCTCCATTCCATTTTATCACTTAACAAATAACTATAGTAAGCAATTTACAAATATTAGCCAGTTCAATACTCAAAACACCCCATGCAGTAGAGATCTCTTCATGAGGAGCCTGAGACCCAGAGGCATTAAGTCTCTTGCCCACAGTCCCACAGCTGGTAGGTGACGGGCACAGCCCATGTTCAAACCCTGGAGTCTGGCTCCAAAGGCCAAGCTCTAAACTACCATGCTATGCTACCTCTTCAATTTTACAGACAAGTGACAGTTATAAAGTAATGTTACAAATGCTTAATTAATCTTGAGGAGCAGATTACTACCATGAAGCCTGCTGTGAAGTTAAAATGGTCCCTTCTTTATTAGAAGACCTTTGCTAAATCAATATGAAATATTCACAACTTTAGGAGATAAAAGTCAAACAACACCTTTCAAGTCACCAAGGGATCAAACAGACTATGCAGCTAAGATGGTAACTTTAACATTCACTTATTTATTAGTAATTTTAAACCTGTCTGGTTTTTAAAAATGGAGAAATCAGTGTACAATAAATGACACACATAACCATGTAGCCTTTGAAAATAAAAATAAAAGGCTAAATCTGTGGAAGAAAAAGTAGAAGCTAATTATAATCTAAACCTAAGTATAGGTCACTACATTGAGTGCTAAATTTGTCTCTGAGCTTCCTGAGAGTCAAGGCAAAAAGAGAGGGATGGTCACCTAGATGAGCTTTGTTGTTTCAACAAAGAGGGGTGAGCAGCTTTATTTGGAAAGCAAATTTAACAAAATGAATAGACTTGTAATTCTAACCAATTTAGTAAATAGATTTTATAGTCAGAAAACCTATTTTATCATCCTTGTCTAGGTAAGTGATTTGTAAGCCAAAGCTGCCCAAAATAACGTCAAAATAAAATACCACAATGTATTGCCATACCTAAGTATCTTTTGGCTGTGTAAATGCAGTTTCAGCTCTGCCATATCTTGGAGTCACCATTAATGCCCAATTGGATAAATGGCCTCCTAATGGGATTCTTGACTCTATTTTATGTCTCTCTGATCCATTTCCCATAATCCATAATCCATCCAGAGAGATATTTTAAAAACTCAAGTCTGGTCATGTCGTGCCTCCACTTAAAACCCTACAATGGTTCCCCATTGCTCTCAGGAGAAAGCCCAGCGCCTTATGTTGCCACATAAAGCCCTACTTTATTTTTCAGATGAGTGCACAGGAGGCCATATAATGAAGATGCCATAATTTATTTAACCACTTTCCTATTAATAGACATTTGGCTTGTTTCCAATTTTAAGCTATTACCAACAATAACGCATATCTCTTTGGATACGGGGTGAGCATTTTTCTAGAAGTGGAATTACTAGGTTGAAGGAAGAATAGTTATACTTTTGATTTTCATATATATATATATATAGTTAAATTGCCCTCCAAAATGGCCTTATCAATGTGTTTTTTTATTCTTGGCATCATTTAGCACTGTGACCACAGCCTCTCTCCACATAGTTTATGAGGGTTTTCTTACCTACACCCAACAATACTGTATATAACATTTTTTAATTGTTGACATAAAAGGGGAACAAATATTTTTTTGTAGTTTTTGTTTTCTTAATTGCTATTGAGAGGGAATTCTTTTCATGTGTTTATTGAATCTCTTTGTCCATTTTTCTGTTGAGTTATAATAACTGAATTACAATTATTGAGACTATTTTTCCTCATTTAAACTTTGTTTACCCTCATTCATTATGTGTAAGTTTTTTACTACTTTGTACTAAAATGTATCAAAAACCCTGTTGAACTTTTGACTAAGATTATACCGACTCTATTGAATAACATAGGGACAGTTGATACTATCATCATCATGTTACACTGTCCTATACAAGAATACATTATCTGTTATAGTCTTCAGAAAAATATCCCTTTTCATCATAAAGGTCTTACAACATTTATTTTTTGTTAGATTTATTTCCAGGTGTATTTGCTTAGTTCCTTTAGCGAATGAGATCTTTTTCTATTGTGTTTATTTAATTTGTCCCTTTCTGTTAATTTTTTCTTTCTTTCTTTTTTTAATTGAGACAGGATCTCTCTTTTTTTCTGTCACTCACACTGGGGTGCAGAGGTGTGTGTGATCACAGTTCACTGCTGCCTCAAATTCCTGCACTGAAGCAATTCTCCTGCCTCAGCCTTCCGTAGCTGGAACTACAGTTGAGTGCCACCACACCTTGCTAATTTTTAAATCTTTTTCACAGAGATGGGGTCTCACTATGTTGCCCAGGCTGGTCTTGAACTCCTGTCCTCAAGGATTACTCTTGCCTCAGCCTCCCAAAGTGTTGGGATGACAGGCATGAGTCACTGCGTCTGACCTTAATTTTATTTTTGATGGTATCTTGTAGTTAGCTCAAACTCAATGGTCTTATTAGTTTTTCAGTTGATTTTCCTGCAGTTCCTGTAATTGCTTGTGTATTCATCTGCATTCTCTGGTAGACCAAAATTTCCATGAGAAAGGAAACTTTCAGTTATAGCCCCACTACCTAGCACAGGTCCTCGAGCACAGTAGGTAATCAGTAAGTAGTTTTTGACCTAAACAAAATAGAAAATGTGGACCCTCAAGCTTCTCTTCTCATCAATGAGTGTCAATGCATGTTCATTTCTCCCTATAATGGTCAAACTTCTTGAACAAATGAACCTAGGATTCTACTATCCAAAACTTAATGATTAACTTATAAAAATAGCACATATGAAAATTTAAAACACTTTCCTAAATAAGCACTGAATTAAAGTCCAAACAAGTCGATTGAAAAATAGAAAAGATCAGACCATTACGCATGGAAGAATTAAAAAACAAACAAACACCACATTCAACTTTAGCATTTAGAAAAAGAGGAACAACTCCAACAACATCCACACCCTAAGAAATGAAGAAGTAATATAAAATATTACAAAAATATAAAATATAAAAATAGGCACAATTACTCATCCAAGAGTATTTTTGGGTGTGTGGGGGGGATGCAGGAGGAAAGAAGGGTGTTGTGGGGAGGTGAAGGAGGAAAAACCTCACAAAAACAAAATGAAATTTACAAAAAATTAATACTGAAGCAGACAAAACACTGGCAAAGCCAATCAAGAAAAAAAAAAAAAAGATAAAAGACAAAATGAGGAATGAAAAGGAAGTGCTAAGAACCAGGAGAATATTACATACAACTCTATGCTAATAAATATGAAAAAGAATATTCTAATGAAATGCGTAGTCATTGGAGAAAATAATTATAAAAATTGATTCAAAAATTTTTAACAAAGGAAACCAATGTACACACAAGCAACTGAAAATGTCATTAAATAATTTCCTGCTAAAAAACTCTAGAGAAGAAAGCTTTAATTTTTATTTTTAATTTTTTTAGAGACAGGGTCTTGCTCTGTCACCAGGCTGGATTGCAGTGGTATGATCCTAGCTCACTGCAGCCTCAAATCCTGGGCTGAAGCGATCCTCCCCCCTCAGCCTTCTGAGTAGCTGGGACTATAGGGGCATGCTACCATGCCTGGCTAATTTTAAAATCTTTTTTGTAGAGAAGAAGTCTCGCTATGTTGCTTTGCCCAAGCTGTTCTTGAACTCCTGGGCTCGAGCGATCTGCCCGCCTCTGCCTCCCAAAGTGTTGGGATTACAGGCGTGAACCACCTCGCCCAGCCAAGAAAGCTTTCAAACTTTCAAGAAACACAATCCCCATGCTACAGAAAGAGATCCAGAGCATGGGAAAAAATACAGAAAATGATCCCACTAGATTTTAGGAAGGCAGCATGACTATGACTGGAAAACCCTGACCACGGGGCGTGGAAGAGGAATAATAAAACAGGGGATCCTTTCCCTTGGGGTACGAACATCATGAAGACAGGAGGCTCTGGAGAGTGAGTCCCAGCTTGACCATTTCATAGTGATACCACTTTGACCAAGTGACTTTCCTCTGTGATACCCCCGATTGTGAGGGTTCAAGGAAATAACCCCCATATAAAGCACTTAGTATCAGGTGAGCAACAAAATATTGACTGGCTTTAGGGGGAGGACTGTCCATGTTCCCTTAAAATATGTGAAAATCTGCATATGTATCAGTATGTTCATTTTTTGGAGAGGAAGGTTCACGGTTTCCATGAGATTCTCGAATGAGTCACAGACCACAAAATGTTCAGATCCATTGCTACACATGAATCTTACTTCTGAACATCGATGCAAAATAAAAATCTGGATGAAATATAAGCAAAATAAATACAAAGGCACATTATACAAATCCTTCACCAATAACAAAAAAGGGTTAATCATTGGAACTGAAGGCCCTGGGGTGGGAGTGTGGACAGCTTTTCTAAAAAGCAATTTGGCAGTTTCTACCAAAACCCCTTTAACCTAATAGTACCTGTATCCTTTAACCTATTAATTGTGCTTCTAAGAATACATCTATAGTATGAGGTATTTATTATGGAGTAATTTATACTAATAAAATATTGGAGACAACCTGAATGCTCAACAATAGTGGAATAGTTAATAAAGTGATGTATCCATTCAATGGCATAGTATTATGTAGCCATTACAGAAAAGGTTTCTGAGAACTTCAGTGACACAAAACAGTGCTCACAGTATGATTTTTAGAAGTAACTGGCTGGGCAGGGTGGCTCAGCCTGTAATCCCAGCACTTTGGGAGGCCAAGGTGGGCGGATCACGAGGTCAGGAGATCGAGACCAGCCTGGCTAACATGGTGAACCCCATCTCTACTAAAAAAATACAAAAATTAGCCAGGTGTGGTGGTGGGCGCCTGTAATCCCAGCTACTCGGGAGGCTGAGGCAGGAGAATCCTTTGAACCTGGGAGGCAGAGGTTGCAGTGAGCTGAGATCGTACCACTGCACTTCAGCCTGGGCATCACAGCAAGACTCTGTCTCAAAAAAAAGAAGTAACTTGTATGCAATATAATGATAGCATTGTAAAATAAAATAAATACCCAAGGTCTAAAGGAAGCAAATACTCCAAACTGATCATAATGGTGAAACCTGTGTGCTGGACCATAGTGATTAATTATTTTTTTATTGTTTCTTCTCTTTACTTTTCAGATTTTCTATATATTTTTTAAACAATCAAATCAAAGCCATTTAAAAATATCTTACTAATAAAAGTGGGTAATCAGGTGATCAGAGCTACTGTTCCCTGCGTGGTGATGGTGACAATATTACTTCAACTTTTCATTTAGTATTAAGATAATTTAAAAATACTGCTGATTAATGACAGGGCTGTAAACAGATTATCATTTATAAGTCTTCTAAATAGCCTAACAGTACCAACTAAAAGCAGTGGAATCTGTCTGGGGAGGTTAGGGTACTTACTGTCTTCCTCGGCCTCTGTAAATTACACAAAGCTTTCCCTACCTTCAACATGAAAATATCAGTAAAACATATTCATTGCATCAGAAACATTTTAGAAATAGTGTCATGACTTTTTTTTAATGCCAAACTTAATAAGAAAGAAAATATTTAAAAACCGGTAAGTACGGTCGGGCGTGGTGGCTCACGCCTGTAATCCCAGCACTTTGGGAGGCTGAGGCGGGTCGATCATGAGGTCAGGAATTCAAGACCAGCCTGGCCAAGATAGTGAAACCCTGTCTCTACTAAAAATACAAAGATTAGCTGGGCACAGTAGCAGGCACCTGTAATCCCAGCTACTCGGGCGGCTAAGGCAGGAGAATCACTTGAACCTAGGGGCTGGAGGTTGCAGTGAGCCAAGATCACTGCACTCCAGCCTGTGTGACAGAGTGAGACTCCATCTCAAAACAAACCAACAAACCAACCAACCAACCAACCTCATAAGTAGACACTGTATTTAAAATAAGAAAACTAATAAAACTACTTATGTTATTTTTCTTCCTAACCCATGTATTACAGGAGGTGATTCATCCCACCAGTGCTTCTTCTGCAGACAGTAAAATATGGTCCCAGTGACCATCTCAGGTGCCATGCTTCCAGCATTTTATCAGACAAGGCTGAAGACAGCAGACATTAAACTTCAGTTGTGTGCTCCACAGAACATTAGCTGTCTTCATCATTACTTTGCATCTTTCAGTGATAGGTATGAATTTGTCTACTGATACGGTTTGGCTGTGTCCCCAGCCAAATCTCATTTTGAATTGTAGCTCCCATAATTCCCATATGTTGTGGGAGGGACCCAGTGGGAGGTAACTGAATCATGGGGTGGGGGGGGTCTTTCCCGTACTGTTCTGGTGAGAGAGAATAAGTCTCATGAGATCTGACCGCTTTACAAAAGGGAGTTCTTCTGCAAACCCTCTCTTGCCTGCTACCATGCAAGATGTGACTTTGCTCCTTCTTGCCTTCCACCATGATTATGAGGCCTCCCCAGCCATGTGGAATTGTAAGTCGATTAAGCCTCTTTCCTTTATAAATTACCCGGTCCTGGGTATGTCTTTATTAGCAGCATGAGAACAGACTAATATACCACATTCATCAGAAATTTGATGACTTTTCTTCTGAGACAGAGTCTCGCTCTGTCACCCAAGGCTGGGGTGTAGTGGTGCGATCTCAGCTCATTGCAACCTCTCCCTCCCGGGTTCAAGTGATTCCCCTGCCTCAGCCTCCCAAGTAGCTGGGATTACAGGTATGCACCACCAAGCCTGGCTAATTTTTGTATGTTTTGGTAGAGACAGGGTTTCGCCATGTTGGCCAGGCTGGTCCTGAACTCCTGGCTTCAAGTGATCTGCCTGCCTCAGCCTCCCAAAGTGCTGGGATTATAAGCATAAGCCACTGTGTCAGCCAGAGATCTGATGACTTTTCTATCACTTTTTCATCTTGTCAGAAAACAGATGAACCCACCAAGGGTTATGCTAGTCGGATTAACATCACTTTTTAAATCACACAGGTTTTTGGTGGGGACACAGATGCATGGCATTGTAATATCTGCTCGTGTGTATTTATCACCATGGGGCAGACTTTGTAAAATATTCCAGTTGTATTTTTTTTAATGCCCAACTTGTAGACCATTTTAGTTTGCTTCTGCCCGTATTTCTTTCATCTGGATAAAAATAATCCTATGTAGGTTCCCACTTTCTCCACATAAATAATCTCTTCTTTGCCCCTCACATGAATTTCTCACAAGTCTTGACTAATCTGGAACTTTGTCTTGCAGCCCAGGAGGTGTATCTACCTTAAATTAGCTCCTGTCTTGGGCAGAAAACAATACACTTACATATTTATGTTTTGGCGAAGAAGGATATTTATAAAGAAGAGGAGAGGAGAAAAGGGTATATGAGGGAGAGAGAGAAACAGAGATAGATGCGAATTAAAAGCAAGACAAAAATACAGAAAAATATCAAAGCTCTGTTGATCAAGGCTCTGTTGGTTACTAAATACATTACCTAAAAGAAAACTGGTAAAAGCCTGCTATTTATGTGGGTATGGGTATGACAGTACATTACAAATTGTATTTATAGCTCTTTGAAACTACACTGATTTTTAGAACATTCCTTTAGCCCTTAGAAACAGATGGTATGCTTTTTATTTTGAAATTACCCTTCCACTTTTCCCAATTGTGGTGTATTACTTTCTGATTTGTAAGACAATAGCTTTGAGTCCAAGGAAATGTGCAATTATATAAAAAAGAAATTTTTCTCATGTGTAGCTATGTCAGTTAAGTATTAAAGGGTCTTCCCACTAGTGAATAAAAATTAATCTCTCTGTAGCTTCCATATGTTACCTGTACAGCATCTGCTCAAATGAGTTGTCTTTCTAGGCTGCTTGACATGTTAGGAACCTGAAAATGATCCCATCTTGACTGAATCTCAAATGCCCTTCCTGAGCAGCACTGATGAAACAGATGGAGCACCTGGATGTTATCTGCTTTGGATCTGGTTCTCAGGAGGAGGAGGAGCAGAAGGCTGGGCACAACGGTGTTTGAGGTTCTCAACTGCCCCCAGAAAGAAGGGTTGACTTGATTTACATTGACTTCAACTTGATTATCTTGATCTACTTAACTGCATTTTCGGCTTTTATGCTCAAGCCACCGGTCAGCATGCTTCCTATGGTCAACTGCAGTCTTTGACTACATGCAGGATATCTCAAATGCAGCTTGGAACATAACTTAACCATTCCTCAGGTTTACTGCCAAACGATAATGCTTTGCCAGTTCTGCAAAGCTGTTTATAATTTAGTATACTTTCTTGGGTGTGCACGTCTACTTATCAGCTTGCAATAGTTTCAAGGGCTTCTGAAGACATCTGCGGAATGAGATGACAGAGGGCCTTAGAAGCTCCGACATAGATTATAACATCAGCTGGCAGTGCCTTGTGTCTCCTTGAGTAAGGCTTATGAAGCCATGAATTTAATTTATTAAATAAAATGGAATCTCCTGATTTATTTCACTGGTGAAGAATGTCTTAGACAAGGTACTGTCACATGGCCATCCATTAATAATACAGTTAAGATTTTGGTCACTTAATCAGTTTACAAGCTTTGCAGTAGCCATCTGAGAGTGGGCATTCTTAAGGTGTCAAAGGAAGGTCAAAGAATAGAATACTGAGAATCTTGGACTTGCCATCAATTTGATGTGAACGAGAGTGTGTATTCTTGACCACAGTAGGTCCTAAAAGAATAATTCTGGTGACATGGGCTAAATGATTTAAAGTTAAGTGGCTATTGTTGGATAGGGTTTTCATATCTATTATAAACTAATTGCCATCTTTGGTTCCAGGCTAATTAAGTGTTTTCTAATATTTATAAAACAGTCCTGCCATAGTTCATATGAATCAGTCATGGTTACTTTTGGTGGCACAGTAATTAGAAATGATTAAGTCAGCTGGTTGTCAGCTTTGACAGTACCTTTGGCAGAAATATTTTAGAAAAGCAACTCTAAACTTAAAATCTAATGGCATTACTACTCAAACTCTTTCTCACGGGCTCAAAAACACCATTGAAACTAAGCGCACATTTGTTAGAACTACAGGATATGCCATAAACTAACCGTAGCCCATAATAGATGTACAAACAGGCAAGCCACAGTGCCTGTTTTGCTTTTCTGATATCACATTGCTTTCACCTACATTATCTCATTTGTTCCTCATGACAACTATTTGAAGTATCATTATCTCTAGGACACAGATAAGGAAACTGAGGCTCCCAGAGGTTAAGTGACATACTCAAGGTCACCCAGCTGGTATATGGTGGAACCAGATGTCAGTCTGGGTGTTCTGTCTTCAAGGGTTGTTTTCTTTTCACTTTCACACCTGCCCTCTTAAGAGACCGGCACTGATGTAGATATGAATAGGAGCATCACATGAGACAGACAGTCAGAGTGGGGTACAATGAGGTTAGCAACTTCTGCATCACAGTTACTTGATTATCTCTCTGCTTTTTTTTAAATCCCAAATTTAAA
This sequence comes from Homo sapiens, assembly GCF_000001405.40. Taxonomy (NCBI): domain Eukaryota; kingdom Metazoa; phylum Chordata; class Mammalia; order Primates; family Hominidae; genus Homo; species Homo sapiens. The sequence continues at coordinate 21,166,741 of NC_000006.12, read as the reverse complement.
AATCCAAATACTTTTTAGCAGGTAAAACATTTTCCTTTTCAATCAAAATGTTCTACTATGCTCTCTTTGATTAGTCTATTGAAAGCTAAACCTTTGTCCACTGAAGTTTTTTTAATAGTGAAATTTCAGATGAGGAGATTGGATTGGTTGATGGCTAGCATGTCAAAGGACCTGGCCTATCAAGAAGTTATTAAAGCAATTAGCCTTTAACGAAGCTGCTGCAGGAGAAGCTGTAGCATCTTTTCCACTGGCACTCCTGCAGGTCTATGCCATTTCGTGCCTGGCATGTTATGTATGATCTACTTCATGCTATCCTCAAACTCACCCTACCTTTCCCTCTTCCAGCCTTAAAACTGGTAGGGGAATTTTCTTTACAAAGTCCAAATCTAATCACCTGAAACATTTTAACGGTCCCTCATTACCTACAGAATAAAGTCTGCTTTCACAATTCCCACCTCTCTGCACTCTTTCACGTCATACCTCATTTTCTGGTAATAGTGAAAAACTACATGAAGTTATCTGAACATGGCAGGCTCTCTCACACATCTGTATCCCTACGACTACCCCCTTTTTCTTCCCAATTTAATTATCAGGTCAACTCCTAACAATATGAATGCTAATTCTGTACTGGCTCTGTTCTGAGTACTTCATATATGTAACATGTGTAATGCTCACAGCAACTCTATGAGGTAAGCACTATTATTATTCCCTATCTGATGATTCGGGAACTACAGCATAGAATGGTTAGTTACTTTCCGAAGGTCACACAGGTAGTCAGTGGAAGAGCCAGGATGTGAATCCAGGCAGTCTACTTCCAGAATCACCTCCTAATCACAGAACTAGGCTTTAAGTTCAAGTGTTGCTTCCTCTGGGAAACTTCCCCTGAGTTGACTCCTGCCCACAGGTGCGTAAAGCTCTCTCTCTTTTAAGTCAGCACGCTCATAGGATGCCATGCACTGTGCTGTCATCGCAGAGTACAGACTCTCCTAGTAGCCTCCTTGACTCAGGCAGTAAGAAGTGTCCTACTCATCCTCTGTCCTCAGCAGCTACCACATGACATGGTCAGTGCTAAAGAAATGCCTTTGGTTGAATGAAATGGAAAATACTATGAAAATGAGAACTATACGTCAACACAGTAATTTACTAATGTTGTTTCTTCTACGAGCTCTCAAATCAGAGCATTTAACTTCAATATTTCCTTCTCTGTAAAGCAAAATGAAGGAGATGGATAATTATAAAGATTTTTAATAATTATCCCAAATGTAAAAACTCCCAAAAGTAAAAAGAAGCTATGAACATATTTGCTATATCCTTTTAGAACTGTTCGGAGTAAATAAAAAGAATCCATTAGCTATCAGCTATTTTTCTGACTCTTTATATTTTGACCTTAGAATTCACAATAACAATATTATTTTTACTCTACAACACAACAAATCCAGCACCATATTTTAGGAGAGTTGGGCCGTAAAGAAGAAGCTGATGGCAGGAGTGGAGTAATCAGTCAGAAATTCTTAGAACAGCATAGTCATTTTAATAACAACAAAATGGTCCTTCTTCTCCTGAAACAGAAAGTGGAAGGAAAGGGCTAAGGAAGTGGATGTGAAGAGGTCATCTTTGTTGCTGTCAAAGCTGTGGTCAATTACTTTGCCACAAGGCTTTGGCCAGGAAGGAAGTTTATTCCTTTGAAGAGACACCTGGGGAAGGAGGAAAGAAAGGGTTTTTGCTTTCACATTGATTAACCACATCTTAGCTGTCTATTCGTTCATTTCAGTTTAAAGAGAAATCTTCCCAGTGTGTGCTATGCCATGAAGATGAATTAGATTCCTCTGGTGGAGCTTTACAGCCTAGTGATGGCAAAGACATTTTTTTAAAAAGATTCTTTCCAATATTATGTATACATGCTGTTGATGAAGAGGCAAGCTACAGTGGTGGCTTAAAGGCTGGCACAAAGCTGGTCAAGTCAAGCTTCAAGGATGATGAATACAGTGAATCCAGTTTATAAAGGCGGGAAGCCTGTTTCAAGCAGAAAGTAGTCAGGGAAGATGAGGGGGCATTCTGACCTCATCTTTGATGCTGAGAATTTTTGAGTCTGTGTTTATGAATATAAGCTTCTAAGTTTACACTTGACCATCATGGATGGATTTTACCTGGCTAGCAATATTAGGCATAAATGGCATCAAGCCAATTTAGTTCCAGGACAGGGAATGCTGGGAGACAATGATGGATAGTGGTAAAGGGCCAGCCCCGGTCTGTGTGTGTTATGGTTGAAGCACCTGGACTTGCTTTTGTAGGTTACAGTGGCTGCTATAGGGTATGAGGCATGGCAGTGAGGTTAAATCTGGGTTCTGGCTAGATCCTAGGTCCCAGTTTTCTGGGTTCTGGCTAAATCTAGGTCCCAGTTTTTGAGATTCTAAATGCTAGTAAAATGAGTGGAAATTTTTTAAAAAACCCAGCTTGTTTATAAGGTTGTGTACTTTTCATTCTACAAGCAGGTACATAATTTTTTAAAATTTCAAATCTATGATCACAATAAATCATTTCAAAATAGGAAGTGATTTTAAATCTTTTAAATCATCAATTTAAGCTGTAAGTTGTACTGTCTTTGTTTTTCTTATCTCTTCTGCAGTTTGGTGAAAATGTCATCCTGGACCAGCATTTAGTAGACCAACAATTAGGAGCAGTGGAATAGGTCATTCTGGAGCTAGGTAGAGGGGCAATGCTAGGGACAGGGAGCCTAATTAATAACTAAAATAGACACATTATTTCTTTTTCTTTTCTTTTTTTGTTTTTGAGATAGAGTTTCGCTCCTCTTGCCCAGGCTGGAGTGTAATGGTGTGATGTTGGCTTACTGCAGCCTCCGTCTCCCAGGTTCAAGGGATTCTCCTGCCTCAGCCTTCCAAGTAGCTGAGATTACAGGATGCACCACCATGCCTGGCTGATTTTGGTATTTTTAGTAGAGATGGGGTTTGCCATGTTGGCCAGGCTGGTCTCAAACTCCTGACCTCAGGTGATCCACCCGTCTCTCGGCCTCCTGAAGTGCTGGGATTACAGGCATGAGCCACCGCGCCCGGCCAGATAACAGCATTATTTCAAGACTACAAAGTTTAAGATTATGACTCAACACCACATGCCTTTTTCTGATTTTCATCTGACAAACGCCTGTGGTTTAGAGGCCTCCACAGTAAGGATTTTGGATGATTGGTTAAAGAACTTTTGAGGGAGAGGGAACATGACTAGGATGAAAAAGAAACAGATGAGGAAAGTGAAAAAGATGGTGACTTGAAATCAAGACACTAAAGGCTACTGTATTCCCAAACCACGGTGGGTTCTGCCGGTGGCCCCAAGCGGGTGTTTGTTTTGGGTTACTGTGAAGATTAAGAGGTCAGGATCCAGTCTAAAGCAGCTAATGATGTATGTGAGGCCTCTGCATCACTGAGAGAATGAAGTGGAGGAGGTTATAAAACCGACCCCAGGAAGGTGGCTCATGAACGAGAACTCAGGAACAACCACCACATCTGCAGTAATCTCAAGAGAAGTGACTTTTGCACAAGGCAAGGTTGTGCTGGCAGTGAGGAGGAGGCAAAACGGGCATTTGCTAGCGTTATACATCAGGCTTAAATTTAAAGGCAGATTTTGTGTGCTAGGGAGTTGATTCCTAATATTGTTCTGTCCCAGTTGGCCTCACTGTGATTACCATAGAAGGGTTCAGCTGTGGCATTAGTTAAGCTATTCAAGCCAGGCCCTCTCTCTCTTCCTCCCTCCCCCTTTCCCTCTTGTCCTTTCCTTCCTTTCTTTCTTCCATCAAGATGAGTTCTTGCTGTGTTGCCCAGGCTGGAGTGCAGTGGCTATACATAGGTGTGATCATTGCACACTACAGCCTCAAACTCCTGGGCTCAAGTGATCCTCCCACCTCAGCCTCCTGAGCAGCTGGGACTACAGACACATGCCACCACACCCAACTAATTAAGAAAACCTTTTTTTTAGAGACAAGGTCTTGCTATGTTGCCCAGGCTGGTCTCAAACCCCTGGGCTCCAGCGATTCTCCCACCTCAGCCTCCTGAGTAGCTAGGATTACAGGCGTCAGCTACTGTGCCCAGCAGGCCAGACTTTTTCTAGGTCCTTCAAAGCTAACAAGCATCAAGGAAGTTACATATGTGATGCTGAGACTGATTGAGTCAGGTGGCTTTTGTTTTTACTTTCAATTCTAGAGCAAAGTTTCAGTTAACTGGAATTCTGCTAACTCAAATCTCAAGGCCAGAGCTGGTTCTGGGCAAAACCATGGAATGGGCCTCAGAGTTCAATGCCCCATTTACCTGTTTTCCATCAGAGGTTCAGCTTTCAGTTCTAGGTTTCTTAAATTTTAAAGTATTGCTTTTGTTGGGGAACATTTCCATGACCCCAAATAGATTATTTTATGGGGAATTAGGAGTTAACAAGGAGAGAAGATGTTTAATCAGAAGATGGCTGTTCAATGTTACAAACTATTCCAAAATTCATCCTGCAGAGACCTGGAATGGTCCCAGTGATTTCTTGAGTCAATAGTGAAATTAAAAACCTTACTTCTAAGACTTAAATTGGCTTGGCAAATTAGAATTCACTCACATTTCTGGAGTTTGAAATAATCTCTTCCCTCTCTACCAGGACATATCTCAACCTCAAACCTCTACTTCCTGCAACTAACACAGTTTCAAGAAAATATCGGCATAAATTAAGTCATGTAAGCAGCGTCTGTATTACTTATTAAAAGCCTCCCGCTAGGCACAATAGGCACTTGCATTCAAGTGCTGAATTAATGAAAAAGGCATTTTGAATTTTCCATTGAAACGTGCCTTTCCTTTGCACCACAGTTTAACTTCTTTCTAAATGCAGCTTTTAGTAGAAAATGACAACAATTATGAGCCCTTTGAGATTTAAAATCTGAAACTCAAATTATCAAGCCTTAATAAAAGCCTAATAAATTCCTTTATGTGTTATATTATGTCTGCTTAATTACTCCAAGCCCATAAAAGAAGCCATGCAGAAGCAGAGTTTATATGTTAGCTTTACAGAAGAGTGAATTTTGAGACTCTTTTCTCTAAATTTAATTTTTATGTGTATAGTTAAAAATATATATTCAGAGACTTTATAAATCTGAAACGTAGATCACCCCTATAAATATATTAAGTGGATACATTCTCTAGAAAGGCAAATAAGTGATTAACACCACCAAAAAGTTCTTTATCTTAAAAAGAGCATATTCAGTTCAATGGGCATCTCTCTATTATTGCTAACAGTTTATCTCTTACACTGACTGAAAAGAGAGCTACAGCATGCACCAGCTGTAGTTTCTACAAAGGAACTACCATTCAATATTGTTTTTCTATAGCATAAATAATTTTTTAATGAAGCAGAAAGTCATTGTTACTTATAAGATGGTGTTTACTGATCTGGTGCTGTATTGAAAAATACAGCAATCCATAGTATTTTTATTCTGATAACGTCAATCTCATACGATATCGTTGGAGGGGAGGGAAAAAATGTAGCCTTGTCAAGTACATAAGGAAGATGGGCCCATTCAACATAAGGTTTTCATGATAGCTTTTAACTCAGGACAGCAAAGTGATTACTATGAGCTGACACCAAAGGTCAGGCTGGGTGTCACCAGCAACAGGGTGGTTGTCTTCCCTGTTCCTTGACACTACCTTCACTGCACCCCCCCAGCCAACAAAAGGGGCTTCCTGTATTACCATTGATCCCTATTTTTTTTCTTAATTTGCATTTTCTAATCTTCCAGGATCTATTCTCTTGACTGGATTAGCCACTGTTTAAATGAAAATATGTATGTGTCCACAGGGAGGGGAACATCACACACCAGAGCCCATCGGAGAGTGGGGGGCAAGGGGAGGGAGAGCATTAGGACAAATACCTGCACGCAGGGCTAAAAACCTAGATGACGGGTTGACAGGTGCAGCAAACCACCATGGCACATGTATACCTATGTAACAAACCTGTATGTTCTGCACACGTATACCAGAAATTAAAGTTAAAAAATATATATACATATATATATATTTTTGGACACAGACACACACACACACACACACACGTGTGTGTGTGTGTGTGTGTCTGTGTCCAAAAATTACAGTGAATAAAAAAAAAAAAATCTTGGCTGGGTGCGGTGGCTCACGCCTGTAATCCCAGCACTTTGGGAGGCCAAGGAGGGTAGATCACGAAGTCAGAAGTTCGAGACCAGCCTGACCAACACGGTGAAACCCCGTCTCTACTAAAAATGCAAAAATTAGCTGGGCATGGTGGTGGGCGCCTGTAATCCCAGCTACTCAGGAGGCTGAAGCAGAAGAATCACTTGAACCCGGGAGGCAGAGGTTGCAGTGAGCCGAGATTGCGCCACTGTACTCCAGCCTGGGTGACAGAGCGAGACTTCATCTCAAAAAAAAGAAAAAAAGAAAAAAAAGAAAATCTTTATTTCCCATTCGAAAACAACAGATGGGATGAAAACAAAAAGGTGACTGCTCAGGAGCCATTTTAGAGCCAAAAGCGACTTATTGATTCTTCCACGGAAACTTTCAAACCTGGAGATAGGTGACTTAAAGCGGGTCTGCAATGTGGACCACGAATATGCTTATTTTGCCAAATAAGCAAAGTGCTTCCTCAGAGAACTGTTGAAAACTGAGACATGCAAAAAGTAGCCCAAAATCACAAGAACAAATCCTATACATTTGGTGTCACAGAGGGTTTTTGCACATTGCTTGTTCTGGAAATACATGATATGAAAATAATCAGGCCTCATTGCAAAGATCTTTTTCAAGAGCAGCTAGGAAGTCAATAATCTCCCACTCTTGTCTGTTACATAAGCATATTCTCAAACCCAATCTGGGTTGGGTGGAACTATGGAGAAATTTTTGAATCTCAAACTCTGCCTGAAGTAAGGGTTTAATTTTTAAAAGGCTAGCCTATGGTGCGGACTCAGAACAGGAGGTAAGATCTCAACCAAGTGGTGGTTAAGTGAATTAGGTGTCGCTGTTCAGAGTGGATTATCTGTGAGAACCGTGTAAACCAGGACAACTGAGGACATACTTTCACAACACAAAACTTAGTACAGATCTGACTGTCTTCATTTAAGTGTCCCATAACTCTTCACTGAGCATCTACCATAGGCCAGGCATGGCCTCTGCCCTTCTGGAACTTACAATCTAGTAAGGGAGATGGACAGTGATCAAATAATCACACACATATAAAATGGCAAGTGTGATGTATATGAAGAGTAGTGTCACAGGTTGCTATGACAGCTTGTATAAAAGATCATTCTAGTTTCCCTTGGAAGAACAGATTCGAGAGAGGAACAAGAATGGGTATGGAGGGACCAGTCAGAAGGCAACTTCCATAGTCCAAGCAAAAGAAGAGGTTGCTTGGGCTAAAGCTGATTTTAAGTAGAAACACAGGAATATTTCCTAGCTTATAATCAGTGTGAAATGTTTCATTATTGCCAGATTTTTTCTTATCTGAATAAGTTGTATTCCATCCTGGAAATATATTTATCATCCCCAACTCTATTACACTCATTTTTCAAGAATACTATAGAAACTGCTTTTTTTGATGAGACATTACAGGAGTCATTAAAAAAATTAAAAAAAAAAAAAAAAGGAGGTTTCAGAAAACAAGGTCAAGAAGCCCCAGAGGAAGGCATTAGGCAAACTTCTACAGATTATTAACTATGTTGACAATGGTCAAAACAAAAACGTATTTGGAAAGCACCTTTTGTCACAACAAAACTTCATCCCAGAAAGCTACATCATGTATAATTATACACATGATCACAATTATATAAAACTAAAAAGAAATAATTAGGTACATATATGTTTCTAACTGAAAAAAAGGTTAGAAGTTGAAGTTTTAAACACTTAAATGGGAAATTCATGTGAATGTTTATTCTAGTCAGAGTTTTAAAAGATAAACTATTTATCTAAATTAAACTGTTCAGATTACAGAATACATATTTGTCAGTGACAAAATTCACATTAAGTTTCTAGACTTACACTGTCTATTCTTCTATGAATACCATCATACATGCTTTGCTTGTGGTTACACAGGTCTCAAAAGAAAAGAAATGGAAACATAGGAAATTAACAGACATTCATAAAATGAAGTGCATGTTTGTGGTCCAGGGAGTGAAATGGTGGGGCATAAACCCTTCCCAGCTTTAGCAAGGAGGTTAACCAGTGCTGTAGTTATCTGGCTTGGAGCTTCATCATGACCCTTTGAGTCCCCTCCAACCCACCCCCTGGCAAAGCAGGAGCAGCATATCAGATCCCTGCAGAGGCTAAAAGCTGAAGGCAATGCAAAGAAAAGCTTTGACATTCTGCCACTGGAGTGACAGGACAAAATTGACTGTAATAAACAACAGTTTGAGCAAGATAATTTGATGCATTGGGACCTTAAGCTTCTCCAGATGCTGAACTCAGCTTGGGATGGGAGATAAGAGGCAGTATTTACTGTCCTCAATAAAGGTTGGATGAAAGCAGAAAAAAGAAACCTCCTTGTGTAAATTGAAACCAGTTCACTAACATGCGTATCCTCAGATATGCACAGCAATTCACAAACAGAAGAGTATATACCATATTCATATATGTTATAAACACATGTAAAGCATCATACTGACACATATGTATAAAATATAACTTGTCTGTTGGCCTAATAACAGAGAGGAAAGCCAGAAAGAAAAACAAATGCATGTGAAGAATCTTTAAAATGAAAAGAGCACTCTACCAATATTAAGCTCACTTAATATCATATTGCTCCACAAGTATTACAAATAAAATGCCTCTCTGAATAACATTTCTTTTCCAAATAAACAAGCACATGCAGACACAGATTTTGACTGTGAAGATTTAATTCACAACAGAAGGATGTTGCTTATGGAGTGAGAAGTGAAATCACAGTCCCTCTGGGCACACCCAGGTGCTCTGCCAGTTTTCCATAACAAGGCTGAGTGATGTGCTTACATTTCTCAAAGACTGTTTTGTTTCAGTAAGGCCAGGTTAGGTGACTGGTAGATGTATGTCATAATGAAACAGAAGTACTATCAAACTACTGATTTTGGTTAGGATGACGAGGAACAAACAAAGAGGTTGCTTTCATTCGTGAAGATTTTCACTTAGCTATTTTTTTATATTACTTAAGTAAAAACTACAAAAACAAATAAACAAGATATCAACACAAGCATATGGCTTTGTAATTATAAGACACACTGTGTTTGTGTAATCAAGAAAGAACAATGAGAAAAGACAATCTTTCGTTTTTTGTTTGTTTCTTTGAGACAGGATCTCACTATGTTGCCCAGGCTGGTCTCAAACTCCAGGCTATCCTCCCACTTCAACCTCCTGAGTAGCTGGGATTACAGGCATATATACAACAGTGTCTGGCTGAGAAAAGACAATCTTGAGAACAATAAGTAACATTTACTGGCTGCCCATTATCGTGAAAGGAACTGAGTTGGTGACTTTACATAAATGTATCTTGCTTAAAACCTTGCAAGGTGATTATTATCAGCATCATTCTAACACTGCTGGCTAGGAGCACTGGAGCAAATTTTTCCAAGGTCATAGAGCTCATAAGTGATAGAGCAGGGATCAAATCTATGTCGGCTGAATTCTGCCAAGTTCAAAGCGTATCTCTTTCCACCCTACCTACCATCTCTCTAAGCATCACAGTAGAAACAAAGAATATGGCGCAGAAAAAGAAATCAATAAACACATATGAAGAGTCAAAGGAAAATATGCTTAAATCATATGCTGAAAAACCAGCCTAGGCAGAGAGCAGACCCTTCTCCTTGGCAAAGTTTACCAGGCATACAAGGTTCTGTTTCCTACCTACTTTATACAGTTTGATACTCTTAGAAGGATTCCATGCCAAAGCAACCACAGCAGCATGCACACCAGTCTTGCTCCTAGGGATCTCTCTGCACCTCTCCAGCTGCTTGAATTCTAGTAATCCCACCACACAAATTCTCCAGTGGCTGCAGCTCAGAGTTGATCCATGTCTCACTATCTTCCTTACATCCATCGTTCTTCCTTCTAAACCTCCCATTCCCGTTTCAATTCCTTTCAGACAAATTTGTCCCATCACTCCACAAAATGGCACTGGAAAACTTTCCTTTCTCTTTCCCTTCTTTACAAAAGGAATAAATGTTCATTTTAGAAATTTTCAAAAATATAGAAAAAGCACAAAAAGGAAAAAAAGGGATTCTGCTAAAGATAACTAGTGTTAACACTGTAGTGTATATTTTACCAGTCTTATTTTTCCTTTTTTTTTTTTTTTTTTGGAGACAGGGTCTCGCTCTGTCACCCAAGCTGGAGTACAGTGGCACGATCTCGGCTCACTGCAACTTCTGCCTCCTGGGCTCAAGCTATCCTCCCACCTCAGCCCTGCCAGTAGCTGGGACTACAGGCACAAGCTACCATGCCCAGCTAATTTTTTAAAAATTTTTTATAGAGACAGAGTTTCACCATGTTGCCCAGGCTGGTCTCAAACTCCTGAGCTCAAGTGATCCACCTGCCTCAGCTTCCCAAAGTGCTAGGATTACAGGTGTGAGCCACCATGCCCCGCTCAGTCTTATTTTTCCTAAGCAAATGTGTAATAATAATTTTTATGAAATTAGGATCACATACATGTTATCTCGTAATACATTTTCAGTTTTTGAAATATCAGTGAACGCTCCCCTCCCTATCACTAAATATTCTCCTATAACATGATTTTAGTCACTACCATTATGCCATATGAATGCAACATTTATTTAACTCATCACCCACTATGGGATATTTAGGTTGTTCTTTACATTTTATTACTATAAACAGTTCTGCAATGAACATCTTCACAGATTTATGTTTACTCAGATCCGTCCCTGTCCCTTTATAATATATTCTGGAGCACATTTGGAAGGCCTGGACACACACTGTCAGGCTGCCCTTCTCACAGATTTTATGAAATTTCATTCCCAGTAGGACTAATTACTAATGCATGGGAAACAGGTCTCTTGAACATAATGAATAATCACCAAATTGCAAAGTGACTTATAAGTGAATCAACTAATTCATTCAACAAATACTCATTAACCTTCTATACGTGCTAGGCACTGAAATACAGCAAGGAGACACGGTGCCTGCTCTTAAAGAGCTTTCACCGTCTCAAGACAGAAAATGTACTAAGTGATAGCAAAGGTGCTACCATGGGAGGTGATGTCCTGGGTGAGACTAGGCTTCTCCAGGCGCTCCTCAAATCAAATTCCTTCCCCTTCCTGTCACGGCTATGCCCCTTCTCCTTCCATGTTTCTGATTTTCATGTCCAGCTTGAGCTGGGGAAACAGAATATTTTATTTCAAAAGTCTCCTCCCAATTGTACAAGGAATTGGTACTAAATGCAGCAGCTTCTTAAAGCTGTCCTCCCCATCCTCACACACGCTGATGACACATAATATAATTCGGGGGGAAAAAAAACTAGATAAAACAATTGCTTAGGGAAAAATATGTTCTAAACATTTTAAAATCTAAATCTAAATGTTTTCTAAAGGATTTTGAGGAATCGAATTATAAAATTTTTTACAACTGAGTTTCTAGATATATTGTAATAAATGTGGTAAATATTCTAAATGGCTACCAATAGGTCAGCAGTAAACGTTTTAAATAAAAGCAATCAAAATAGACAGCAATTACATTCTTAATGTCATCACTCTTGTATTTTTTTTTTTTGGGGGGGGTGGGGGACGGAGTCTCGCTCTGTGGCCAGGCTGGAGTGCAGTGGCACAATCGGCTCACTGAAACCTCCGCCTCCTGGGTTCAAGTGATTCCCCTGCCTCAGCCTCCTGAGTAGCTGGCATTACAGGTGTGTGCCACCACACCCAGCTAATTTTTTTTTGGTATTTTTAGTAGAGGCAGGGTTTCATCATGTTGGCCAGGATGGTCTCCATCTCTTGACTTCGTGATCTGCCTGCCTTGGACTCCCAAAGTGCTGGGATTACAGGTGTGAGCCACTGTGCCCAGCCTACTCTGGTATTTTAATATTTTACACATTGTAGAGTATTTAGCCACCACTGAAGCTTAACAACTTTTAGAAAGCAATTTACATTTCCATTTCATGTAGACAAGAGTCAAATGATTAAAACATTTAACATTATATCAAAAGACCTAGTTACACCATTGCTTCAGAAACTAAGCAATACATTTTTCTCAAGGAGCAAAAGTATAAGGATTGGTTAATATATCCAGATATTGATAAAATTTTGGTCTTTGAAAATACATGATGACATATGGAGTTAAACATTGTTTTATAGAAAGTAAGTTACTCATTAGTTAATTTGTTTAGGGTATAAAATATTTTCCATTTAAGGGAGAGATGAAGTTGCTAGAAATTAGGGGTACTGGGCCAACTTTGTTTCCTTAGAATGGGTTTTTGATGTATTACTTCTTTGCAGTTAAGTTTAAAGCATGCACATAAAAAGCAAACCCAAATCTTCTATCATATGTGTGTTTCCATGAGTATGGATGATGTGTGTGGCATTTAACCAGTACTTACACGCAAAACATTTTCCCAACCTCTTCCACATGCATTAATTTAATCACCATGACAACCTGTTTAAAATGCACTTTTGAGATTCCCATGTTATGGATGAGGAAACCGAGACACAGGGCAATTAAGTATCTTTCCCAAAGGTACACAGCTAGTAAAAGGCAGGGCTGGGAATTAAAGGCAGGCATGAATATCTATGAGACCCAGATGTCATCTGGAGTCTCCCCGCCCCTTTGGATCTAGTTAGATTGGCTCTAATTTCCCCATCCTTGCCCTGTGTGAAAAAAGTCCAGTGTCCTTCTCAAATGACTTTAAACATCCAGAGGACCTGCATTCTCCAGGTCTTATCTAGCTCTCAATTTTTTGTTTTCTGGCTTAGTTCTGTCCACACAGGGAAAAATGCAAACCACTTAAAACTGAATATTAGTTATTCCCCACTTCTTCCCTCTCTTTTATTACCCTTTCTCTCATTTATGCTAAGAGAAAAAAATCCCTCTATTTTTTTTCTACTGCTGAGCAGTTAGTTCTGTCTTTCCTAGTCTTGTTTCCTTGTAACTCATGTCCTCAGGTTTTAACTTTGTCCATTGAACTGTTTATCAAGATAGTTTCCTAAGCAAAGCCAGCTCCTTTCCTAAGAGGAATCCTGTTGCTAGCTAAGAGAATGATACCCGTCTTCTCATATGGGCACACAAATCTAGAGGTGATACAGCCTACATTATGATTAAGATAAAATATTACTATTGATGATTAAACAGCTGCCATAATTGAATGAATGTCACATATGTTCGCTAACTTATCAGAATAGAGGCAGAAGCAATCTAAATTCAAATGGCATTAGGTTAATTCATTACAGTCTTAAATAAATCCACACAGAGGCAATTCTTTTCTTTGTATTTGAGAGTTCATGGTTAAACGCTTAACGATTAAAAAAAAAAAAAAAAAAAAAAAGAAATCACATACCTCTACCCTGCCAATGAGGTTGTCAATATAGATGACAAGTGTTAAAAAGTCATGTCAAAACACTATTAGAAAAAACAGGTTAAGAATATAATTGGGGACATATACAAATTACTAAATCATATATATCTAATTCATATAAAAATGAATTTTCAAAACATCACCTACTTCTGAACCAGTGAACATGAATTATTCAAATGGCTTTATATAGTAGGGTGATTAAATAGAATAGGAGAGATAAAAGACTCAAAAAAATTTAGAAAATGGAACAGTGTTTCAAAAATTGCTGGTACTCTAAGAGTCGAATGGAAATATTTCTTGAACACTGATGCGCAAGGCCGCCTAAACTGAGATGTGTTTGGTACTCCTTCCTTGGATCTGCGTAGTACATGGCTGGAGTGGCTGAATGATAGGGATCTGTGTTTAGGTAATCTGTTAAACAAAGATCACAAAAGACAAAAAGTAATTCAGTTTTTGAAAACCAGTCTTTGTCCTCACAGTAATAGAAGAAAAGCTGCATTGAGGATATTACAGTTACATATAAAACATAAATAATCATTACGGGCAGTAAATAAGTAAAAGTTCAAAACAAGAGGTATAGCTAGCATAGGCTCCAGAAATAGCATAGACTACGAGCTCCTTGAGAGCAGGGGCTGTCATTAGCACTCATTGTGTCACCTGAATTTGACTGGACGAATGTTCGCTGAGTGAATGTTTGTGGGGGTCATATGACAAGTTGCTGGTTGAATCGGTGTGGCAGTTGTGAGCTGCTTTAGAGAAGGAACTTCATCTTACTCAAGAGTATACCCTTATTACTTGGCTGAATGCCTGTACCTATTGAGTGCTCAATTCATGTTTAGCAAATTAATGGTAATTAGAGAAGACAGCAGGTTAAATTGGAGACTACTGCTATGCCCATGTGAAAGTGAAGGGGAGGAGTTAGAAAAAGGAAGACAGAGACTACTGGGGAACAACTGGTGGGATTCCAGGACAGGCTGAAGGGATCTGATTGAGAGTTTAGGGGAAGAAAGAACTTGGTGAAGAAAGAGAGGACCCTCTTCTGAGACACGAAAGACAGAAAAAAGATCATGAATGAAGCACATAATTATTTGCAAGGGCAAAGGAGAGAAGAGCAAAAACGCCACAGATGTCTCCATCTTCGCACTTAGTGGAGATGATAATACGTATTTTCAAAGTGCACAGGTCACTGTCAGCAAAGACTACTATTAATACTCAGTAGGAGTAAGGATGGAGCAAGTAGAATCAGAGCCTTGAAAATGGCAAAGGCTGAAAATAATCATTGTGTGTGTTGGGGGTGGAGGCCGCACGCCAGGGAGAGCTAGAAAGTTAAAAAAAAAACTGTAGATACGAACTGCATTTTTCAAACTAATGTTTCAATTGTTCAATACTTTTATCAAAAACTGTACTAGGCACTGCAGAGGATTTAGAGAAATGTAAGATATGGCTCTTGTCCTGAAAAGTTAAATAACAACCCAGAGATACTACACGATAGAATGTGAATATATGCCAAAAAAGGGGGAAATGAGATAAGGGCAAATGTTCCATAATGAGAACTTTATTTATTACATATTTATTTTTCTATTAAAGTCTAATAATTATGTCCTCTACTGTTTTTGTTGTTTACAGGCAATAAAAGTCATTTTCTGGCTTTCATATTGGAGTCGTTATTTTAGTAGATATTTGAGTTCTTTTGTTTGTGAAAAAATTGCTTCTCCTCAAGGTTCAATGAACAAAACAGGTCACAGGGCTTTGGCTGAACACAGAGTCATTTCTTAGGTAGACAGAATAGATTCTTTTAAACAAATACCCTTTGTGCGAATGCACGACTGCTTCCCAGAGCTAGGTAACACACAAAAACTGTTACTACTGTCCAGCCACGCTGAGGCTGGGTCGGAGAGGGTTAAACTAAAAATCAAGTTATTGTTGCCTCTCCTTTAGTTCAGTACGGCTTTTCTATAATTCTCTAGAGCTAGGGAGCTGACAGCATGGATTTTTATTGAAGAAATGCTATGACATTTGTTCTAAATGTCACATTTCTCCCCCACAAACTAAAAATAGCATGTCCCCATACTCCTACCCCTAATAAAATTGTTGGCTTGGAAATGACATTGATAAGCAAAATGAAGCATATAACCTTTTCTCTCCTTTTCTAGAAATGTTTTATTTATTCCTGAGTAACATTTGGTATCTTTTGTAGGCTAAGATCAGAGGGACAAATCAGTAAATTTTACTGCTGAAGTAGTCTTTGCAGTATGGGGCTGTCATTTTTAAACCATGTTTCAGGCAGGCACTGCTGTCATTTGAGTAGTGATCTAGTGACTGATAGAAAATATCTGTAGAAATAATGTGTGCTCTCATAGTAATGTGACATTTCATGAGCAGTTTGACTGTTTTCATTACTCTGATTTCAGTCTGGGGAAGAGTAAGTTAGAAAGCCAGTGATGGAATATAGAAAGCCTGTCAGGACGAAGTTGACAGGACAAAACCTGAACTTGGGCTGTTGTATTTCATGGGACTTCATGGGAATTATATGAAGCCATTTTAAATATCAAGTGGACTTGACTGCTTCCTCTGATCAATCCCAAGGTCACTGGTTTAATTGATAAGAGTGTTTGGCTAACTGACACACACTAAAAGCCAAGTTTAAAGCAAGTTTTATGGAGGCTTTGGCTATATTTGCCTTCATTGCCCCAACTAGGTTTGGTTTTAAGGGTGAAGATTTGGTCACACAGGGAAAATTTCATTACAACAAACTTCATAACTACACTGTTCCCTTTAGAGAACACGGCCCTGCACTAAAGGAAATGGCCATGGAAGCAAGCTTGTACAATCGCTAAGGAGGCATCAGGAGTTTTGATTTTTAGCAAGGCCAGTAAGTAATACCTGGGTATTTCTGTGAAAACCTGAATACCTTGCTGGGTATTCATAAATACCCAACATCCATTCTTTTCTTGCCCCCGGAAGCGTGCTGTTTGGTAACTCCTGCAGTTTATGTGGGAAATTTTTAGATCCTCACCATCACTAGTTGGAACAGAAACGTTCAGGACAGGCCAGGTGCGGTGGCTCCCGCCTGTAATCCCAGCACTTTGGGAGGCCGAGGCGGGCGGATCACAAGGTCAGGAGATCGAGACCAACCTGGCTAACAATGGTGAAACCCCATCTCTACTAAAAATACAAAAAATTAGCCGGGTGTGGTGGTGGGCGCCTGTAGTCCCAGCTACTTGGGAGGCTGAGGCAGGAGAATGGCGTGAACCCAGGAGGCGGAGCTTGCACTGAGCCGAGACAGCGCCACTGCACTCCAGCCTGGGTGCCAGAGCAAGACTCTATCTCAAAATAAATAAATAAATAAATGTTCGGGACATTCATTTGTTATTTGGCTGCTGCACATTTTGGAATTCCCGAATTACTCAAGATTGATAGATACGATGGACTCACTTAATGAGTCACCTTAGCCAACTTCCCAGTGTTTGCATCTATGTGTGGCTTCTTTACTGTCTCTCAGTGAACGCAGTCACTTTCAGAAAGGCCTGCCAGCATCACTCCAAACGTTCAATTACTTTTATTAGCATAACTTAAGGATGCAGTGATACATTCCAAGGCTTTTTGGGAATGTGAGGAATCGTGAGGCTTTAGGATGTATCACCAGCAAATGTTGCAAGACCACTACCTACAAATCATTGCAACCAGATAAGTACTATTTCCATTGTCTATCACTGAAGTACTTTTATTACATAAATCATCATTTAAGAATGTTTTTTGGGGCCAGGCGTGGTGGTTCATGCCTGTAATCCCAGCACTTTGGGAGGCCGAGGCGGGCAAATTACTTGAAGTCAGGAGTTTGAGACCAGCCTGGCTAACATGGCGAAACCCTGTCTCTACTAAAAAATACAAAAAAATTAGCCAGGCCTGGAGGTGGGGCATGCCTGTAATCCCAGCTACTTGGGAGGCTGAGGCAGGAGAAACGCTTGAACCTGAGAGGTGGAAGTTGTGGTGAGCTGAGATTGTGCCACTGCACTCCAGCCTGGGCAACAGAGTGAGACACTGTCTCAAAAAAAAAAAAGTTTTTTGAAGTAAATTACATTTCCTGTTCTACTGTAACTCCTTGTCCTCCAAATGTTTACTGACAGTAAGCTTCTTGAGGTAGGCTTCTATCTTAATGGTTTGTATCCCTAAGCACCCAGCAGGCACACAATATATACTGATATCTCCTTTATAATACTAAAGCTAATGTCCCTTATGCTACAAGATGTAAAACTTCATCCTAGTATAATAAGACTTTTAACTAAAAATTCAGTCTTCACTTCATACAGTTTATTCTTTTTTAGTCATGAATGGTAATCTTTTAAAATTGAAAAGTATGTGTACTTATTTTTGGTGAATTAGTCTACAGTTTGCCTTGTGTCTTGCCTATTCCTCTCCCTGAAACAAAATTTTATTATTTATTTCTATAAACTTTTTAATCAATATACTATCACTCTTTGAAATTACAGATGCTTTAAAACTTACCATTTTCTTCAACTTTGAAAACATAATCAGTGTTTTTTAAAAGCCTGAAGCAGTAGTTACTAGTAAAAAAAAGAAAAATATATCCAGAAAAATCTGTAATTAAAAAAATAGGATAAAATACCTATTTATTTGGAACTCTCAACTACAACACTGTGATTCTGTGCTTTGTTCAGGATATACACAACACTGAGAAACAAATCCTTCTGAATTTCATAAAACAACCACACATTCTTCTGTATATGCTCTGTTGTCTATGAATTAAGTTATTTAGATTTTTTGACTAGCTGGTGATTAATAGGTGATTAATACTTTCTACTAGGTTGGATTTTTTTAGAAGGATTAATTAAGAGTATTTATAAGGTGGGGCAGAAAAGGACAACCCCAAATTCACAGTTCTAAGTCAGTCCAGGATTTTCACTTCATGGCTCCTCAGATCACAGTCCCTTCCCTTTTGGTTCATTCATAAACACTCCCACCTTCCTGTCTGCCTTCCCATCCCGCTCCGAAACAAAACATTTATTAACTGAAGCTTCCAACTGTGACAGAAATTACAGTCATGTTAATGGTACAGATGGTGTAAAAAATGCAATCTAAAAACATGATTAAAAAACTCAGGAGCTAGGTAAGCCAAGTTCATCTCAGATATGGCTGACCAGACATCTATGAGGAAGGAAATACACTTTTTTGGTTAATTAGTTTGCTTTTATCCATCCCCGTAATTAGAACATGCTTTCCGCCTACTTAATCCTAAAACAGTCATTAGATTTAATAAACCTTTCTAGACTGCCACAAATGAGAAAATGAATTAGTTAAAAAGTAAGCATTAAGCTGTACTAGCAATATGATCATAACATTCTGTGAATAAAAATGCTTTTGTTTAATTAAAGACAAAAAAAAATCATTTTATAGCTTGTTGCAAAAGATTATACATGATTTTTTCCTTCTTCCTCACGTTGCTTCATAAGGTAGTAAAAACACCAGTGTTGCCTCCACAGATTTTATTTTGCCAAATGGAAGTGATTATTAATCATTCTTTCCAGAAATCAACCCATAATTAGCTTCTTCTCAAGTCAAAGTAAAGTCAGGATCCCACAGGACTCAAGGAGAGAGGGTGGTCTTGGTTGCAGGGCACTAACCAGGAAGCTCAGCTTTGATCACTATCAAGGCTCTTGTGAATTAACAGTGGACAATGGACACAGAGCTACAAGTTAGCATTTGTTATTCTTATTATTTCCACCTCTAAGCCTTTGTGTGATGGTCTGATCTCCCACGGAGTCCAGAATGGCCCCATTACCCCCATCATATTCTATTTGCCAATCTCATAAGGAAGTTAGTTACTCGGGTGTTACGTTTTGGATGATCAAATATTAAAACCATTTTTAAAAGTAAAAAGCAACATACTAATAAAGTTGTGGACTCAAGCTTTCCAGGTTTTTATCTGGTTGAGCATTCTTTATACTAAATAAAATTATCTTTTTTATTTATCCAGAAACATTGGGGGAAAAAAATGACCTTATGTATTAAAAACTCGAAATGGTCCTTGCCTGGACTTGGTGATGCTTGCACAGCAAAAGACTACCTGTTGGACCGTAGGTTCTAGGTATTCACTTCCCCCCCACCAGTCAATCCCCTGCCTGTGCTTGCTGAAGAAGCCTTTGGTCGTGGCGTCCATAAACATTATTGCTGATGGACCATGGACACGTGCAGGCTTCCAAAAATGTAGACTTGGATCTGAATCAGACAGGAAAACTATAGGGGAAAACAGAAGCTTTATTTTGATTATAGAACCAAAGAAATCTTGGATAGAAAGGTAAACTCAAGAGTATCTTTTTTTTTTTTTTTTTTTTTTGAGACGGAGTCTCGCTCTGTCGCCCAGGCTGGAGTGCAGTGGCGAGATCTTGGCTCACTGCAAGCTCTGCCTCCTGGGTTCATGCCATTCTCCTGCCTCAGCCTCCCAAGTAGCTGGGACTACAGGTGCCCACCACCACGCCCAGCTGATTTTTTTGTATTTTTAGTAGAGATGGGGTTTCACCATGTTAGCCAGGATGCTCTCGATCTCCTGACCTTGTGATCCGCCCGTCTCGGCCTCCGAAAGTGCTGGGATTACAGGCGTGAGCCACCACGCCGGGCCAAATTTAAGAGTATCTTAGAGGGACCAGTCTATCCCACAAATAACACTAGAGGCTGTCAAAAAGAGTTTTCCTCCTCTCTCCAATGTTTAACCTTAAGGTCCAATTGGCTCTTTCCACCTTTATTCTGAGCCGAACCTACCTGAATTTGAAGGATAGATTAGAAAGGTTAGGGTCAGAAATCAAAAACACCCTTTCCTCCTGGGCTCTGGGACGTGAACTGTGATTTTTTTTGGTCAATTTTTATGAAGAATGGTACTCCACGAAGACATTAGTCGTTCATGTCAGCCATCTAATTTAATGATTAAATTAATCATTCTAATTTAAGAGCAGAGAAAAATCCAAGACCCAGAAAGCACGTGTTGGAGCTCAGACAAATGCCTGGTCCCTGATACCTAATGCAGTATTTGACGATGTTTTATTTTACTGGGCAACTGTAGTGCATGCAGTCCAGACCCATTAAGGAGAGGAGGAGGATGTAACATTGGATATTAGCAGTTTAGAAGGGTACAATCTCCAAGCCAGTTTTCACATGAATTAATTTTATTAAAAAATGTTACATTCTAGTCCACTAGAACCTTTAGGAAATACCACTCTTTGTGTTGCCTATTGTCAACAGTACTGAACTATGGAATCAGCCATAAACCAGCCATGTAATTTTATTTTATTTTTGAGGCAGGGTCTCACTCTGCAGCCCAGGCTGAATGCAGTGGCGTGATCATAGTTTGCTGCAGCCTTGAACTCTTGGGTTCAAGTGATACTGCCATGTCTGCCTCCTGAGTAGCTGGGACTACAAGTGTATGCCACCAGGCCCGGTGAATTTTTGATATTTTGTAGAGATGGGATCCTGCTACGTTATCCAGGTTGGCAGCCGTGCAATTTTAGACAGAGACTTTGCTTCTTTGGACTGTGAAGTGGTTAAAGTGATCTGTGTGATTCTTTCTAATTACTTGATATCACTCTATTCCCTAACATCACAGATTGCAAATCTGATTTACCATTCTTTGTTGACATTAACTTGGTCCCCTAAAAAGCAGCTAGGAATTAGGAATAAGCTGATCCTTCACAAGTGAGGTGGAATAAAAGAGATGTGTGTGAAGATGGGCACTTGACCTAGGGGTTACTAGAGAATTCTAGTTTTCTGGGATGTTGCTAACCAGTTTCACAGGAGGAGGGGAAAAAAATCTTTTCTCATAATACTGTTACAAAGCTTTTGGAATTTTTCTAAGGAGTTACTACAAAGGAGATATTTATTCTAAATGTGAAAAGATCAGCTCAGCAAATGAAGACATTTACTTTATTACCATAATTTAACATTTTTATAGACTTTCTGCTCTTCATCATTGAGAACAAACATGAAAATCTGCACACTTTCAACAGTTAGGACATTGTTCTGAGAAGGAAAACGTGACTGCCTGGAAATAAAGGCTGTGAATCAAGTGCATGCAAATGAGCTCCATGCCACCCAGCTCTGCAGCCCTCCTAGAAACATGTGTAAGACATTACAATCCTGAAGGCTCTGGGCAGCCTAAGGGGACATGACCACCTAGGGCTCAAGCCTAGCAAAGCAGAACTTATTCTGGACACGTCATGAGGTTGAAATCACTTTTTGTAAATCTCAGATTTAAAGCAAATAAGAATACTTCAAGCAGAAAATCTTAGAAAATATGTAAAGCTAGGGCACATCCCTTATCTCCCTCCTCACCCCACACTCAATTTACCTGTTCTCATCTTTTTTATTTGTTTGTTTGTGTTTTCTTTTTGGAGACAAGGTCAGTCTCACTGTGTCACCCAGGCTGGAGTGCAAAGGCATAATGATCATGGCTCACTGCAGCCTCCACCTCCTGGGCTCAGGTGATCCTCCTACCTGAGCCTCCCAGGTAGCTGGGACTATAGGTACATGCCACCACACCCAGCTAATTCTTTTTTTTTTTTTTTTGGTATTTTTTGTAGAGATGGGGTTTCACCATGTTTCCCAGGCTGATCTCTAACTCCTGGTCTCAAGCAATCTGCCCACTTTGGCCTCCAAAGTGCTAGGATTACATACGTGGGCCACCATGCCTGGCCTATCTTCAGTTTTTAAGGACCAACAGGTGATTCAGTATAAAATGTCACAGGAATGCCAGAATCCATTCCCAGTATATGAAACTGCACTCCGCTGACCACAGCACAGTATTTAGCATTCAATAGTTGCTTTAAAAACAGTTGTTCATTTATGTGACTTTACTCTGCTGCAGGGAATATAACATTTGCATGTCTAAGCTCTATTGCATTTGACCTTCACAACTCTGTGAGGCTGGCTAATAGGATGCAGTGTAATTTTATGCCACTTTCACAGATCAGAAAACTGAGGACCAAAGAAGTCAAATAACTTGTTTGAGAGTTATTTGGCTAGGTGGTGAGATGATTCATAGGTAAAGTACTTTGTAGAAAGTACTACACAAATGAAAGTAACTAACATGATGATTTGGGCACATATCTATAAATAAGGCAAAATTTAAAACTTCACATGGAATGGTATCTCAGTCTTTTCTGAATATAACATACCTACTAAAATTGTGCTGTTTTTTTTTTACCATCCAACTCTCTCTTCCCTTAGCCATAAATGAGGGGCTACTCCCACTTTACAGCAGAATGGCAGGCTACTCAGTATCGTGAGATGCACCATTCCAGAACCTGAGTCGATCCAGACAGGCTGTCACCGGGTATTCAACAGAGAGCAGCAACAATTACCCTCCCGACTAGGGTCCCTTGAGACACAGGTCTGGAGAATTCTGGCATGAAGAAACAGAGTTTGTGACAATCAATAATCTTTCAGGTTGACTTAATGTGGAAAGAAAACAGCATTAAACAATTATGCTGCACATGAACATGCTATATAAGAGGGTATAGTTGATCATTTTTATGGTTTCATAAAAATTCATTTGCTTTTGGGTGTTACAAACACACTAGGAAACTGAAACATCTAACACAGGCAAGGCACCACCTAAAAAATAAAAGCCTGACAAATTAAGAAAATAAAATATCAATTTCTAACCCAAACCACATCAAGTCAATTTTGTTTGAAAACAAAAACTAAGCTTTTGTCTAAGGCTGCTAGTCACCCTCATTTTTCTTCAACAGAAAAATTAACAAAGGAACTTTTGTGATGAAATGCTAATATTAAAGGTTTATAGGGTCCTACCTTACACTCCTGAGATACACTTGCTTTCATGACACAACACTTACATGGAAAAGAAAAAAAACCTACAGACTAGAGAAACGTTGAGAGAAAAACAAACTTTGAGAGATTTGTTACTGTGTGTGTTTCTAACTTTCCTAATTTAGGGTATACTGACTTATGCTATTGCTGCTTTTATTTTTGATCTTCTGGCAAAATTGTGTTTTTAGCTTCTAAGAGGTGAAATATGACTAAATGAAGTACAAATTCAGAGAGAAGGATTAGGGCAAAGAAGCAAATTAACTACGTTCCCTACATTTTGAGCCTGATAGAATGATTATTTGGCTACATGCTGCATAGATCATGCATTTTTCTCTGTAACAAGGCAAATTAGATATTTATGCTTCTATTCCAAACAAAGCAGACACGCTGTCTGGCAGGATTTTTTTCTACACTAGTTAGAACTCTTGTAAGTAAAGCTTATGAGTTTTATCACATGGCACTTCAACCCTGCTACACATAAACAATCTTTATGAGGGTCATACTGCTTCTTACTTAACAGTCAATAAATGTACCACTACCATTACCATCTTCAACTTCTTCCAATAATGTTGTAAAAGTAACGTTGCCTTGCTTGAATTTGCACACAAACTAGTTCATATTTACTCTTTAAGGCTGCAGTATTACATTTTGTACTTCTCTTTTTCTCCTAAAGCATTCTATTCGTACTTTGGTCCATGCTTTTGGTTCAAATTGTCAACAACACTGCTCATGTCTGAATCTTCATAATACCTGGCACTATGCTCCTCTTATCCTAGGCATGTTGGCCACTGCCTCCCATAACCTGCTGAGTTGCTGCCAATGAGGGTCCTTATCCTATGAATCCAGCCAGTCTCATTTAGTTCTTGAGCTCATCATCATCAGAATGGAGGGTACATTGGTGGCCACCAGTCCACCAGGAGGTAGGTGCTAGCCTTAGTTATGTTACCATAAACTCTACTGTTTGGGTAAAAACTGGGCACCCCAGATTCTATGGTGTCCCAGTCTCCTGCCAGACTGGCTTGATCCAGATGAGCAGATTTTTTTTTTTTTTTTTCATATGGCAGCTCTGGCTAAGTACTATTGCCTTACCTAGAACACTAGGTACTCAGAGAGGACCCTGTTCTACCTGCTTGCCTCTATCTCAAGTAAGCCATTCTCTTGCCAAGAGGGGAGAAAAGGAAGGAAGGAACTGGCAGCAAATTTCTGATTCTTTGGCATCTAACTTGGAATCTGGTACAAAACACAGTCATTGCTGGGAACACCTAGACCAGTCTGGTGCACACTACTGAGGACCAGCTATTTAAATGTTTTTCCTTCCTTCTTTTTTTTGGAAAAAAAAATTTTGGATCCACCAGGAACCAATTGATTTATAAGATATGATAAAGATTAATGACTAGAAAAAATGGCATTAAAGACAAGCACCAATGTTTTCAGTATAAGATTTAAGAGACACAAAATTATTCTGTCAAATTCCTAAATGCTTACTCCAACTTCTGTAGTTACCTCATTTTGGGTCAATATGTTTGTGGACTGGCTGGGTCCAAGCTCCAAACTTTGAACAGTGTTGGCTGGGTCCCTCCTACTACATATCCCATTCACAGTCTTAAGGGCTACTGAGCGAATAAAGCCTGAGCTAACCCTTTTATGTGGATAATTTCTCTACCCCTTCTTCCTACTTCACTCCTAAGGTTTCTTCCCCATCCATAATGCCAGTGTTGCTTCATGCCAAGACTCTTCCTTGGCATAAAGTTATGAGGAATACACAGTGAATATCTGCCAAATGAACTAATTCCTGCCTGACAATGTCATGGATTGAGTCATTCATTCAAAAATTATTAAGTACCCACTATGTGTCAGGCACTGAGTGAATCGCGGGGACATACACCTTATTCTTAAGTAGGTTTTAGTCTAGTGGGAGGACATGAAAGTAAATAACCATAATTCACTGGGACAAATGTCCTGGCAGAGGGAAGCACAGAGTGCTTTGAAGGCACGTAAAGATGCCACATATTCCAGGCTGGGTTTGTAAGAAGCAAAGGCTTCGTGGAGGTGCCTGGGCTGAGTGAGTCCTGAAGGATTAAAAAACATTTGCTAGAAGAGAAAGTAGGTCAGGAGCCTAAGAAATAAAATCTGCAAAGATGTAGAAGTAGACAGAGCTTGGCATGATCCAGAACGAAGTAGCTCAGTAAGGATTAAATATAGCGTGCAAGGGGGGAGTGGTGAAATATAAGGCTTGTGTAGTGATATGGTTTGGCTGTGTCCCCATTCAAATCTCAACTTGAATTGTAACTCCCAGAATTCCCATGTGTTGTGGGAGGGACCCAGGGGGAGGTGATGGGTCCCGTGCTGGTCTTTCCCGTGCTATTCTCGTGATAGTGAATAAGTCTCATGAGATCTGATGGGTTTATCAGGGGTTTCCGCTTTTGCTTCTCTCCTCATTTTCTCCTGGCGCCGCCATGTAAGAAGTGCCTTTTGCCTCCCGCCATGATTCGGAGGCCTCCCCAGCCATGTGGAACTGTAAGTCCAATTAAACCTCTTTTTCTTCCCAGTCTCGGGTATGTCTTTATCAGCAGCCTGAAAACGGACTAATACACATAGCAAGCAGGACAAGTTTTTAAGGAACCCAGTGTTTTTTAATGCTGAGCGCTAGCGGTACTGTGAGCACAACAGTGCTTTGCTGTGACAGACTGTGCTGTGCAACATTTAGCATGTTTAGCATCTCCGGCCCCTGGGAGCGTAATGCCAGTAGCACCACTAGCAACGACCAAACCCTCCCTATTTCCATATAGCCCCTTGATAGAGTGACACCGACCCTGACTGAGAACCTTGGGTAGATGGATAATTTGGTCAGAAAGTGGGCAAGTCTCTTAAAAACATGCAGTGATACCAGTTTGACTGAATTAAAGTTTTATCATAAAGGGATGCCCAAGGCAGGTGGGGAGGACATCAGGCACGTCCAAGATGTGTCCAAAGAAAACCATGTCTGGCTCCTCTAGTGTTTACATTTGGTCTCAATGCAAGTAATTTGCAAGTAGCTTTGCCGTAAATACAATTCCAGTCGGCAAGAGTTTACTTAGAAACTATTCAATGTCAACTACTAGCCTAGGTTCCTTTAAGGGTGTTCAAAGACATAAGACATAGTCCTTACCCTTGAGAAATGTACAGTCTAGTTGCTAAGATATAATTAAGTGAACACACCAAGGCAGTATATAATCCAGTGTTTGACAGTGTATCATTCATGTTTCATGGGAACATTTAGCAATTAAGTGAATTCCTCTATATTCCTCCTCCTTGATCTTCTGTATCTACCCAAATCCTCTATCAGAACAGTACAACAAAGAAAGAAGCAAAAAGTCAGCAGAAAGCTGAGATTATCAACAATTATCTGTGCGTTTTTGCAGTCTTTCCCTTATTAGGGATTGTGAAGAAAATACCCTTGTAATTTACCTGAGGGGAAAAAAAGGTATTTTTGTTTGTAATACATTATCTTCATTATTAATGAGATTTTCATTTGCTTTCAGATATTTTCTAAAAGTAAAGACTTTAAAGAAAGGCACAGGAGGCTGGGAGCAGTGGCTTACATTTGTAATCCCAGCACTTTGCGGGGCTGAGGCCGGAGGACTGCTTGAGTCCAGGAGTTTGAGACCAGCCTGGGCAACACAGTGAGACCCCATCTCTACAAAAAATTAAAAATTAGTTACACGGTGGTGCGTGCCTGTAGTCCTAGCTACTCGGGAGGTTGAGGTGGGAGGATCATTTGACCCTGGGAGGTTGAGGCTGCACTGAGCCACGTTCACACTACTGCACTCCAGCCTGAGAGACAGAGACCCTGTTTCAAGGGGAAAAAAAGGCAAGAAAGGAAAGGCACAGTAAAACTGATTTTGCACTAAAGGTAGAAGTTATTTTTCTCTACCTTTTCTTGCTCTTTAAGTCTTTCCTGGGACATGTTGATGACCAGGAATAACTGTAGCTAGTAGTTCTGCTGTAAGTAACATCCTCTGTTCTGTTCCCAATTCCCTTCCTTGATGACATTGTGCATTTTACTGGATGACTTGGTCACAAGTGAAATGGGTTTCTGCCAGAAGGGAACAGTTTCCAGTGATTTGTGGATCTCTTTGTGGGTCAGAAGTCATCAAAAGTAGCCACTTAAAGGTGAAAGAGCCAATTAAAAATAATATTCAGGGACATCATAATTGACATGTTCCAGAAAGTCTGCTGGAAAACAGAAAGGTTCACTAACACATGAGAATCAACAATTAGTAGCTAATACTTTGGCTTAAATCCCAACTCTTCTGCTAAAATGAAAATAGCCAGGGAGACTCTCCTATTGACCCTTTTCAATAATGTATATCTTGTAATGGACGTGCCTCTCACATTCTCTCTTGAAAGCAGGCTTGACTGTGCATGACTGGAGACAGTGCGAGGTCGCCGAGTCCATAAGCAGCAAGAAGGGCACACAGAAGGAGAAAGGAGAAGCTTGCTGCCGGAGGAGACAAACTGGACTTTACAGTGTTCTCCGGGGTGGGACCTGACTTTGACCTCATGTATACAGATGGGCCTGACTGAGCTCATCCATGCTTATGTCCGGGTGCTTAAGTCTTATGGTAATGTATTTTTTTTTCAATTGCCATTGAAAGATGTGAGAAATGAAACATGAAAATATTTAATAATTCAGCATTTCCAAGTGTCTAGACTACTGAACATATTATCCAAGAAATTATTTAGAAGAAAGGGAAAGGAAATAGGCAAGAGATTTTATGAGTACTGACTATGAATCAGTTGTTTTCAGAGTTGTATTTCTCACAGAATAGATACTATTTTCCCTGTTTCACAGATGACAAATGTGAGGGTCAGATAGATTAGGAAACGTGCCCAAAGTTTCACAGCTAGTCAATGAGAGAAAGCATTTTCCAAGCCAGGTTCACTTGGCTGCAAAGCACTTACTCTTTCTGATATACAGCATGCTGCCTAGATGTTTTAGCACATTTGGATTACAAAAATGTTAGAAATAAAATTATGTTTGTGAAAGGATGGGCATTTAAAAAGCTCTGGGTTATGGTTGTCTGTGGTTGAAATTATAAAATGATAGTTCCCCCCACACACATACAGCATACACACACACACACACACAGACACACACATACACACACACAAATGTGGGTTATTATGGCTGAGTCATTGAATTTATTTGGAAGAACCATCTTCTTTTGCATGACAGAATACAGATGGCCATAAACTATTTACCCAGACATTTTGGGGTTGAGGGATGTAATCATCATTTGAAACAAAAATACAACTCTAGAAATACATATGAAAGTGAATTACTTTGTTAATGTGAAAGGGAAAAGGGGGAAAATGAATAAAACAGCAAGAATACAACTGAAAGGAGACTAAAAGGAACAAGGGCAAACTGTCTTTGAGCACAAGGCATATGCGTATGCTACACAGAGCGTTGTTCTAGAAATGTTTATAAACAATGGATGTTTGTGGAATGAAAAACTGAATAGCTGTGATATTAAGGCTTTCCACTCCTGGGAAAAATATGGACACCATGGCTTATAAGTTATTTGATTCTGACAAGCATCTTCCTACCTCCTCTAACATTTGGTTATATTAACTATATTGGAGGCTTTTCCTTTTGTTACTCTGTGTTTCTGCCATCTGAAAACAATGAGCTTAAACAGCTATCATGCTGTCATTTTGCCCTGTGAATAGACTCGTTAATATAGAAACCTAATGAAATGATTGTTTTAAAAAAAGAAAAAAAATCCCATTCTATACGTGTTTTACTTCTTAAAATGTCCCTAAATTACAAAGATTCTCTGAAAAGATAAAAAATATCTCACATATTCAGAGGATGACTTTAGCCCATTGTTTCAGGGCTTTTTCATGCCTTATCTCCTTTTAAAAACCATAACAGGCTGTGAAAAACAAAATAAATTAAGGAGAATAGTTCCTTCCTTTTTATGATAAATCTGCATGTGGCGGTGACGGTCAAGTACAAACTGTAAATAAGTGAAATAACTCATAACTAGTAATATACAGGTTAATCAACTATGATTAAAAGTAAATAGGTTTTTCACCAAGAACAATATCTTTAACTCAAAATTAAATAATTGGCAGCATGCTAGGTAAATTATAAAATAAGGAATTTCTAAAAGCAGAGAATGATGTTCTTTCTCCGTTGTCAATCTGATGAGTCTTGGTGACCTTTTGTTCACATTAATGCTGACAAACTGCATCATGCATGACCGTCCCAACCCCCTTCTCCTCCCAATAGTTCCTTCTTTGATTCTAATCTGTATTCAAGGGTGTGGGGTGGGACACTTTAGTAAGGGGTGGGGGCGAGGGGATGGCAATGGTAGACGCTGGTCGGGGCTGTCAATAACCTTGGAGGCCTTTGGGAAGAGCAGAGGACAATAATTTATTGCAGTATAGGAGAGACAGCTAGGAAGTAATTCCTCCGTGTTACCTTTATAATTTGAGAAGGCGTCCAAAGAAATAACACATCAGAGTTCAGTGCTATGAAGGAAAAAGCACTGGACAAGTTATTTGGATGGGTATTCTTGGTTTTCTTGGTTACAATTTAAGGCAAATATGAAACTCAAAAAGGTACCTTGGGACCATCGTGTTCTTGGGAAGTTGACACAAGAACCACAACAGTTTAGAGAAACCCCTAAATATCCATCTTAGAAAAAAAAAGTACACATTTTTAGTTCTTAGGAGAAAGAGCAATAGATTTATTTGAATGAAATAATTAATGAGTCATGGTCCCCCAGACCTTTTTCAGGCATGAAGCTAGCACTGAATACTTTGTGCTTTCAAAGTTTCAAATGACCTTCAGTTAAACTTTTATAACAAGGTTCCTTTAAAACACATTTATGCTTTGCTATTAACACTACTACCAATAATACAGTAATTACTAATAGTGGGTAGTAATGGCATTACATATGAATCTCAGAATTAAAATTAGCTGTTCATCTCCATCCTTCCCAACAGCCTGAGAGTGTGTCAAGACATGGGACCACACAGAATCTTACTGTTTGTATTTTCAACGTCTTGCGTACAGTGACAATAAATGAATGAGAGTTTTAAAAAACTGTATATAAAGACTATTGAGTCCTATTACAAACACATTGTTTACACACATATAAATCTGTGCTATGACACTAGGTATAAGCATACAGAGGACACCTAACTTCACTTGAAGTCTAAGTAAACACAAAACATGGCCTACAGTGATTTCCCTGAGTTGGAGAACCATACACATGTCTGGTTGTCCTTTGGACAAGCTGGTAACATGAAAAAGAGGCAAGACCAATGTAAACACTGATATATTCATGATAATGCAAAAACATTAAGATTCATTAAAATGTTACAAATAAGAAAATCACTTGTGTTTTGGTATTTATATACTTGAAGGAAGTTTATTTGGCATTATGGGAGTTTATTACATTTCTAATCAAAGTCTACTGACGACTCGTGGAGGGAGAGGAAAGCTGTCAGGTTCTCTAACTTATCCATCTGTTCATGCCTCCCCCCTGGATGGCACCCGTTCTCCAATGGAGAAGCGGAGCACTGGCCTCTTGAAAGCTGTCTTTCTGGCACTGCCTTCCTGAGCGAATGAAATGGTTTGGTTTAGAATACCTTCCCTTTCAGTCCTGTCCCAGCTTCCAGATGAATGTCCTTAATTTTAAAGAAGCACAGTCCAATAGTTTCTATGTTGCTGGAAGAAGAAAATTAAATTATGTTGTAATTATGTAGTCAACTAGCATATGGTCCTTTACCGGGGAAAAGTAGTTTTTAACCTCTCCCGTAAACTCTAGAGGGAACTTACAGAAGAGAAATTCAGGCACCAGGAAACACATGTATTCATCATTTTATTGGTTCTTAAAATTTACTGTGACATGGGAGGAGAACCTATCATCCTGCATACTCTCATGAATGTAGCAGATGAAATCCAGGAAAGTTTAATCAATAAAAATGACAGTACATATATTTTTGTAGTACTTAAAAGTTTATAACACACATGCATTATCTCATGTGACCCTCACAAACAACTAAAACTAAGGGCAGGGATGATCTTCAATTTCAAGATAAGAAACCAGGCTTGAGGTTATTAAACTTTTTTTTTAAGACAAAAATCTCACTCAGACTATTACATCTTAAAATGAGGGTTAATCTGGAAATAGGCCAGTCAGTATGAACCTGTTTTTAAGATCATTCAGCTAGTTTGGAGGCAAAGTCAAGACACAAACTCTGCCTTCTCCAAGCAAAATTAGCACTCTTCACAAATTCCTAGAACTACATCAGTAGTTCATGGTCATAGACTATTTACGTAAGATTTCCTGCTTTATAGTTTGGTTTGTCAATGCAGTGCTCTTAGTGGTGGGCATATTTTAAAAAAATCACTTAATAGAAGAAATTAAACAATAATGGGATCTAAACTATTGGAAGAAACAGTTAAAAGTAGTTTTAAAATAAGAGAGGGGAGAGCTGGACATTAAAGTACTAATTTTACTTCTGAAATTATTTTTTTCCAGCTTTCTACATGGTGTTATCTTAATATTTGAAACTCTTAAGATGTCAGTTTGAATCCCTGCATTACATTTTATATAATTTCTGTTGGTATTGCTCATAGAGCTTATGTGACTAATTAAACCTCACTGCAATTACTTTTCAAGCAGAAGCTGTAGTTTACTTATTTCTCAACAAAAACTATGATCATTTGCCTTGTTTCCCATGCATTATTCGATGACTGATTACTGTTACAGCGTGGATTATGTTTTGTATTCCGCAGCACGCAAGCATTAATCTTCACTTATTCTGCAATAGTATAATTCATTAAAACACATGCTTTGAATTTGGGGCACATACAAGAAGATGTAACCACACAGAATACAGTGCTTTTATGACAAAACATAATTAATAAAACATAAAATGTGTTTTATGAAGTTATGGTTTTAATTTGCTATCTCAAGAAATATGCTCTAGCAATTTTGTACAAGGTAACTTCCCAGGAGAATTTAAATCCCCTTCCCCTCCCTTCTCTAGGTACTGAAAGGATTATGATTAATGCACACTAAATCTCTCTTAAATGGAAAAGGTCCTAGCAAATTTCTAAAACCGAATTTGAGCTCCTGAAAAGTATGACAGTCCTAAATCTGGAGCAAACTTTGTTTGACTTCTGAATTCCTATCTGGCCTCTGCTGGCCCCTCTTTTTTTTCTCGACATTATCACACAGCAGGGGACAGAGTGGGCCCAGCCAGAGGCAGCACAAAAGAGCACGGCCACATACGCCCCCACGACCCCGGCAAATGGATGACCTACATTTGATGCAAGCAGTTCACATGAGAAAAATTAATCTGTATTGCAGCTTGCATTTAACCTGTATTTCAAGAGGCAATTAAAGATACATATATATAAAGTAAATATGAGCAAATAAGTATTTCAGACATACATCACTCTAAATTTATAGGAGACATCAGCAAAACTATATGTGTTCATGTAAATGTGCACATGGCCTTCTTTCTCTTAATTCTTCAATCTTCATAAACAAATGTACTAGTGGGAGGTTAGTACAAGTAAAAACAGCATTAATGGGTCGCATATTAATATTTATGTTTTACTATATAAAGACCTTGCATACATTATGACTGTTTTGCAAGATGAATGAATAACTAATGCTACATTATGTATGGGTACATATTAAGCAGACATGTCTACACTTTCTTAGTTCAGGATATGATTAATGCAGCCTATCAGAAGCCAGATGGTGCAGAACCAGAACCATCAATCAAAATGAAAAGACCACTGCGTGCTATCCACAATGAGGTTCTCACAAATGGAGATTCTGTTCACAGACCCTAACTGGTAATAGGCAGAAAACGCCAAGAACATAGCTACACTGTCCCACTGGGATAAAAAAATCATAGCTCAGGCTTGGCTGGATCAAAAATCTGGTGTAGGAATATGCATGGAGTCCTGAGCACCAGGGCTGGGAAAGCCCGAACAAACCAACAGCCTGTCCCTAAGATTAAAAAAAAGAAGAAGAAGCTGTTTAATTATTTTAATAATGTTTGTACTGATGACAGTATCTGTCAAACAGTACCCATTTCCCATTTGATTTAGGATGGGACAGTGCCACATAGTAACAAAGCAGCTGCCACTGTCTGCCTGACACGTGAATTGGCATCTTGTTTCTTTTGCACAGGCTTTATTATAAATAACCCCAAATGCTTTAGTGTTACTTTGCAGCCTTTCTCCAAGGATCTATGGGAAACAATTTTAGTCTCTGTTATGTTTAATACTAATGACTATTTTTGGGGCAGTTGTAGGGAGAAAGGCTGCCGAAAGATGTTTCCTGTTCCTTTAATAGCTTTACATAAAAATAACTATAGAAACACAAGGTGCTTTGTCTTTGTAACTGGATCATGTGTGCCTAGAAAATGTTAAACAATCCCCATGCTCTGTAGAACCTCTGAAAAAAAAAATTTAAACAAATATATAGGTTCGACTTCCTAACAGCCACTAAATACCGTCTCAGAATTCTAGTTGTGTGGAGTTTTGGGGGGTAGACAGATGTGCAAGCAAGGAGAAATTACCAGGAAATACAATTTCTTCCAGAAGAGTAATACAGCAAAATCATGAGATACATAAATAATACATTGAAAAACACAAATAAAAAAAGGATAATGAAGTGAAATTATTTGGAAAACTTAAATGTGTTATCTAAAGATATTTCTGCTTTAAGATAAAAATGTTATTATGACCCTCATAACTTGGCATGTGAGATAATTTGGAAAGAGAACAGCTTTTACTTTTGTACAAGCAATAATAAAAAAAAGGAATGACTACATATTAACATAAATAAGACCTTATGTATAATGGCTGAGCTTAAGAGATTTTTAAAATTTCAGCATCTCCTTCTATCTTCATTAATATGTAGTTCCAAAATAGGGCTGACTTCCTAACTTATATAAAATTGTTACTATTTTTTTCCTCCTAATAATGAGTGTTTTCCACACTGTTATAAATTCTGCGTAAATCACATTTATCAGCTGGGTATTAATCTACTGCGCGTGTACACCATGATTTACTTATATAATTAATTTCCTTAATGATGGATATTCAAGCTTTTTCTTCTATTATTGATAATAATGCAGTGAACATTTTTGTGCAAAGAGATCTTTCTGTCTCTAAGATTATTTCCTCAAAATAGATTTCCAGAAGCTGATTTGCTGAGCTAAACGATATGAACTATTAGCCTCTTTCTAAAATTTATATGCTTATCCAACTCTCTGTATTCTCAAATCAAAAATTTTTAGTAATTTTATAGGTGAAAATAACACTTGATTGGAATTTAAATTTGTATTGCTTTAACTACCAGATAGGTTAAATTTTTTTCCTATGGTTAAACAATGATGTTTTCATTTTAAAGTCTTACTGATGCCTTAGAAAATATTTCTTATTTATTAATTTAAAGAATCACAAAGTGGTCTCTTTGGAATACTAAATTTGTGGGA
This sequence comes from Homo sapiens, assembly GCF_000001405.40. Taxonomy (NCBI): domain Eukaryota; kingdom Metazoa; phylum Chordata; class Mammalia; order Primates; family Hominidae; genus Homo; species Homo sapiens. Next base: position 21,131,842 of record NC_000006.12, on the reverse strand, counting down.
TTATTTGAAAGAAGTAAACTATATTCCTTTAAAAAAATATTTTTAAAATAAAAACATTTCACTAATGCAGAGATCTCCCCTGAAACTACTTCAAATCGATGAAAACTTAACATAATTAACTGAATGCTCTGAACTGATCAATAACATTTTAGAGTAGCCATCTAGCTTTATGGTTTTTTTCTAGTGTTAGGAATGTTAAATGACAGCTGTCTTCTCAGTAATCCTCTCTCATGAAACATGTCTGTTTCACTGCTACCAAAACTTGGATAATGGGTAGTTTGCATCAAATTGCTTTTGACTTGTCTATGGTGACTTTTCTGTTATATACATAACAATACCGACCACACCACATGATATAAAAGTAGTTGTCATCACAATATGTGGGGAATGATCGCCAAAATGGCCTAACAAGAAAACTGAAATTAAACTGATACAGAACTACATATCTTTTTAGAACTAGATGTAATGGAGACAAACACCCTGAAAGGCAGTACTTATCATAAACTGGGATTTCTGAAATTCAGTGTCTATATTTAAACCAGAAGACATGATTAAAAAATATATTTATATCTACAACTAAATCTATCAGAGCCAACCAGATTTTGAACAATGCAGTCATCCAAATTTTCTCTGGCCCAGTCACAGCCTTTTTGAAAAAAAGTAGCACTTACTCCTTTTATGCCTTATTATGCAAATCATACTATATAAAAGGTAGACAATTTGGAAGCACAGACATATACGTAATATTGCCATTTACACTGGATCTACTGTTTTGTAACTGTTTTTTGAACTTTGGTATATCATAAGCCCTGCCCTGGAAGTAGCTTTTGGGAACACTCTCCTTTTAATCCCATCCTGGGAGCTGGTGCAGAAGGAAAACTGGGGGATAAGAGGACTTACAGTATTGCTGATGAAAGAGGAATTCCAAATCCACCACTAGCTGGCAGGTCCTTTTAGTCCTGGCATTGGCAATTTCTGCCATACCTTCTTCTCACTACCTTGCTGCCCCAACCCTAGCCACTGTACTCTTTGGGCGATGGCTGTGGAGGGGTCTGCCTTGGGACCAGGGTGGTGGCAGTTCCCTGAGACCTAGTCTACTGTGGCTTTCCACCAGTAGACAAGTAAAAAGGTCAAGCCAAAGAAGCTGTCTTTCATACAAACTCAAGTAGGTCTACAGAACTCTAGGTGAGTAGTTGTGTGATATTGTACCACTATAACTTCCCCTGCCATCTGTATGGGGGTCTCCAATCAAAGTCAACTAACCTGGAAATTCACATTTAATTGAGCAAATCAGGGGTTTATAAAAATGTTAGGTCCAGGCCAGGCTTGGTGGCTCATGCCTGTAATCCCAGCACTTTGGGAGGCCAAGGCAAGTGGATCACCTGAGGTCAGGAGTTTGAGACCAGCCTGGCCAACATGGTGAAACCCCGTTTCTACTAAAAACACAAAAATGAGCTGGGCGTGGTGGCGGGTGCCTATAATCCCAGCTACTCGGGAGGCTGAGGCAGGATAATCGCTCGAATCCAGGAGGCAGAGGTTGCAGTGAGCTGAGATCGCACCATTGCACTCCAGCCTGGGGAACAAGAGCGAAACTACATCTCAAAAAAAAAAAAAAAAAAAAGTTAGGTCCAATTTGCTACAAGGCAGAGTGTACTAGAGTTTTGAATCACAGAATACTTGGAAAAAAAGGGTGTTCTTGTTCTGTGAAATGCAAACATTAAAAATCAACAATAGCTAGAAACAAAAATAAATAATGACAAAAAACCCCCCAAAACCAACAACAACAAAAAACAAACACCCTGTGGTGAGGTGAAAGACATATCAGACTAGGAGTCAGCAAATATAATTTCAAGGTTTCATTTTATTATTAACTAGCCAATTGCATGTGGGCCTTCGTTTCCATACCTAAATTTTTAAAAAAAGTAGAAAAAAAAGGGACTGTATTAAGCTGATCCTTATAAATTCCTGACTCCTTTCAGTGCTAACATTTAATAATTCCAAATATTCTATTACTTTGATTATTTAAGGGACAAACTTAAAAAGCTATCTACCATCAATGCATTAGTATGTGTGAAATACTCTAGGTATTTTTATTTTGTATTATATCTAGAGTTAGTACAATTACTCCATTTTTTCCTTTTTTTTTTTTTTTTTTTTTTTGGTAAACTGCAGTCAGAATGTATAGTCTCCTATAAGACAATAGTGTTTATATAAGTGGATGGCTGGAACACATCAACGTGCCTACAACATGCTGCTGAGTCTACACACATCGAAGCAAAATTCTAAGGTGCAGGAACTGTTGGGAAATTGTAAATTATGAGGTCTACCCTGGGTTCACATATGTCAGTTAGCTTTTTGAGCCTTCTTACCATAGGCTTTTTTTCTACTCACAGTAGGTTGGAGACTTTCAGTTCTAGTCCAAAATGGACTTGTTTTAAAAACAACAGAAAATTTTAATTGGCTCAGAGAGAACCAGAACAATATTTTCATTTTTCTCCTTTAGATTTCCAGCTGGTTAGGTTTCTTTTTTATCTAGTTGAAGGACCCTGGTCATATTTTTCAGTATTCAATCACATGCTTTCTTTAATCACAATAAAATTATCTCACTGCTAATATGTTTTTTTCCAGATATCTAGTTACAGTAATAAATACTTATGGATAGAATTTATAATTATTATTTAACAACTAACATTTATTAAGTGCTTACTACATTCAGAGCACTGTGCCAATCTCTTCAACATACATTCTCTTGTTTAATCCTTATAATAACCCCATTGGGGAGGTACTATTGTTTTTATTCCCATTTTAGAGACAAAAAAGCTGAGCCTCAGAGAAGCTAAATAAATTACCAGTGTTGCACAGTGAGTGAAAGGCAGATTCAAACCCAGGACAGACTGCACCTCCATTGAAAACTGTCCAAAATAGTTTCAAATCTTACTGGGTCTTGTAAGTTTTATGGTACAATGGTCCATTATGCTGTTCAACACCCCTTAACAGAAAGATTGATGGAATATATTCTATTTAGAGATTTGCCCTAAGCAAGGTTGTCATTCCTCTTGAATGATATACTTTCTGCTATTACAAAATGAGAGCTGTGCATTTAGCTGTGTTTGTCTTTTTGCCTTTGCTTCCCAGAAACCCAAGCTTTTATTCTTAATTGTGGCAGTGACTCAGATTTTGTGAGTGACCAGCACATCTCTTCTTATTTTATCCTAAAATATCTTGTTATATATTTCTAATATAGGCCATTCTGAGGCGTCTTCAGCCAAAATAAAACATGAAAACAAAAGAGGTTTTAAGTAACAAAGGCAGTGTGTTAGCAAAATAGAATTACATTTTAATTATGATGATATTTTCTTTGGCCAGGTAAAGTCAACCCAATGAGGTAGTAAAATTGAATGTAACAATTAACTCTGACTTTTCATTACAGATGATTCTCAACATATGATGTGGTTACATCCTGACAAACCCATTCATAAGTTGAAAATATTTTAAGTTGAAAATGCATTTAATATAACTAACCTACTGAACATCGTAGCCTAGCCTAGCCTACCTTAAACATGCTCAGAACACTTTTGTTAGCCCAGTTGGGCAAAACCATCTAACACAAAGCCTATACTATAGTAAAGTGTTAAGTATCTCATGTAATTTATTGAATTGTGTACTGAGAGTAAAAACAGGATGGTCATATTAAAACTCCAAGTACAGTTTCCACTGAACATGTATTGCTTTCCCACAATCGTAAAGTCAAAAGAAAACTTGTAAGTCGGACCATTGTAAGTCAGGGACCGTGTGTTTATGCTTTAACACATATTATCTCACTGGATACTCACAAACTTTGAGATGTATTACTTACATCTGCATCTAGCAGAAAACAAAACCAGTGATCAAAGAAAATAAATAACTTATTCAGGGTCATCCAGGTAGTTAAATGGCAAAGCAATAATTTGAAGTCAGTCTTCAGACTCTACTGTACCATTCTAATATTTAGTAAAGCCAGTTTTAACATTTGCAAAAAAGCTTAAACTCATAAATTCAGTGACACAAGTTCTTTCCTCTTTCCTCCCTCTCTCCCTCCCTTCCTTTTATTCCTGAGATAGAGTCTCACTCTGTCACCCAGGCTGGAGTACAGTGGCGCAATCTAGGCTCACTGCAACCTCCGCCTTCCAGGTTCAAGTGATTCTCCTGTCTCAGCCTCTCAAGTAGCTGGGATTACAGGCACCCACCAGGACACCCAGCTAATTTTTGTATTTTTAGTAGAGACAGGGTTTCAACATGTTGGCCAGGCTGGTCTTGAACTCTTGACCTCAAATGATCTGCTGACCTCGGCCTCCCAAAGTATTGGGATTACAGGTGTGAGACACTGTGCCTGGCCTTTTTACATTGTTTATAAAAATAAAACATATTACACCTTTTTCTGGCATTCACTTAACTAGAAATTCAACAAGGTCCAACATGGTTCAATCAAACAATTCCTCTATATCGACATGTATGACATTTTGAATTAAATATATATTACTCAAATGTTGATGGAACACTTTTTGACAGATAATATGATAACTTGCATTATTGTGAATATTTGCTATTTGCCCTTCCTGTATTCATTCTTCTCTCCTAGGGGCATTCGCCACTGCTTCATCCTTCACATCCCAGTCAATGCTTGGGTTAGTTGCACCCTCAGTTCCTGGGGTAAAAATCTTGATTGGCTTAAGTCAATCAACACATTAACACCCTGGCCCAATTCTGAGAAATGTACATAACCCAAATCGACCAGGTTTGATGAAACTTTGGTTGGCTATTCCAGGACAGATGCCATCTCTCTTCTTCGTATTTGAAAGTAAGAAGAGTGTGGTGTGGAGCTGGGGCAGCCACTTTGCTACCTCTAAGGAGGTAAGCCTGAAAATAGTCAATATATCAAAGACTGCCAAGAAAAGGCTGCTGGTGATACCACTTGAGTCCTGAATCAAACTTTGCTTAATGCAAAAACTACCTTGACAGTTCAATTAAGGAAGCCAATAAATTATAAATATAAATGATCTCTTTGTTTAAACCAGCATGAGTTGGGTTATTCATAACATAGTCCTAAATAAAATATCTAATAAGCTACTTAATATCCTTAGGGAAATGTCAGGTTATCAGATTAAGCATAACATAGGTAAAACTAGAAATTCAAAATGGCAAGCTCACGTCTGCAATTTGAGCAATACAAATAGAAACTGATTCATGAGGGGTGGGAGCTGCAGTACAAGCAAAGGAAAAGGGAAGAGGACTCAGGCAAGTGGTGAAGTTTACAGAAGAGCCAGAAGCGGGAAAATGAGCTGACTGCAGATGCATAAAAGCATCAAGGTTGAGTGCTCAGCTGAGATGGGAATGGGTAACGATAATAAAGCCAATGAGCATAACTTATTCTCTAGAACACTTGGAAGCAACACAACACACACATTGTGTATATGTGTAGGACCCAAGCACAGTATATCTTAAAGCACCCCAGCTGATTCTAATGTGCCATCAAGTTTGAGAATCTCTGGAATGGAGGGGGCATCGCTCCATTATAAGGAGCTTTACTCTCTTTATATAACTACAGAGGAAAGAACAGACTGCTATTAAATCATTCCCCTTAATTTCACTTAAATGTAACATAATTGGGAATAGAAAGATCGATTTTAAATATGAAATATGGAAATACTGTGGAAACACTGCTGTCCACACATGATTTTAATTTCCTGTGGGTACATGGAATACAAAAGATGTGTGAAAGAAACATATACTAGAGCACCTGTGTAAGAGAAACTCTGACCTTGGAAAACATCACCCTCTTTCTTTAAATGAACTTTGATTGAACATCTGTTATGTGTCAGCCACTGTACTAGTCCTCCAGAGCTGCATATAGACTTTAGTTAACACAAGCCCTGCCCTCAAAAACTTCAGTTATCTAGGGGAGACACACAATGAGGTCGGGGAAGCACAGAGATTGTGGGAGCGCATGAAAGGGACACCTAACTCCCCAGAGGAGCTGAGAGTAGAGGAAGACAGGAGAGCTCCTAGAAGGAAGCAGCAGCTCTGATTTCTGATGGTGTATTAGTCCGTTCTCACACTGCTATAAAGAACTGCCCGAGACTGGGTAATTTATAAAGAGGTTTTTTGTTTGTTTGTTTGTTTTTTTGAGATGGAGTTTCACTCTTGTTGCCCAGGCTGGAGTGCAATGGCGCAATCTTGGCTCACAGCAACCTCCGCCCCACCCCCGCCGGGTTCAAGCGATTCTCCTGCCTCAGCCTCCCGAGTAGCTGGGATTACAGGCAAGCACCACCATGCCCGGCTAATTTTGTATTTTTAGTAGAGACGGGGTTTCTCCATGTTGGTCAGGCTGGTCTCGAACTCCCGACCTCAGGTGATCCACCCGCCTTGGCCTCCCAAAGTGCTGGGATTATAGGTGTGAGCCACTGTGCCCGACTAAGGAAAGAAGTTCAATTGACTCACAGTTCCTTATGGCTGGGGAGGCCTCAGGGAACTTATGATCATGGCAGAAGACAAAGGGGAAGCAAGGCACCTTCTTCACATGACGCTAGGAAGGAGAATGAATGCAGGAGGAACTACCAAACACTTATAAAACCATCAGATCTCATGAGAACTCACTCACTGTCATGAGAATAGCACAGGGGAAATTGCCCCCATGATTCAATCACCTCCACCTGGCTTCTCCCTTGACACGTGGGGGTTATGTGGATTATAATTCAAGATGAGATTTTGGATGGGGACACAGCCAAACAATATCATATTGGGAAAGATGAAACAGATGAATGAAGTGACGGTGGCTTCTAGAAACAAAAAACAACTTATGAGTAGACACTGAGACCACAGAGAGTGTAGCATACTGGGGAAAGCATGGAATATGAGGTAAAAGGTAAGGAGCTACTAGCCAGGAAGGGCCTTATGGATCATGTTGGGGCTGTATCCTGTAAGTGACTGAGGGCTACATAAGAATTTTACACAGGGGATCAACAGTCTGGATGGCATTTTATAAGTATCCCCATCAAAGCAGTGAGAGAATGGATTGGGTTTTGGGAGAAGCCAGTGAGAATGGAAATAGGAAAATCAGTTGGGGAGAGATGAGGAAATTCAGGAGAAAACTGCCACCAAGTGAACCTATAATTTATCTAGATTTGACCTCGTTCTCTTTGTGGCCATTGCCATTGCCACAAAGAGAACGAGGTCAAACCCAGATAAATTACAGGTATAGATCTGGGAAAATGAGAACAATCAAAAGTAGTGGGTAAAGGGAGTGGGAGGAGTCTAGGATGACATTCTGGTTTTGGTTCAGTAGCTGGAGAGATGTAATATTCATCGAGGTAATAAATACAGTGATGAATTCAGTCCTGGATATAGTGGGGCTGGGGTACCATTCAAAAGGAAATGCCCCCGAGTCTGTTGCATGTATGTCTGGGATGCATCTGAGCAGCCATGGCCTACCAAGGAACAGGACTCTACTGTGAATGGGCAGCAGCAACATCAGAGAGACACAAATGAAGAGAAATGTGAAGGAGGAAGCCAGAGAAGCCAGAAGAAACCCTGATAGAGATACATGCTAACAAGCACTATTCCATTATCAAACTATGTCCTGAAAATTACAAAATACACACAAACACCTATGTTTAGATAAGTATTTTGCAATCCTTGAGTGAAGTTTTAAGTACATATCTATTACATATTCAAAATTTATCATGAATACTCGATTTGAAAATGATTTTTCATCCATGGATTTAAAAACCATTTGGCTTTGTTTAAAATGAGAACATGTGCATGTTACAACTGAAGTGAGAACTAGTGAATGTTTAAAGCAACAAGTACAAAAAGAGAAAGCTGAATCACTAATCAGTCCTAGAAAGGTATTCCTAAGACGGAAGTGTTTGCAGCTGCTGACCTTTGGGGGGCACTAATTTGGTGATAGCTGGGTAGCAATTTAAATCTGTTGTTCTAAGCCCTAGTGCAGACTGTGATAGTATTTCAGAAGGAGATAATAGGTTTGCCTCAAATTTTCAGAGCAAACTTTCAGGTTTGGACCTTATCTTCTTCAAGTAAGTGAAGGGTTAGTGACTGTAAAGTCATATAAACACATCAAAAATAGGTCTGTGATAAAAGTGGACTTTTACAACATGTGGGAGTGAACTTCACCCATGTGGAGATGCTTATGCAAGAACAAGAATGCTTCAGTTCCTGAACACAGGGCCCCGGAGCAGGACCAGGTTGTACTGTAAAAGACAGGTTGAGTTTTTAACAAGACTCTGACTCAAGCCCTATCAACTAAACTTAAGGCACCAATATCCACACTTAATTTGTAGTACACTCAAAGACCTTCAGAGTTTTCCTGTTTTTTTGTTTTGTTTTGTTTTGAGATGGAGTTTCGCTCTGTTGCCCAGGCTGGAGTGCAGTGCTGCGTTCTTGGCTTACTGTAACCTCCGCTCCCCCAGGCTCAAGTGATCCTTCCACCTCAGCCTCCTGAGTAGCTGGGACTACAGGCACACACCACCACACCTGGCTAATTTTTCTATTTTTTGTAGAGATGGGGTTTCACCATGTTGGCCAGGCGGGTCTCCAACTCCTGGCCTCAAGTGACCCACCTGCCTCAGCCTCTCAAAGTGTTGGGATTACAGGTATCCCAATGCCGTGCCCAGCCACTGTTCAGAGTTTTAAAGACACTTATAAGGTGGGGAAAATAATATTAGCCAGAAAACCTGGGCTATCTGTGGAGAATTAAGTCATCTCAGCTAGTCTTGATATCAGCCAGAGTTCATATTTTACACAGCATGTACATCTATACATACACATATATATACACATACAAATGTACATAAAAACACATAATGTATTTCCTATCTCCTCTTTTTAAAGCAATTAAATCCAGCTGGGAGAGGTGGCTCATGCCTGTAATCCTTTTTATTTTGAAGGGCCAAGGTGGGAGGATCGCTAAAAGCCAGTAGTTTGAGACCAGCCTGGGCAACATAGTGAGACCCTCCCCCTACCAAAAAAAAAAAAAAAAAAAAACCTAACTGGGGATGGTAGTGTGTGCCTGTATCCTAGCTACTCAGAAGGCTGATGTGGGGGGATTGCTTGAACCCAGGAGTTCGAGGCTGCAGTGAGCTATATCATTGTGGCACTGTACTCTAGCCTGGACAACAGTGTGCGATCTTGTCTCTAAATAAATAAATAAATAAATAAATAAATAAAATACAGTAACAAATCAGTATTACATCCTACATTCTCAAAGGTTGAAAACAGAGAGGCCTATGCAATATGGAAATATTCAGATATCTGTAACCAAACTAACCAAAGCAAAGTCTATAAAGCCAAGTAGTCTAATGTGAGAAAAGTCTGAAATTCAAAGAGAAAAGCATAAAGGATATAGACTCTGTGAAGTAATAAAGACTTTCTTAAAGCCCATACTCTTATAGCTGAGAAAAACGAAAAAACTCCTATGAGCTCATGTTCCATTAAAAAACAAAACAAAATGTGGTACTTCAAAAAGAAGGCTTTATTTCTTTATACTTTCTGTAGTGGAAATACATACTGAATAACAATAGTCCAAGACCACGTGATTTGTACAGACAGTGTAATATATTTTAAAATGCAAATTCTAAAATGTAGGACTTACATAAATCTTGCCAAATTCTTATTAGGATCCTGTACAGATTACGTAAAAACATTTTGACTCTTGTTTGGATAAAATATCAACAATATTCTGAAGAACTCTTTCAATTCAAAGTTTTTGGTTTTATTAATAAAGGTTTTTAAATGTTTAAACTGAGCTCCATAGGGCTTAGTTATTTTTAAAATGAAATCAGGTGGTTTGTGATAAGGTCTAGAGGTTTTGTGTGTATGGGGGACAGGACGGCACAGGTAAAGACCACGTAACCCCAAAACCCACGACCACTGCAGCTGTTAGGAAGAATTAAGATCTCTATACACACTTTGCTGAAGTTTTAGAAGAGGAAACATATTAATTCCTTCAATCAACAGATATTTACAGAGCACCTCCCACATGTCAAGAACTGCTTTGGTGTTGGGGAAAAAAACAACATTGAACAAAATAGACAAAATCCCTACTTACATTCTAATAACTACAATTTCACATTAAAATAACCAGATATTTATTGAACATATACCATGTGGTGAGTACTAGTGGTACAGCTGACATTCTAGAAACTATAACTTTACTGCAAGAATAGTCATTTATTGAGCACTTACTGTGTGCTAGATGCTATTCTAGATGCTTCCCATTTAATCCCTATGACAAACTTCTAAGGCAAGTATTAGCAAATTTCATCGATTCTAAGATGCACATTATTTTATATTTTAGCATTTCTCAATTTAAGACACCATTGTAATGGGCATTTTTTCCTTAGCGTTATGTGAATTAATGGTGAGTCTTACAATTAATAAGACTTAATAATGGCTTAGAGTCTATGGAACGCAGTATTCTCATTTTACAGAGGAGAAAACCAAGGCAAAGAAAACTTAAGTATCTTGCCGACATCATCTAGCTTGCAAGTGGAAGAGTCAGAAATTCTAAAACGTGGATTTTAAAAGTTTAAAATCAAAGACCAAATCACTCTGTTTTTGTGGCTATTTCTAATAACTGAGTGACACCATTCATAAGAGAAATATAAATTAAAACTATAAGAAGTTATCTTTGTTTCCCTAATAGGGAAAGATTTTAAAAGTTAGTTGACATGGTGTATAGCAGGGGTGTGGGGAAACAAGCGCTGTCTTACATTGTTGATGGGCATGTACACTGGAACATCTTGCTGAGTGGGTCTCGGCCAATATCTATCATGATTTAATATGTACACATCTAATATCTAGATATTCACTTCTAGGAATTTATCCTACAGGTGACAGTTATACATTGATAAGATGACATGTTTGTGAGATTATACACTGCACAGCACTGTTTGTAAGACCAAAAACATCAGATGCCACTCAAAGATCCACCAGTAAGAGTCTAGTTAAATAAATATGGTGAATAACTGGTATATAATATATACAGCTATTTTTTTAAAAAAGAATGAGGCAGCTCTTTAGGTACTGTTTGAAATTATCTCCAAGATATACTGTAAAGTGAAAAAAGAAACAGAAGACTTTCTAGTATGATAATATTTAAATTTTTAAAAAGCACATATCTATATAAAAACACATACTGACATTTACATGAAGGTATGTATTTGTGTATGCATAAAATAACTCCAGAAGCATATATACAAAACCAGCAACAGTGGTTGCCTCTGGAGAAGAAAACAGGGGTCTCTAGGATAAGGTTACAAAGGGAGAATTTCCTTGAATAGGGTATTAAGTGCATGTATTACTTAATTTATAATTAAAACCAAGCATAAACTTACTTAGGACATTCTCCCACAGCTGTGGTTATTACTACTGGAACATTCCAACTGTATTAATTTTTGCAAAGACAGAGCACAAAACTGGGAATTAAAAGACTGGATTTTAGCCCTGAATTTGCTGTGGGATGATGGGTAAGTGCCTTGTACAGTTATAGTATCCAGATTCAAAGAATGGTAAAATACACTTCATATATATAACACATTCAATTCTAGTCCATAATTCAAGGTCTTCGGGGAGACGGGGCCCCTGCCCCAATGGATTGTAAGCATCTTACTCTAGTTATTCTGCCTGCCTCCTAGGAAAAACCTCAAATGTTTGTTAAATGGAAGTGAATTATATGAGCACACAATGTCAAATAATAAAGGTATATACAAGTCAGAGTGGTAGCAAGAGGTGAGAGCAATCCTCTGTGTCTATCAGAAAAGAGGCAAAGAAGGTGAAATTAAACTGGGTCTTGAAGGATGAGTATTAAATCAACAGGACAAAAAAGCCTCTCTTCCCTGAACAACAGAGGAGGGATGGAGGAGGGCGGTGGGACTCCATGAGCTCTAAGGGCCTTTCCAGCTCTATAGTGTAAGACTCTTACAAGGGAGAATGGATGAACCTTGGATTGAACCTAGTACTGAGTTTTCACCTTACTGTCTCCAATAGAAGGGAAACAGGTACCCAAATGCACCATGTTGAAGAGCCCAAGCTCACAACAGAGGAAAAAAAGCAAGAACCCCTAAGAAATTGTGTGGGGAAATGCAAAAGTAGGTGGGATACTAAGAAAATATAAGTATAAAGAATGGTATAAGAAGATCATCAACAAACATGGAAGGAGAAACTGAAAGCAACAAAACCCATGACCACTGCAACTGTTAGGAAGAATTAAGATTTCTACACACACCCTGCTGAGGTTTTAGAAGCGAAAACCTATTAATTTCTCCAATCAACAGATATTTACAGAGCACCTCCCACATGTCAAGAACTGCTTTGGGTGTTGAGGAAACATTGAACAAAATAGACAAAATCCCTACTTAAATTCTAAAAATTGTAACTTCACATTAAAATAACCAGTTATTTATTGAACATATACCATGTGGTGAGTACTAGTGGCAGAGCTGACATCCTAGAAAGTATGATTTTACTATAAGAATCATAGTCATTTATTGAGCACTTACTGTGTGCTAGATGCTATTCTAGATGCTTTCCATTGAATCCTTATGACAACCCTCTAAGGCAAGTATTAGCAAATTTCATTGATTCATACTTTCTAACAGAAAGTAAACCAGGGAAATGAAGTTCTCAACAGGAAGAAAGAGGAAGGGAGGGGAGGAAAGGAGCAGAGGAGGGGAAGATGGTCGGGACGAAGGGGAGAGGGAGTGAGGCAAATCCTAAAAACATCAGCTATATCCAGTGAAACTTTTAAGTTAGAAATGAAAGTGTCCATAAGAATTAAAAAGTAAATAATAAAGATAAAAAAAGCAGCTTTAAAAAGACACCCTCCACTGCCACCCGCAAAGCCTAAACTGAATTCGAGATTTCTGTTTTAAGCATTGTAGCTGGATTATTGTTATACTTCAACGTAATTAAAAGTGGAATAGTCTCCTTTCTTACCCATGTGTCTACCACATAACGATAGCTAAATTCAAACAAAGTTGAGTCTTTAAAATTCCTTTATTTTTATTTGAGACATGTGCATTTAAAATGCCTCTGGAATTCTCAAAGGTACCCAAAGGCAGAGTGTTGAATAATGGAAAATATTAACAATCATTAGGAGAAGCTGGTTGACTTACTTTCTTTCCAGATGCTAAAATTCTCTAGTTTCTCAATTTCAAGAGTGTTAACGTATACGTTTAAAAGTGCAATAAATGCTAACTGTAATCATGTCTTCTAAATCTTACACGAAAACCCCAGAGAAAATAAATTATTGGCCCATGGAAATACTTTCATCTCACTATTCTTTGTAAACAGAAATCTGGAAATGGTTTTGTGCAACCCTGAATCTGTGTTGGAGGTTGGTAATCATCTGAGAGTGGCCTTTTAGCTGCTGTTAAAAATATTGCTGAGGAAGACAAAGGCAGACCTGGGGAGCCCAGTCTGCAAACAGCATCAGCCCAAACTACCAATCACAGGACCCTTGACAGTCTTCAAATGTGAGCAGCGCAGAAAAAGGAGGAAAAAGCAGTAACGGCCTCCTCACTTCTCTAGTGGATGCCTATATTCCTTGTTTAAAGCATCAGCAGCATTAATGTTTCTCAGTATGTCTCAATATAAACAACTTCAGCTACAAAGAAGTCATTAATTATATTTTATGATAAAATGTATCACGGAGAAACAAAGTGAACCTTCTGGGGGGTAGGGAGAGATTGGAAAATTCTTCTTCCTGGAAAATATAATATGGACACTTTTAAATTTAATTTTCTTTGTGCCTGCTGAACAATTTTCCAAACAAGTTCCCCAGGTTAAAACTTTGTCAGCATATTTGAGAGAACCAAAGGCAAATTAAAACTTTTTCTTCTTAAATGAACGAATAAAAGTTTGAAAAACTGTAGCTGACACACGTGTTAGCCTTTGATGGGGAGACCAGGTGCATTATATACAAGGATAGGATTAGGAATAGGAAGAAGCTTCCTCAGGTCCTTTGTAGTAAACCAAGGGGAAGTTTTACAATCATTTTGTATTTCATTCCATTGTGGGTGCTGTTGTTTGTCTTTCGAGCCTCAATTTGCCCAAGTGGAATGTATAATGCTCACGCAACTAGGGTTTCCAGTTAAAAACAGGGCACACAGCTAAATACAAATTTCAGATAAATAATGAATAAATTTTTTTGAGACAGGGGTCTCTCTCTGTTGCCCAGGCTGGAGTGCAGTGGTGCAATCACAGCTCACTACAACCACCAGCTCCTGGGGTTAAGCAATCCTCCCACCTTAGGCTCCCAAGTAGCTACAGGCGCCCACCACCACACCCAGCTGATTTTTGTAGTTTTTTTTTGGTAGAGATAGGATTTTGCCATGTTGCCCAAGGTGGTCTCAAACTCCTGGGTTCAACAGATCCGCCCACCCTGACCTCTCAAAATGCTGGGATTACAGGCGAGAACCAACTGTGCTCTGCAATGAATGGATTTTTAGTATAAATATGTCCCACATATTGCATGGCACATTCTAAAAAAAAAAAAAAACAATTTATCTGAAATTTGAATTTAAGGGGGTGTCCCTTATTTTTATTTGCTAACTCTGGCATGTAACAGGACTTATATACCAAGTAGATGGTGTGCTAGCCAAGTTTGTCCTCTGGATGGGGATAAGAAAGGTTGGTAAGCACACACTGGTGGGGAGATACAGGAAAAAAAACAGAGCTGTTGGGGCAGGGTATGTATCAAGACTCTGACATCGTCAAGAGAGAAAGAGAATGGGGATACATCTTAACTGGGTGCAAAGACTGATAACCAGGGACATACCCAGGGCAACTGGTGACAGAACAGGAGGTGACCAGCCCCGGGATGGAGGGGAAGTACTCTGGCTCTTGGCACAGTGACATTCCTCTTTGTCCCTTTGCTAGTTTCTTCCTCATACTAGTGAATTTCATAGAGGAAGTATATAACCAATGACAGTTGAAACACAGATACTTTTAGGCGTGGTAAATAATTTGAAAATACAGTAACTGCCATATCTATGTAGACCTGTTGATTAATTTATTAATACTTTTATACTGAATGTTAGCAAAGGATTTCATCATGAACTTTGCCTTTTCCCTATTACTGATATTCCTGGGAGTTCTTGGATGGGGAGGTGCAGGGGCGAGAATATGCTGCTAAGTAGGGTATTCTTAAATGATGACCTAGGAAACTTTCCAATCTCTGCACTGTGACCCCACCTGTCCATAAAAGGCAGTCACAAATGCCATCAGCTGAACAGGATGGCATCCTATCTCTTCTCTCCTGCCCTGCTGCCATTTTCCCATCTCCACGTATACTGCTCTGTAATTTACTAGCATACTCACCTTAGAATGTTGGTATAAAGATAAATGAGTTATGTGCATATGTAAAGCTTTGAGAATAGTGCTGGTTACATGGTATGCTTTAAATGGTTGCTTTATTACAATATTAATCATCATAATAAAAGTCTACTCAGATTTCAATCTCTTTGTCAATCCTCAGGGTAACTGGCTGAGAAAAATTCTGGCATCTATGGGTCTCTGGATATATCATCTTAAGCGCACCGAATTTCTGCCATTTGTAAATACCTCGATTCTACCCATCTCTGCAGTTACAGTAAGAAAATAAGTTAAACTGATATGTAAAAAATCATGCTTAATTTTTAGAATAATGCCATCTTAAAAAGGCAAAGGAAAAAATATACAGGTATGATATCAAAATTAGGCCAAAATGTATAGGTATAATTGTTAAACATAATCTGCTACTCAAATCACAAGCTGACGAGGGTTAAAAATGAGAAAAATGCCTTTGGATTAGGTTGGCATTGATGAGGATGCAAGGAATGGCTAGGGTTACCCTCTGCTGAAGCAGGAAACAGCTCAGCTATGTCTGCATCTTTGGTAACAACTCTATGGTCACTTTGAGAGGGAAGATACTTTAATAAACAAAAGCACAGATTTTGCACCGAAAGAGCTCTTCAGTATGTCCTTATTTCAAGGCTGGGTCATTCCTTTGGCTTTAGAATGAGGATGAGGAAATGGATTTAACACTTATTGAGGTACTGACTTCCCTGTGTTTCAAGGGCATACCCTGAGCATGGTTTTCGTATAAGGACATGTATCAATAAAACAATAGGGAATCTCATCAACTAGACATTTATTCAATTGTTCCTGATATTTAACAACATCCCTAAAATTACTTTTTAAACACTTTTTTATTTTTGCCAAAGATGAGAAATAGAGTTAAGTGCACAAATGGCTTTGGACAATCTGCTGCAGAGAACTGTTTTAAGCATGGCATAAACATGCCAAATCAATAACTTGTTTCTTTATCTGCATGTGCCATGAAAACCTGGCTATCATAGAGTGCCGGATCCATTAAAAACTGAATTTGCTATTTCCAGACAGCAGATAGCTCAAAGCTCAACAGGGCCAGCAGGCAAGAATCCAAACCCACATCTCTCTCTCTCTAGAAAAACAACTCAAAGCACTCTGTTGCTACATTATGTTATTCAAAGCACAGGAGATAATGAAGGCTTGACAATACCGTGGCTCTCAGGATTGAGTCAAATGGCCATTATTCTTCAAACATAAAGAGCTGGGTGAAGTGACTTTTGTAATCTTAAATCACTAGACAAATCTGATTAAAAGAGAAATGTAAATCAGTAAGTGACATCTGAAATGAAACTGTCCCTTTTCCATATTTAAGAAACTTGATGTCACAGAGATGCCTAGTCTTTGAGGAAAGAAGGAATGGTGGTATAACCCAAGGCTTTTGATATAGATTTTTGCTGTATGCCTCTGCCCAAAGCTGTAGAAAATATTTTACATTTTTATTATATAATATTTTACTGTACACTAGTAGATATGAATTCCCTGTACACTAGCAGATATGAATTAACAACAGTTCTTAAGGTAGTCATAGGAAGTGTGATTATTGAAATATATATCAATATTTTTTGTATATTTAATACTACAATTAAAAATTCATTGTCCTGATACACTACTTAAAATTATCCCACTCAAGTTATGCCTAGTGCCGTCTTTTATCTTTTCTTTTCTTTTTTCTTTTTTTGAGACAATGTCTTGCTCTGTCATTGAGGCTAGAGTGCAGTGGTGCGATCACAACTCACTGCAGCCTCGAACTCCTGGACTTAAGCCATCTGATCCTCTTGTTTCAGCCTCCCGAGTAGCTGGAAACACAGGCACATGCCACCACACCTGGCTAATTTTTAAATCTTTTGTAGAGACAGGAGTCTCCTTACGTTGTCCAGGCTGGTCTCAAACTCCTAGGCTCAAATGATTCTCCCACCACAGTCTCCCAAATTACTGGGATTACAGGGATGAGCCACCACATCCAGCTTAGAGGAGTCTTTCTTTAAGACAAAAATATAATAAAAATCTCAAAGACTAATATTTTATAGCATCTAATTAAGTAAATAATTTGGGGTGATAATGATTCTACTTTCCTCATCTTTTATCTCAAACACATTTTTTTTGGTCCCTTACCCAACTATCAACACTTATTCAACCACTCTTTTGCTGCTTTTTTTTTTTTTTTTTTTTGAGACAGAGTCTTGCTCTGTTGCCCAGGCCAGAGTGCAGTGGCGAGATCTCGGCTCACTGCAAGCTCCGCCTCCCAGGTTCACGCCATTCTCCTGCCTCAGCCTCCCGAGTAGCGGGGACTACAGGCGCCGGCCACCACGCCCGGCTAATTTTTTCTGTTTTTAGTAGAGACGGGGTTTCACTGCGTTAGCCAGGATGGTCTCGCTCTCTGGACCTCGTGATCTGCCCGCCTCGGCCTCTCAAAGTGCTGGGATTACAGGCGTGAGCCACTGCGCCCGGCCGGAGCTTTTTTTTTTCTTTTTCTTTTATATATGGGCTCTTGCTCTGTTGCCCAGGCTGGAGAGCAGTGGTGCAATTATGGCTCACTGCAGCCTGGACTGCCTGGGCTCAAGAGATCCTCCTGCATCAGCCTCTCAAGTACCTGGGACTACAGGCACACAGCACCACACCTGGCTAATTTTCTTTTTAAAACATTTTTTGGCCAGGCACGGTGGCTCATGCCTGTAATTCCAGCACTTTGGGAGGCTGAGGCGGGTGGATCACCTGAGGTCAGGAGTTCGAGACCGGCCTGGCCAACATGGTGAAACCCCATCTCTACTAAAAATACAAAAAGTTAGCCGGGTAGGCTGAGGCAGGAGAATTGCTTGAACCCGGAAGGCAGAGGTTGCGGTGAGCTGAGATCAAGCCACTGCTCTGCAGCCTGGATGACAAGAGTGAAACTCCATCTCAAAAACAAAAACAAAAACAAAAAAACCCCGTTTTTTTGTAGAGATGGGTTCTTGCTATGTGCCCAGGCTGGTCTCAAACTCCTGGCCTCAAGTGGTCCTACTGCCTCGGCCTCCCAAAGTGCTGAGATTATAGGCATGAGCCACCATGTTTAGCCTATTATTTCTTTTATTCAACCACTCTCTGTAGTAATACTTCATTTACCCTACCTTATTAAGAAGCAGCAGTTCCTGAGACTTTTCAAGGTAAGTAAAAGTTATTTCTAAAATACCAAAGTTTCTAAAAATTCTATTTTAAAACAAAATATCTGTTTCCGAATGTAAACTGATCCCAATTATTTTACCCTAAGGCTACTGAAATATATAGGGATATCTGGGTATTTGGGTCCAAATTAAGTGGTCTTGGGCAGCTGCACTTTCGGAGTTCCTCTGTTAATGACTTATAGTTTTTATGGCCCGTCCTTGCTTTCATTTAGGATGCTGTCACTTCTTACTAGAGCTCTGACTTTTTGAAGCAATAACTACCCTCTTTTACCTGCTATTAGTGTTGACTGTGTTTTGGGAAACCAGGCATCAGTTTGAACTGATTTGTTTTAAAAAAAGATTGAACTGTTTGTGGATGAGGGACCGAAGAAGTAATGAGGTGGGTGAGGAGAATTACACAATAATTTTAACAATCTGGGCCCAAATAGGCTTTTTTAGAGGTTCTGAGCTGTTTTAAAAAGGTGGGATTGCTGCACAAAAGATGCTCTGGTTGAGTAAAGCACTAATGTTAGTTTTCTTTCTACTCATAGGCTAACTTATCAAGTGCATAAATACATACATGTTTAATGACATATATGAATTTGCTTCTAGTTCAGTTGATACATGCATATATATGTAGAAAAGTAATTAAATAATGATAGTTATCAAAAGAAAAAGAAAAGCCCAGTTCACCAACACAGGAGCTAGATGACAATGTTTCTTCTCAAGTGTGTCCACTGACATGTATATGCAGAAAAATTACTAATATAACAAGCCACTAAAAGAAAGCAAGAAGCCCACTTCACAAAATACAGAAAAATAGTGACTACCTGTTAAAGACTCACTTTTAGTGGTGGAGTGTGCACTAATTCATGCAGATTAACTGTGTTTGCAGATGTTAAAAACCACTGTAGATGTAAATAGAACTTTTTCCTTCCAAGCATTTCAATTTTTTAGAATAACTTTTCACAATAGCAGATTATAAACATGTGTGTTTGGCTAATAAACCTAGATTTCCCCCTAAACACATAATTCTGATAAAATCTAACAAAAAACAGAGAAAGAAACAGGAAAACATTTTTATGTGCAGAGAAATGTCTTCTTCAGGCCAAGGACAAACAGCACATGCTAATTTGCATGGTTTTAATAAAAGTGTTCTAATTATAGCCTACTCTAACTTACCCGTGATTTATCAAAAGAAAAAAAAAAATCAACTCCAGGTTGGACTTTTTGTGACCTGGAAGCTCTCTGGCCCTGTAACCCTCCTTGGTACTTAGTATGGTGTTTCAGAAACTATAATACAAGTTATGTTCATTACCTGTTTATTAAAATGACAAAGGAAACAACATAATGCATAAAATATAACCAGATTATCTGCTACTTTGGATTACCTTTACTAATGTTCTCTTTTAGAAGGACAGATAAATGGGAGTTAACTTTTGTCAAGCCCTTTTGTATGAGTCTTTATTTATTATAAGAATTCCTGAAAACAATTTAAGAAATGGACATGCAACCAGAGGCAACAAACAAAAATGAAATTCTTCTAGTCTCAAGCAACATTTCTTAGTGCAAGAAATAAAGTATTTTCTAAGCCTTATTCTGGGTACACATTTTGCTCCTAGCTTTATTTGCTTTTTGCAACAGCATTTAAGAGAAAACCAACTGACCATTTACAACCTAAACAATGGCTTTGGGGTATGATTAAGAAATGCACCTGGGCTCACTCAAACAACACGTTTGTTTAACCTGGTGACTTTCCTGTGTCTGGGGTCAGGCAGGAGCAATCTTGGTTGGGGGAAGGAAAGAAGAGCAAATACAACTGACTCACTGAGAACAAAATGGTTGCACTAACTACCCTTTGTAATTACAACTGTTTTAACAGTTTCTAGTAGGCAAAGCTGTCATTTAAGTGACCCACTATAATTTGGGATGAAACCCGAAGGAAATTTTGCCAAGTTTAGAATAGGAGTTGCATTTCTGAGTTTACTCAGCATGATGAATCCACTAAAATGCTGACTATTCTTTTTTTGGCATAAACTTACGTCAAGGGGAAAATGAACATTAAAATGAATATAGCTAGAGAGGCAAACCGTCACAACATTCACTCCCAGGAGCAGACCATAGTTTATTTTACTTTTTGTATCTTTCTATTATGAAACATTTCAATCATATAGAAAAATGCAGAATAAAATAATGAACACCCCCCAAACATCATTTAGTTTTGATAATCACCAACACATGGGCAATCTTATTTTATTGTACCCTATCCACTCTGCTCTTTGAAATTATTTTAAAAAAAAATGTTCTTTTAGAGACGGGGTCTTGCTCTGTTGCCCAGGCTGAAGTAAAATGGTGCAGTCATAGCTCACAGTAACTTGAAATCCGGGGCTCAAGTGATCCTCCTGCCTAAACCTGTCCCCGGTAGCTAGGACTACAGGTGTGCAATACCATGCCTGGCTAATTTTTAATTTTTATTTTTTTTAAATAGAGACAGAGTTTCACAATGTTGCTCAGGCTGGTCTCAAACTCCTGCGCTCAAGTGATCCTCCAGCTTCAGACTCCCAGAGTGCTGGGATTACCGGCATAAGCCAATACACCAGCCTGCATTAAAGCAAACCCCAAACAACTGATGTTGTATTTCATAAAAGCTTTCACTGACAATATATGTATATATTTTCATAAGGATCACGCCAGAAATCTCACTGAGCATGAGATGTCTAAACCAACTTTAACCACACCTTGTAAAACACTTTACACTAAAACCTATCTGCCTAGAAAACCAATTTGCTTGAATATAAGTGGGTAATTCAAATGACAAAATAACTTTAAACACAACCCTCTATTAATTCATGCGGGGAAAAATAGCAACATTCTCAGATTGGGAAAATAGTGCATGTTACTTTATCCCTATGGTTCTAGTCTTTGTGGACATTCCAATCAGTGAGAGACAATATTAAAAGTAACATGGATAGATT
The DNA here is from genome assembly GCF_000001405.40 of Homo sapiens. Taxonomy (NCBI): domain Eukaryota; kingdom Metazoa; phylum Chordata; class Mammalia; order Primates; family Hominidae; genus Homo; species Homo sapiens. The sequence goes on along the minus strand of NC_000006.12, from coordinate 21,110,304 downwards.
TGCCTGGATGGAACTTAGAAAAGTAGGTAAAGGCTACTAAGGAGGCCGGGAGCTGCCTGGAATAAAACTTTTCCATTTTCCTTCACTACTGTACATCCAGAATAAAACAGAATGGCAACAGACCAAAACTTAGGAGCTTCAAAAGGCACTCATCAAGCAGTCTAGCTATTTACAATAATTTATTACCAATCTTAAAGATCAAAAGGAACTCCATCAAGCATTTAGATTCAATTCCTCACTGCCTGATGACTAAGTTGTAGAGGAATGAAGGGAAGCCAAAATAATCTGAGGTGACTTTGATACAATGCCACAAAGGATATGAGGAGGAAGCCGGTAGAAGCTGCAAATGGCTAGGTTCCATTAAGAGTTCTAATAAAAGAAGAATGGAATTTCCCTTAACTGCGAATTTAAAAATGTTACAAGTGGGCGAAATTTAGACAAGCCAGGCAAAACCTCTGATTTGCCATCGCCTTTTTTGTTGTTGTTGTTAAATGTTAACTTTAGCCACTGCTGCACTTATGTTCATTAAGTGGCTTCATCTAAAAAAAAATGCAACACTACCTTCAGAAATCTGGCCAATCTCATTCCTTTTGCTGTTGTATTACTTATCAGCCTGCTCCTTCTGTCTGCATTGTCAGACCCTATTGGCTCTCTCAATCTCTTTCAAACAAATTGCTGCATTCTGCAATGTGACTGATTTAGCTTGAAAAATGTAACTTGGAATGATATAAGTTTTAGTATTACATATCACCATGGTCACATGAAGCATAAACATCTCTTTTACGAGTTTTTGGTGCTTAAGTCAATTGGTCACTATAGAAACACTAGAAGCTAGTGTTTCAAATTCTTTCAACTTCTATGAACTGGCACAATTTTTCCCTCCTGAATCCAGACATCTCTGTATTTTCAACTGAGGAAAGTAGTTTTCACACTACTTACTTTGGCTAGTTAAAAAATCCCTACCACATGTCTCCCTATAAATTCATAGATAAAGATTTAAGTTTATATTAGCATTTCAACTGTGCAAATTTTTTGTTTGCTTCTGAAATCACCTCGAATTAACAGATTTACTGGAATCCTACATGGTTTAGAAGTTTTGCACAAGTCTCTGAAACCTTGTAATCTATTTCCCCATGAAGATGTGGAGTTAAGCATTTTCTTAAAAATGGCTACATATTTTTTCTTTTTAAAAGAGTGCTTATCTTTTACAAATATATTGTAAAATACTTACAAGTGAAAAGATGTCTAGGAATTTTTCAAACATGAGGGATGGAGAAGGTAGGGTATAAATGACACAGACGGACTATGAATCTATGAAGCTGTGGGATGGGTACATGTGGGTCGTCACGTTATTTGGTCATTTTCTGTGTAGCAAAGCTCCAGGCAGTAGATATTTCAGACATGATGCTATGTACTAATTTTTATTAGGATTTTCATTTAGAAAAATAACTTTCTATCAGGAGGAATGAAGAATCAAGTTTTGCAGTCAGCATTTCAATTATCTTTACCAATCCAAAACCCAAGTTCCTCCAGTACAGTGTTTGGAAAGAAAAAACAAAAACCAACCAACCAAAATACACCCCAAAATGTGTCTTTTCACTGTCTTTGAGATTTCAGTGCCAATATGTAACTAGATTTCAATGTGAATAAAATATAATTATTATAGTTCAGAAATATAACATTTCTGTTTTCTTTAAAAGGGATAAAGAGCTAAAAAATTTAAATTGAAATATAAATGTAATTGGTAAGTGTATTTCAGAATCACCATATGTTGGTGAAAATTGTACTATACATTCGGAAAGACTTTAATACTTAATATGCTATTAACATGCTTCTCTTACCTTGTGATCATATGGACTGTAAGAATGAAACACCCGAGAAAGATCTTTTGTCCTTTGCTTTTTCTGTGAAAAAAAACAAAAAAAACAAAAAACCAACATACAAACAATTGAGTTGACAGCAGATAAAAAATATACATGTGTGTATATATCTCTACATACATAAAGTTTTTTTTTTTTTTTTTTAAGAGATTCTTCCTTTGTGGAGGCTGAGAAGACACAGGGGTGCAACTAAAAACCAAAGTCACTTTATGGTTATGTGGGTCATTATCACAGAGCAACCAGGTGACCTCTTCCTAGAAGATTTCATAACTAAAACACTAATCATCATCAAAAACTGTATTTGAAAATACATAACAGACTAAAATGAAGAAAACACTGAAAACGAAAGAAAATTTAATACACAGGGCACTTCCGATTTCATTGTAATACCAACTGCTGTTACTCAGAATTGGGCACAGACATGCATTCATTTAAACGATACACCTCCTTCAGGCTTCCTGGTTACAGCTTGGGTCTGTCTGCTGGAGCTTGCAGCTATGAGGATACCTTTACTGTGTCACTGCTATATAGCCTAGGTACCCTGCATGGTGTTTTACACACAGCAGGCACTCAATAAATACTGGCTAAGTTAATGAATAAATGAATGTATGAGTTATACAGGCATATAACTCTTAATATCTGTAATGATGACACATAAGCCTCATAGATTAGTTATGAAGAGAAGGCTCTTTTGGCCGAGCATGGTGGCTCATGCTTGTAATCCCAGCATTTTGGGAGGCCGAGGCAGGTATATCACTTGAGGCCAGGAGTTCGAGACCAGCTTGGCCAAAATGGAGAAACCCAGTCTCTACTAAAAATACAAAAAAAAATTAGCTGGGTGTGGTGGTGGACACCTGTAATCTGAGCTACTCAGGAAGCTGAGGCAGGAGAATTACTTGAACCTGGGAGGCAGAGGTTGCAGTGAGCCAAGATTGTACCACTGCACTCCAGCCTGGGCAACAGAGGGAGACTCCATTTCAATAAACAAAACAAAACAAAAGAAAGAAAGAAAAAAGAAAGAGAACGCTCTTTTCATTTCTAATGACGTGTTCTTGAGCTGAACCCAGGCATTACATGAGTCCCCTCTCCATCCCCTGCTCCTTAGTGTATCTGTGACAACCAAGAAGTATGAGGTTCTCTTATTACAGCCAACTAGTTAATATAAAAGTGGCTTTTTTGGCCGGGCACGGTGGCTCACGCCTGTAATCCCAGCACTCTGGGAGGCCGAAGTGGGCGGATCACAAGGTCAGGAGATCGAGACCATCCTGGCTAACACGGTAAAACCCCGTCTCTACTAAAAACACAAAAAATTAGCCGGGCACGGTGGCGGGTGCCTGTAGTCCCAGCTACTTGGGAGGCTGAGGCAGGAGAATGGCGTGAACCCGGGAGGCGGAGCTTGCAGTGAGCCGAGATAGTGCCACTGCACTGCAGCTCCAGCCTGGGCGAAAAAGCGAGACTCCATCTCAAAAAAAAAAAAAAAAAAAGTGGCTTTCTCCTCATCCACTGTGATCCCTGCCCCATAACCACCATAAGCAATTTGTGTATGGGTCCAAATCTTCTACGCACACACACAAACACAAACATTGATTACTACTTTCAAAGAAAAGAGGTCATTCTATGTACAGCTGTCCCTTAGTACTCCCCGTAGATACCAAAATCCGCTGATGCTCAAGTTCCTTATGTCAAATAGTGCAGAATTCGCATATAACCTATACACATCCTCCCGTATGCTTTAAGTCATCTCCAGATTGCTTAGAATATCTAATACAATATAAATACTATGTAAATAGTTGTTACACTGTATTTTTATGTGTATTATTTTAAATTGTACTCTTGTTATTATTACTTAGGGACAGGATCTCACCCTGTGGCCCAGGCTGCAGTACAGTGGCACAATCATCGCTCACTGCAGCCTTGGGCTCCTGGGCCCAAGTGATCCTTTTGCCTCAGCCTCCTAGCTGGGATTACAGGCGTGAGACACCAAGCCTGGCTGTTATTTTTTATTTTTCTAAATATTTTTGATGCCCTGTTTGTTGAATCTGCAGATGTAGAACTTGCAGTTATGGAAGGAAGACTATATATTGTTCGGAAATTTACTTTTTCCACTACACAGTTTGTCCTCGCAAAACTTCCTTGGTTGTACATACAGATCAGCAATTCCCTAAAGGGAGTTTTTCAAAGTTTTTGACATCTGAAAACTTTACAAATGCAAACTTTTCTGTAATTCATTTCAATTTTTTAATATAATCATATTCTTTGCACAAACATCTTTGCCAGCCTGACTGTATTTAAAAATAATAAATTATGGAAGTCCAGTTTCAGGATCAGACAGTACACACATTTATTACCTTAACAGGTAAAGTCAAACTGCCTCCTCCTCACAAATATTGCATCAATTTGTCCCCTCAGCAAGAGTGAATGAGAGAAGGGATCTCAGCTTAAGTTGGTAATTCTTAAGAATTTCTCTCTTCTATTTAAAGGTTAGAATGTTTCTAAATTTACAGAGGTAATCAATGTTTTTAGAACAGATATTGAACATTTTCCCAGTTGGCAATAATATAATTTATTTCTTGTCCATCATAGGTTAGCCCACGACCACATCTTAAAATTCTGTGACACAGGTGGTCTGTTTGTCCCTAACACTGCCCCTGTCTTGCTTCTGTTTCTATTCTGATGTTATTCCAACTGCCAGGAGACTGCTTCTGTCTTCACTTGTGATGAATCCTTGACTGGTATCCCGTGTTCTAGGGAAGTATCTTCTACCTCCTCCAGTGTCCTCAAGGACACAGCTATCATACCTCCCCAATGCCGCATACCCCCGCCTAGCTCTACATAATCTTCTGCATCTCCTTAGTTAAGCAGTTGGACCTGATATTAATAAGGACCTTGTAAATAAAATCATTTGTACACACTCATCGTTTCCTTGTAGATCAGTTTCCCTATTTCAGAGCTGTCTTTGAAGTCACAATTCCAGTGGCAGTGGTTCAAATCACTTGGCCTTGTTGCTACCTTCTGACACCCACTGAAAAGTCCTCTCCTACAGATCAGCCAAAATTCCTGCCTCCTCTCTCCGCCTCTGAGCAGTGCTTCTGACCATCAAATTCTAAAGTAATTTAACACTCCCTTCCCCTGGAGAGCAAAGATGTATCAGTAAGATGATTGGAAACAGTTCCTGTGGCTAATGAAATGTTAGCTCTGTGAGCCTTGGAATCTGCTTTGAACAGGTCATTTGCCCATCAAAATTTCATTAGCTTATAATTTTTTCTTTTCTTCCCATATACCCACTTATTCGGTGAAACAGTTCTTGGCTTATACTTCAATCAGAAGAAAAATGACGGATGCTAACACTTCCTTTGTTAGGAGTCTTGATATAAAACACTGGGGAAAATATTTTTAGAAAGGAAATTATGCTAGATAAAATAAAATAGGTAGCATATCAGTATTAAACTTAGGAGATGCCCCAAGAACTGAGGCTTATCAGAAATGGCTGAGCGACCAGCTTGCATTGGCAGGTGGAAAAGGAATATTCAGAAGTTGTTTTGTGTGACTTAATGTAGGTTTTGATTTTACTTTGATAGCTAACACTTATATGTGCTTTTTATCCTAATTATCTCGATTTTGGGAAAGAAATGGAGTATAACTAAGTAACACTATTCATATTAGCCCCAAAGAACCAGTAAAGAAACAATGCCTTTTCTGACAACAAATTTATTATATACAAATACTGTGAAGTCTTGGCATATTGAAGGTTATAGGTATCTGCCCAGTTAACTGAAAACCACTGCTATTCTTCCCTCTGAGATCAGTCACACAATCCAGTGGAGTATCTTCTGGAATCCAGAACAGGGGTTGGCAAACTATGGCCCCATAGCCAATCTGACCCACTGCCTGTTGTTTTTTTTTTTTAAATAAAGTTTTACTGAAATACAGCCACAAATCCTAAAGTATTTACTATCTGGCCCTTTATAGAGAAAGGTAACCACCCCGATCTAGAAACTCTATCCCTGACTATGTCTACTTCCGGCAGTAGTCCCTTAACTCCAAACCACATGAACAACTAACTATCCTGCAAAATTCCTGGCTCCTTCTATTTGCTCAATGGACAGTTCCAAGAGCCAATCATAACCTATATACTGAAACATTGGGATGAACGTACCAAGCATAATAACAATTAGCTGTCTTGTTTTCAGGATATTTCCTCAGTGCTTCTATGTACAGGCAAAAAATATTCCAAGTGGCTTTCTAGAGCATGCTGAAATAGATATGGGGCTTTCAGAGCCGTCTGTATTCACACTGTAACTGCTGATGACAGAAGCTCTGAGAAGAAATCCTTTACTAAGTTCTAGCACTAAAGCCAAGTAAGTTTCTTATACAAGTAACTAAAACACGGCCATTATTACTAGTGAGCCAGTTTCTCCTATGTAGGCAATGTTAAGAGAACTACTCTACAAAACCTGTCGAGCCTTGCTATCAACAGTTTTAACTGAAACGAAAAGCTGAGCCAAAAATGGAATAATTAGGTATTTTCCTATTGCATCATAGTGTATGTCTAAATTACCTCCCAGTTTTTAGCCTGTTAAAACAAACATCTCAGTCATGCAACCACCTGTTAGCTCTCCAAGCATTTAAAAAGTAAACATGTTAAACAAGTTGTGTGATGGACTTGTAACAAGGGTGGCCAGAGTACAGTGAGTATGGCAAATATTTTTCCCCAAATTGTACAAGGTACCTTCAAGTTACCTTCATCATTAATCCCAAAGTACAGGCCACAGAGATGAGAGGATATTTAAAAGTAATTACATGCTGCGTCCTGCATTTTTTGCGGGCTGCCGTGGGTTTAAAAAATGAGGCAGTATGCATGTTTGGTAAAACTTCTAGATTCCCGAGAATCTGAACCTCTGTAATCTTCATCTTACAGGCACTTCATAAATTGCTTTTATATTCCACTCTCCAAGGACAGAAAACACTGATGACCTTTTTTTTTTTTCTTATACTCAAGTTTAAACTCCTTTTCAGACAAAACCAAACAAAACTAAAGACCCCAAGAGAGTATTTTTAACAGTTCAGGTTTCCAGACAATGTAATCATTCCAATTTTTGTCAAAGATATGCAACAGAGCTCAGTTCTGAAAGAGGCCCCGCATGTAATAACAGCTTGTATTCTGAATGTGAGGTTATACAACCAATCAAATTTTAGCAGCATCCACGAACTTAATTTCTTTTGGTTCCCCAAGCCAATTCAATCCTTTCTGTACCCATTCTCTAAGTTGTTGATTAAAGTTTTCCCAAATAAAATGGTGTTATTATAAGGAAAAGCTATAATAAGACTATGGACTTCATTTCTACATACGGATTCTTAAAAATGATAAAGCCTACAAGTTTTCAAAGGGTTTGATATGTTTAAGGTATACTACAATACAATTTAAATGTTCTGCAAGCCTTCATCATACTTCGTGGTAAGAAGCCAAAAGAGCGGGTTTGCATTTCAGCATGCTGCATTTTTCCTGCTCCCTTTCTGGTAGAGAGCCTAAGTAGTTAGCCTGTCAACTGGCAGGAAGCAGAAAGGTAGGAGGAAAAGATAAGGAGCCAAGGCAACTCACGAACTGGACAATCAGGTTCAGAATAGAGTCACGCAGGAGTGCCTGAGGCAAAAATGCAATGGTGGTCTAATGGCGACCAAGAGTTATGCCCAAAAAAAATTCCAAAAGAGACTGGAGTGCAATTCCAGGTAATACACGCTAGGGCTCCAGGACTGGTTTACACGACAGAAACAGACACTCAGTAGAAGTTAGAAAACTACATCCTAAGGCAAAAGGGCCGAAAGAGCCAAGAGGTGCAAGATGAAAACAACAAATGACTGAGAGTCAAGGGGTCGTTGGTGAAGAACTAGTTAGGAACTGGGAGAGTCACGCAGAGAACAAGGGCTTACTAAGATGCAATAAGGGACACTGAAGTCAGGGATAGGAAATGAAGAAGCCAGTAAACACTGAGTAAGTGAAGGTGTTAACTACCAAGGATGTGGACGACGCTAAGGCAGGTCTGATGTTTACCTTGGGAACTTCCTGCGGGGGTGGGTTCCAAAATGAGGGTGTAGGCAACGCTAGGCCCATTAAATTCAGTCAGCAATGTGACAGCATTTGGTTGAAGAAGGAAAATGTTATTTCTGATGGGAGAGTTCAGTGTTTGATAAAAGCACGGTAAAAGAACTGACTCCACAGATAGATTATGCTTTTATAGACTATAAGGAAGTAGACTGAATATAGGTACATGGAGACAGAGAGAAAAGGGAGTCCTAGTTGGGCTGAAGAAAGGCTAAATGATTAGAACACATAATGGAAAAAATACAGTGACGAATGATCAAATTTGTGCTTCAGAAAGAGCTTCCTAATGGTGTTAAAGATAAAGCTCAAGTGGGACAAAGGCAAGAAGCTGAAGACAGTATGAGAAGCTGTTGCAAAATCACTCAGAAAAAAAATAACACCTTAAATTAAGCTAGGGGCAAGGGGAGAAGGTGGGACAGATCTGATTAACAGCTGGGAGGTAGGATAGACAGCTCTTGGTAACTGATTAGATAGGAGTACAGAGAGGGAAGAGCTGAAGAGGACTCCCAGGCTGCTGGCACAGATAACCAAACAGGAGAAGTACCCTTCACTGACAGAAGTACCCTTCACTCAGTCTAGAGACTGAGACTGGTTTTGGAGACTGGGGGAAAAAAGGATAATTCAGTTCTGAATATAGGGAATTTGAGGAAGATGTGAGACATTTGGAGAGAAATTAAGAAGGAAGTTACATGTAAAGGACTTGGGACTCATGAGCATATTGGTGTAATTTAAAGCAGGACAGGGATGGGATCACACAGGGAGAATGTAGAGTGAGGGAGGCAAGAAGATAAGAAGATTGAGGTTAAAATCCTAGCAAACAATAGCTGTTTGGTCTTGGGCCATGTATCTGCTTTGTACCTCCTATATAAAATGAAGACGCTAGATTTGGCCACTGCTTCTCAATCCTTGTTGCAGGTTAGAACTATTAGCGAATCTTTAAAATATACCAAAGCTTCAATCCTAATCCCCAGTGACTCTGACTTAATTGGTCTTCTGGGGCCTGGACAAAAGTGTATTATTTAAAAGCTCTCGGGTATTTCCAACGTGTGGCCAAAGATGAGAAACACTAGTCAAGACGATCCCAAAGGTCTCTTCCAACTGTTAGCCTCTATGATTCTGGATCGGTTCCCTACTGTCTTTCAGCTACTGCCATTCTGTGTTCTCAATTCTATCAGTCATTTTAATCTCTGTATTATGCCTGCAGCTTTGCCTTATTTCTTGACCTCTTCCTTTCCATAAAAGAATGGACTCTCTATGCAAGAATTCCTCTGGGGCACAGTAAGGCTGTGGCTGCAGTACAACCTGCTGCTGTATATTTAGTCCCCTACCTGGTAAGTGCTTCTGAAAAATAAATGGAAAGCTAACTTAATACACTGGACTCTTTACTGTGTTATCAATGTGTAAAGCATCAGAAGCTTAATTAAAAGCACTTGACAATATCAGCGCTCAATCACAATCTCACTTTATATTATACATATTTTGATAGTGTCCCTAAGATGATAATACTCATTTAAGATCAATGAGAAGAAGGGAAAAAAAGTCCCTGGAATTTAAACCATGAACCTCAAGTTTTAGAAATCAATTATAACATCAATGATGTGAAATACAGTTAGTGATAAAAAAAATACCCCAAAATATACAGGGAAACAGGCAAACTCTTCAAAATCTCAAATGCTTTTCCTTCATAAGGCACATATAATACTTCCTTATTCTTTTGTGAGAAATTATTGTGAGGGTGGCAGGGAAAACAAAGAAAAAGAAGGCTGTGGCTCTATTCCATATATTTTTTCACCCCCTACTCTCTAGTTAGGTCTGCAAAATAACTAAGATGACCATAAATGCTTTTGACTGTTGTCTTGAACTTCTTTCTCTCCATCCATTTACAGCAGATTCAAGGAAAGTTATCAGGGTCTTCAGTTTCTCACATACCCAAGTGCTGGAGGCAAAGAGTAAGCATTTCTTAGAGGACACCAAAACAGCAGACTTCTCTAAGAGTGGAAGTTAGAAAATAGGTAAGTGAATTTGTTCACCCAACTGTAATGATATTCAAATAAAATAACCAAGCAAATGTGGAAATGTACAGCTGATTTTAAATCACAGTAGATATCAGTGGGAAATACTTTTTTTTTTTCAGCCTTACGGTTTCTAAAATAACCTTAGAGGAAGGAAGTTGCAACCATCAGCCTCTCATTTTCACAGGGGACAGAGAGTGGGGGTGGTAGAGGAGCAGGCACCATTTATCCTGGCAGGTCTTTAGGCAACAAATGCTGAAGAAAATGCAAATAGAAAATTCTGTGTTAATTCAGTGATGTGTGATAAAATGTAGGTTGCCATACCTTCTCCTATCAAGCTCACTTTATTTTCTAAAGAGAACATTTCTTTGCAAGGAAAGGTCATTATTTGGTAACAAAGGCAAGGCTAGCACATAAGGAAGGCAAGAGACTTAACTAATTTGCAGTAATAAGTGTTGCCAAAATGATTAGCCTTTACTAGCAGTTAGGCCAGAAACAGTCTTACGACATAGGTCAAATCCCTGCAAAATAAAAAGACAAAGTCAAAGGGCACTAAGTACACCACATACCGCACAATGGTTCATTCAAACGTCCTTTGTATGACAACTTCTGGGTGCTCAAAAGTAGCCCATAAGAACACGAGTTGCTATAAATATCAACTCAATATCACTAACCTTCACTCTGCCCTTCTAACTGACCACAATAGTTAACTTTACCTCTTATCTGGATTATTATTGTTTTCTTTCCTGGACTACCTGTGTCCAATCTTCACCCTCGAAATCAATGGTTGGCAAAATATGACCTGTGGGCCAAATACTGCTGGCTGCCTTTTGTGTAGTCTGTGATTTGTTTGTACATTTAAAAATGGCTGGAAAAAGAAAAATAAAAAGCACAAGAATATTTGTGGCATGTAAAAATTATATAAAATTCAAATTTATATATATAAAGTTTTATTGGAACACAGCCGTGCTCATTCCTTTATTAACATTGTCCACGGTTGCTTTTCTGCTATGATGGCAAAGTTGAATGGCTGCAATAGAAAATGTATGGCCTATAAAGCTGAAAATATTTACTATGTGGCCCCTTTTTAGAGTTTACTAACCCTTGCTCTAAACCGTTGGTTTGCAATCCTGGCTGCAAATTGGAATCACCTGGGGATTTAAATAATACTGAGGTGTGGGTTCCAGTGCCAGATATTCTAATTGATACAGGGTGCAGCCCAGGAGTTGGGGTTTTAAAAATTTCTCCAGGTGATGAGAATGTGAAGCCACAGTTTAGAACCTTTGCTTAATCCCCCTTTACTGAGGCCAGAGTAAGCTTCATAATGCATGGTCAACTAATGGCACTCTTCTATTTAGGACTCCCTACTGCTCAGGGAATCAAATTTCAAGTACTGCATTAAAGCTTGTCCCACTTTTCCAGCTAACACCAAAGGCAGTGTCTTGTTCCTTAGAGAGCCTGCATTTTTCTGACTCTACATCTTGCTAATGCTACTCTCTCTGCCTGGAATGCCTCCGCCACCATCTCCATGTATTAAATTCCTTCCAAAGAGCCCTATTCAAAGATCACCTCTTCCATGCAGGATCCTCCCAAACAGAAAGAACCCACTCAACTATGTGCTTCCAGAGATCTCTTTACCACTTTCATGGTGAGTCAACTCCACCTTGAAGAAAGAAACCATGTCTTGGTCATCTGGATAGCATCCCTTCCTTCAGTAACACTTTATTCAAATGCCTTGCACATGGGTGACGGCCAAAAAAAAAAAAAAAAAAAAAAAAGCTGTGTACCCGTTTAACCTCATAACATTTCAGTTTTACCTTCATTGAAACTTCTAGTTCTTCAAACTATCCATTCAGGTCACCTTTTCCCTCCAGGCTCTAAATTCATGACACAACACTTCAATCTATTTCTTGTCAGTAACCTGAGCTTCCACATTGCTTTGTCCTTCATTCCCCCTACAGTCTCCCACGCTCACCTTATATAGTTAAATCACTTGATCCCTGAGCACCTGGGGACTTAGGCCACCTCAGCACTACTTGGTCATTCCTCTGTAAGTAGATATTCAATTGCTGTTTCTATTCCTCATCAGAGCCTCCCAACCAGTTTCTGTTTCCATTCTCATCCTTTATATCTAAAATCCATTCGCCGAGCTCTAAAACTTAGGTGATTAATTGAATGACATATTCATTCGACACATTTACTGTGTGCCCATTGTGCAGGCACCATACTAGTGAGACAGAAAGAAAGCTGGATGAGGCCACTGAACTCAATAGAGCTTTCAAACTAGTGGGAAGAAATAATTACTTAACCAAGCAACCAGGCACACAGTAAGTGCATAAATGTTTGTTGAATTAATTCCAAAAATTCTGAATATTGACATTTGGTATTAACAGTGCTTACCAGATTACTAACTCAAATGCAAATTTTTGTGCTGGATGGAATTATTACTTTTGTAACTATAAATAGTACTTCAAGACAATCATTGTAAAAATTCCAGAATTTGAAACATGTTTCCCAGGGATTTTGCTTTGAGTCAATTTATATTCGAGGCATGAATTTCTTTTTAGTATGTTTGCACTCTCATAAAGATTGCTCCTTTCTCCAATGACAAGTTCCATAGAGAACGGGGGAATGACAGCATTTAGTATCTTTTGTTGAGAGAAAAATATTAGGAAAGGAAAAAATCAACAGCTATATAGCACGGTTAACCCTTACCTTAAGAAAAGTAAATAAACAATTAATTGCAGTCCAGAATGTAGCCAGACAACTGATTTGCTGTCCATATATACATATATTAGGCACTAGGTTTTTTTTTTTTTGTATTTGTTTCTTTTTTTTGTTTTTTGAGACGGAGTCTTGCTCTGTCGACCAGGCTGAAGTGCAGTGGCACACTCTCAGCTCACTGCAACCTCTGCCTCCCAGGTTCAAGCAATTCTCCTGTCAGCCTCCAAAGTAGCTGGGGCTACAGGTGCCTGCCACCACACCCAGCTTATTTTTGTATTTTTAGTAGAGACGGGGTTTCACCCTGTTGGTCAGGCTGGTCTTGAACTCCTGACCTCAGGTAATCCAACAGCCTCAGCCTCCCAAAGTGCTAGCACTACAGGTGTGAACCACCACACCTGGCTGAAGACACTAGGTTTTATACCCAAATACCTGAGACTACAAGAATAAATACTGTGTCCCCATCAATGTCCTCCCTGCCCCTTTGAATACCCTGAATCTAAACTGTTTGATAAAGCAAAGCAAATAGGGCTTAATCCAAGTCTTGCTGAATTTTACTTTCCAATAATTTTAGTATTTCTAGATACATTCTTGATATAAATATTACCAATGCATGAAGAAGTTTCAGTTATTTCTAAAATTTAAAATGTTCCTTTAACATATGACAAGATAACTATTCTCACACTGCTATTTTAGAAAAATTAGCAGTTACAGTGCTAAAACTCTCAAAGTCTGTCCCATCCTCAAAACCTAGCAGATAGTGTGGGGCAACAAACTCGCTGCTGTCTATGTACTACACTGTTTTTATTTTTGTTTTAAAAGTTCTGCTATGTTATAAATTTTTTAAAATTAGGAAGGGTGACAGCAAGTGGTTTTATTTATTTATTTATTTTTTACCATTTGCTTAATAATAATGCCTGATACCTATAAATTATTTTCTTAAAGACAGGCAATATAATTAAACAAAAAGTTAAAAAAGGAAGTTATGTTAGAGACATAACTATGAGAGAGTAACACTGTGCAACTGGATAAAATAAATGCAGTGTGAGTTTTGCTAATTAGTATCCTGGAGTTCTATGTATTTCTACATTGTCATTAAGTATTTCTCTTCCTTTTATTTATGGAGAGATGGTAATGTGCCTTTACTGAATCTAACATTCAGCGAGGCTGAGCTTGAGCCCAGTATTGCGAAAACAGAGTCTGGATCTGCGCAAACTCTATTAATGCTCAGAGCCTCATACCAGCTTCCAGACGCTAATCCACATCGCACCCAAGGGAAAAAGTGATGAAAAAAGAATGGAGAAAACGAAATTTCTCTGACCCACAGATAAGCTGCTATACAGTTCTAAAAACTGATCAAAGCCAATGCATCTCCCTCCCTACCCCGAATAACCCCTGGTGTCACCCCATTTGAAGAGAAGCTCGAAAATTGTTCTGTGCCAGTTATTGCTGCATCTCTAGATAAGCCCACAACTCGTTTTTATGATGATTCCTCGACTGGGACCTGGAAGGTCAGACATGACAATGTAGGTTTGATAACTCTCCTTTCTACATCTAATTTAGCACCTACTGTAAAAAATCATTTCTATCAGCAATGCAACCATCACTGATATCTCTCTCTGCCCCATCATACCAATAATAAGAGTCTAAAATTCATTTCAGGGGTGGCTGGGCTTTTTGACCCATCTTCTCCTCAAGTACTATGTCAAAAATAGACTTATTTTTGTTCCATATATTAAACATACACATTTTCTTTTTTATCTTTGGCCTTTATGACAAAGGAGTCTTTATTTGATAACCAGAAAGCAATTTAATATACAGCTCAATCTTCTCCATTCTCTCGTCTTTATGTCACTTCAGAAATCAGTTGATTTTCTTTTTTATGTTGTAGAGCAAGGGATACTACACAGAGATAGCCAGTGGATGAAAATTTCTGAAGTTGGCTCTTTGCCAAGCAACACTGTCAAGCCTTCGGCAGGAGGGGTACAGGTATGTATGTGTGTAGGGGTAGGAGGGGGGTTGGGGGGAAAGGGGGACCAAGAGGCTAGGAAATTACAGAAGAGCAAAGCAAGAGAAAAATAAAGTAGCTGAGTTTCCCCTTGCACCCATTCTAACACCTAAAGCAACTCTAGTTATATATAATTTGTGTTATATAATCACTCTTTCAGAAATCAACCCATGTTCACACAAGTGGGAAAAGGATGCCCAGACAGTGTAGGTTTCTGTATCAAATGACAGGCCTGACCATTTTAAGTAATGAGCAAACAGGCAGAAAGTGATGCCTCAGGTCCACCACTTATAGACCTTCCTGCAGGCTAAAGTCCTACTATTCTTCATTCATCCTTTCCATTCTTAGAGAGGCCCTGCACCCATCACAAGAAGCATACTTTCAGGGGCTTAGCCTAGGCCTCTCCACTCAGCCTCGGGATACTGCTCTCCCATCCCTGCCAACCTTATCTCCACCTTTCTCTGCTTTCCTTAACTCTTCAGAGAGACATACTGAAGAAGCAAGAGGTCCTAACCATCCACTTATTGCGTATACTGTATGCTTTCTGTTTTTTTCATTGGAAGAGGATCCTAAGGTGTTTTTAAAAAAAGCCAGTTGGTTTAACACACAACATGTTTAGAATGTAAAACGACAGGAGTATCTTAGAAGAGCTCAATGAACTACCTGATTGTGATAATTTTAAAAGAGTTATGCTTAAAGTAAGTTTAATCAATGTCAAAGTCCAAACATTCTTTTGACACAGATAGTGCTTTATATTTTCAAACTGTAATAACTATATTTTAATAAGCATTCATTCATTTAAAAGATTTGCGTATCTGCTCTGTGTATTTTATTAGTAAATTAAACCCCATCTCTTTACCTAGTGTCTGGATCTATTGGCTTCTTCTATCACTAACAACCAAGACCATAAACATCTTTACTTTTATGTTTTAAATTCCTCGGCAATTTAGAAGTTCTTTCTATTTATTGTAGAGGAAGCTACATGTTCTTTTTGCTTCTTTTTCTTTTTCAGCTCTAGCATCTTTTTAGCTCTTTATTTTCATGTACACCTAAATAAGATTCTATCTTGGAGAGTTTGTCTATTTTTGTGTATGTTGTTTGTTTTTAGCAACTCTGTTAATCTTAAACCCCCTAAAGCATCTGCTTATTTTTTCAGTTTTTTCAAAATCAGTTATCCATGTATATGATCTAAGAACCAACCAGCTCCACATAGCTTCCCAGCTTCCCTTTCCCATTTCTGCTTCCTTAGAAGTAACTACCTTCAACTCTTTTTAGTTTATTCTTTTGGTATTTACCTCCATATTGCCAAGTAACATGTCATTTTTGCTATTGGTAATTTCTTACTACTAGATACTATCTCCTGACTTCCCTCTAGGGAAGATGAGCTTGCATTCCCTCCCCTGCCCACTCTATTTATGTATATATTTCTTACCTCCACTTCCCATGATCATACACATGCTATTCAGATTTTACCCAAGTAATACCTAATTATATTTTCTTGTCTGTATATTTTGTTTTCTCTGGAGTTAGTAATTTAAAAAATATGCTTGATGGACAAGTGCAGTGACTTATGCCTGTAGTCCCAGCACTTTGGTAGGCCAAGGTGGGAGGATAGCTTGAGGCCAGAAGTTTGAGACCAGCCTGGACAAGATAGTAAGACCCTGTCTCTACAAAAAAAAAAAAAAAAAAGCCAGGTGTGGTGGTGCACCTACCGTCACACCCAGCTACTCAGGAGGCTAAGGTGGGAGGTGGGAGGATTGCTTGAGCCTGGGAGTTCAAGGTTGCAGTGAGCCATGACCATGATCGTGCCACTGCACTCCAGCCTGGAAGACAGAGAGGCCCTGTCTCCAAAAAAAAAAAAAAAAAAAAAAAAAAAAAAAAAAAAAAAAGCAGCAGCAGCAGCTCAGTTGGTTATCTATGTCTTTATGACCAATTCAATCCAAGTTCTCTTCCACTTATCTAAATCACCTCGCAAGAAGTGCATTCACAATAAGCATTCTATCCTTTCATCCTCTTGAAGAAGTTTCCTCTGGACCTTTCTGGCACATTCTGGTTCAATCTGTCTATTCTCCAGCTCTGATACATGGCTGTCCCATTTACCATCATCCTGGAGATTTCGCTCACCTCTCATCTGTGCTGAGTCTGCTGTTTCCTTTATCCCACATCTTCGTATCTTCTTTCTTAGCTTACTCTCTTGTTTTCATGATGCCCAAAATTCTGGAAAGGCTTCCTGAGAAAGGAGTATCCTGAAATCTGATGAATACTTTGGTGGGTACAAAATCCTAGGATGAAAAGCATTTTTCTTCAAAATAGGGAAGGAATCACTCATTTCTTCTCTGGGTGCTGTTGGTAAGTTTGAAGTCAGTTTGAAATTTGAGTCCTGGTCCTTTGAATGTGACCTGGCTTTTCTCTCTTGTCTTGGCATGGGTCTACATTTCATCCATAATGCTGCGTCCATGGGGATTGCTTTCAGTCTGTTAATTCATGACCTTCAGTCATTAAAAATGTCCTTGAATTATTCATTGCCAATTTCTTCCTTTCTTTGTTTACCCTGTTTTGGAATTCCTATTATTTGAATGTTGGACCCTTCCCAGATTTGTTCTTTGATTTTTCTATATTTTTCCTTCTATTTTTCATCTTATTTTTTTTTTTGGTTCTACTTTCTAGAGATTTTCTCTACTTTAACCTTCCAATTCTATTGAATTTTTACCTTTGCTACCATGTTTTTAATGTCTAAGAATTATTTTTTGCTCTCCCAATCACTTTTTTGATGTCTCAATCTTATTTCATGAATAAAATATCTTCTCTCATTTATCTGAGAATATCAGTAACTTCTTTTTTTTTTTTTTAAGTTTTCGTCTTCCTGCCCAGTCCTGTTTCTTTCTTATTTTTTATTTTCTCTCTCACTCCATTCCTATTCTGTTTGCTTTGGTCCTGTCCTTTGTGTTAGTTAGGGCTTTCCTCAGGAATTTGGTAATCCTTGCTTGCTACTTATGTTTAAGAGTAAGAGGCTTAAAAAGCTGATTGATCATCCTCAGCAAATTAAAACAGGAACAGAAAACCAAACACCACATGTTCTCACTCGTAAGTGGGAGCTGAACAATGAGAATACATGGACACAGGGAGAGGACCAACACACACCAGGGCCTGTCGAGGGGAGTGGGGGGCAAAAGGAGGGAGAGCATTAGGACAAATACCTAATGCCTGTGGGGCTTAAAACCTAGATGAAGGGTTGACAGGTGCAGCAAACCACCATGGCACATGTATACCTATGTAACAAACCTGCACGTTCTGCACATGTATCCCGGAACTTAAAAAAAAAAAAAAAAGAATCAGTTAATCTAAACCCCGCCCCCCCGACCCAGAAAAAAAAAAAGCTGATTGAAAGTTCTGAGCCTGGCCAGGCGCAGTGGCTCACGCCTGTAATCCCAGGACTTTGGGAGGCCGAGGCGGGCGGATCACGAGGTCAGGAGATCGAGACCATCCTGGCTAACATGGTGAAACCCCGTCTCTACTAAAAATACAAAAAATGAGCCAGGCGTAGTGGCGGGCGCCTGTAGTCCCAGCTACTCGGGAGGCTGAGGCAGGAGAATGGCGTGAACCCGGGAGGCGGAGCTTGCAGTGAGCCGAGATCACGCCACTGCACTCCAGCCTGGGCGACACAGCGAGCCTCCGTCTCAAAAAAAAAAAAAAAAAAAAAAAAAAAAAAAAAAAAAAAAAAAAAAAGAAAGTTCTGAGCCTGTTGCTGCATTTGTCAAGTATGAGCCTCAATATAGGATGATCTGGTTGAATTGTTTAATTATGGAACCTCTGATGTCAACATCTCTAAGTATTGAACTGATCAGGTTTCCCAAACAAGGAAAGGCGTGTGTGACTGCCAGCATTCTAGCTGCTAAATGAACAAAGAGGGCATTTGATATCCATATAGGCACTGAATTCCCCTTGCCCTCAACTGTACCACAGGTTCTTCAGTCCAGAGACTTTTCATTTTCCCCTCAAAGAATGAGCCTCCAGTCTTCTGTTGGTGTGAGTGAGGAGATGCCTGAGCTGTACGCCTGAGCTGGGGAGGGAATGGGGCAATCCAGCTGCTGCTTCTTAAGTAGTTTTAAACAATCCTTCTTATGTTAGTGCCCTCATTTCCTACTTCATTCTCCCTTTCAAAAGTGCCAGCCAATTCCTTGACCATTTGAGGATTCTCTGGTATATATCAAGTTTGTTCATAACTTGGGTTTTGGTTTTTCCCCACTGCTAGGTTGGCATTTAGGTTTCTTCAGGTTGGTGAGGTGAGTTGCCAATTTCTAGCTGCTCCCCAGCTGTCACAATCTTGTTGTGGGGTTTCCTCTCCTAGCCTGTCCTCTTTATATTTGTGGGTTAATAACTCCTGTACTAAAAATCTCTATGATGTATTTTGGCAGGATTTGAGAGACAATGAAACTAGATCTGTCTTAATCTTTCCTTCTAAATCTGAAACCAGACTTACTCTTTGAAGAATTGTTAGTACACTCATGCCTGCAGTCACAGCACATCGGGAGGCAGAGGCA
This sequence comes from Homo sapiens, assembly GCF_000001405.40. Taxonomy (NCBI): domain Eukaryota; kingdom Metazoa; phylum Chordata; class Mammalia; order Primates; family Hominidae; genus Homo; species Homo sapiens. The sequence goes on along the minus strand of NC_000006.12, from coordinate 21,091,042 downwards.
GGAAGACTGCTTGAGCCCAGGAGTTTAAGACCAGCTGGGGCAATAGTGTAAGACCCTGTCTCTACAAAAAATTAGCTAGGCATTGTGGTGCTTGCCTGGAGTCCCAACTACTTAGGAGGCTGAGGCAGGAGGATCGTGTGACCCAGGAGGTTGAGGCTGCAGTGAGCCATTATTTTGCACCACTGCATTCCAACCTGGGTGACAGAGTGAGACTCTGTCTCAAAAAAAAAAAAAAAAGAAAAAAGAAAAAATTGTTAGTATACTTACAAATATATTCTTAGTTCACACATACACATATGACATTCATGAATTTCTCTTTTGAAATAATTGATATATAGAACAAGGTAAATAATAATCTAACAGTATTCCCTGAACAAATAAAAAGTGAAAAAGTTTGAGATAAGGCTAGAAATTCTGTTTTATGTATACTTTCATATATATATGAGTGTCATTCCTTTCTTCCAGAGGCTGTAGAAAAATATATAACTCCATAATCCATAAATCAGTCTCTATCAGCAAAGGGAATTATGAAAGTAGAATGTTACAACTCAGGTTTTGTTTTTCTAAGCACAATGGATTTTATATTTTATGAAAACTGTGTTCAAAGACAGAAGAAACTGTGTATGCTAGGTATGGAAAGCAATCAAATGTGTTGAAGTTGTGCTTACCCTTTTGGCCCAGTTGGCTCTTAAATACAGGCTTCACTTACAGCCTTGATATGCACACCATCTATTGTAGGAATGCCATGAAGATTAGATGAAATGTCAATAAAATGCTTGGTACAGTGTCTGCATATAGTAATCACTCAATAAATGTTAGTTCCTATTATCAACATACAAGGTTCTTAATTAGTTTTCCAATTAACATGACTGTGGTGTTCAATAATATCACTTGTATTCATTATCTTATCATGAGCTGAAAGGTAACAGGTGTCTATTTACTTATAGCTACAAAGACATCACCCTTGTAAAAACTTTCTTCATTAATGACTAGATGATGTCTCTCCATAAATTCAAAGAATGAGGATAACCCTAACACTGCATGCTATATAGCAATAAAAAACAAGAGTAAGCTATTCTCTTCTCACCATGATCTCAGCTCATACGTAACTTCCTATTTTAATTGGTTGTAGCTATGCATTCCCAATATTTCAGAGGCAAACAAGAATCCAATGTCCTCAAATCTCACTATATAGGAATTAATATTTATGGCTTACTTTGCTCTACAGACCTTAACCTGGCTTATAAAGCTTGCCATGATCTGACTCTTGACCACCTGGCCTCCTTCATTTCCTACAAGTCTTCTCACCCATGACGCTTCAAGCTGTAAGGTGTTCCTTTTTGTTTCTCCACGCTTATTTCCTTTTGAAGGTGTTTGTGTAGCTATTTCCTCAGCCTCAACTCCTCTTTCCTAGTATCTTCACAAGGCTACTCCTTACTCACATTTAACTTAGATGTCACCTCCTCAGAGAGAGCTTTGCTGGCCAATCCAAAGGATCTACACAGTCACATACTTATTATGTATGCCTATTTTAATTTGCTATTTGCACTTTTGTTTTTTTTTCTAGAGACAGGGTCTTGCTCTGTTACCCAGGCTGGAATGTAGTGGAAGGATCACAGCTTACTGCAGCCTCTGCCTCCTAGGCTCCAGTGATCCTCCTGCCTCAGCCTCCTGAGTAGCTGGGACTACAGGTGTGCACCACCACACCTGGCTAATTTTTTTATTTTTTGTAGAGACAGGGGTCTCACTATGTTGCCCAGGCTGGTCTCAAACTTCTGGGCTCAAGCAATCCTCCCACCTCAGCCTCCCGAAGTGCTGGGATTGTGGGCATCAGCCACCACACCCGTCCTATCTGTAAATTTTTTAAGGCATGGTAATTAAAAAACATTCATCTCACCATCAACTGACGTTGAAAAGAATGTCAATTAATCCTTTTTGCTTTATTCCTTTAAAAATCAAGGGAAGTAAATGCTACGATTTTAATTTCCATAAGCATAATATACTGTAAAGTTGCATAGTGCATGACCCGGTATCCATAGATAATGGGAAAGAATCATTTAACATTGTCTATATCATACTAATTTTATTTTATTTATTTTTTGAGATGGAGTCTTGCTCTGTTGCCCAGGCAGGGGTGCAGTGGCATGATCTCGGCTCAATGCAACCTCTGCCTCCCAGTTTCAAGTGCTTCTCCCACCTCAGGCTCTTGAGTAGCTGGGATTACAGGCGCCTGCCATAACACCTGGCTAATTTTTGTATTTTTAGTAGAGACGGGGTTTCACTGTATTGGCCAGACTGGTCTTGAACTCCTGACCTCAAATGATCCACCCTCCTCAGCCTCCCAAAGTGCTGGGATTACAGGTGTGAGTCACCATGCCCAGCCTATCATATTAATTTTAAAGACTTGTAGAAAAATACTATCAATTCCAAAACAAAAATAGTGCTGTGAAGCCAAGTATTAATTAATGAAAGCAACAGGAAATAATAAGGACATTTCCTAACTTTTGAACTAGCTATGCTCCATAACTTTGTTCTTTATTAAGTTGGTTGAAGTAAGACTGCATCTTTTCCCATTATAAATAATTACATTTTGTTAGAACCTCCACTTCCAGAAAACCCAAAATGACAACCGAAAACCAATTATTTAACTACATATCTGTAGATTATGGTTGGTTTTCAATTATATGTACTATTTATGAACTATTTCTATGGGGAAATGAAGTCTTCTCCAGTTTCAGGTTAATTGAACTAATTGTGCAGTGGTCTCTTGCCCTTCTTTCCCAGATCTCTGTTGACCCAGATCCTGGAAGTACTATCTTTGTTTTTGAACCCGTTTTTCTCTGATAGGTTTATATGAAGTATAGTCACTAGCCAGATGTTCAACTATGTTGTTCCCATTGATAGGGACAAGGGACAGAGAAATTCTAGGCAGAAAAATGTGGGTCCCTGGCATAACCCTACCCTCAAGCTAAAAAGCCTGAAACTGTGGCCCAAAATGAGAACTTATATCCCTGTTTTCCTGCCCGAATACTGCCTTTTCCTAAACAACCCATGGCCCTGTCCCGTCCCATCCTGTACATATAAAAACCCCATATTCAGCCAGTAGACAGGACCACAGTTGGATGTTAGAGAGAAGCGGCTTGACTTCAGAGGGACAGGTTGATGGTGTAACTTCGGAGAATCATCCGGTCGGAGATTTTTGGACAAATTTGTTTTTTTTCTAGGAAATGTGTGTGTGTGTGTGCACGCATGCATGCATATCTGTATATTAAATATAATTAAATATACATTTATATAAACACACATATATAAAATTATTCTCAAAAAATGTTAAGAACCATTGACCAAGAGTTAGGGTTAGATAAAATGCTCTCCCAGGAGCCTTTTAGAAACTACTTATTTGGTGTCCATGAAAGCCAATATTCTTTAAATATCTGATGTTTTTGGAGGATCAGCTGAGGACTATAGGAACGGAGTAGAAGATAATCACATCAGCAGTGGTGTCCTAGCTTGTACACCCCACTTGGCAAATAAAAAGACCTGAAGTTGGCCAGGAGCAGTGGCTTATGTCTGTAATCCCAGCACTTCAGGAAGCTGAGGCTGGAGGATCATTTGAGCCCAAGTTTGAGGCTGCAGGGAGCTGTGTTTGTGCCACTGCACTCCAGCCTGGGAGACAGAACTAGATGCTATCTCCAAAAAAAACAAAGACTTGAAGTTAACTAGGCGCCCGCTCCTTAGAAGGCAGTTACAAGGAGCAAGGATGTTTCTCAAAGAATCAGTTACAACCCATATAGAGTCCTCCCGTAGAGCAGCTGTGATTTTAAAGTTTTTTCCATCTTACTCTATTTCCAATGACATCTGGCATCCCTTGCTCGGTCTTTGGATAGAGTATGGGGCACAAAGCTTGCTCACAATTTCAGGCAGTTTATGCATTGTTGTCTTAGGCCTGGGTGCAGAAGGAAAAGAGTTCACTAAATTAATGGAAGGGTGGATACATATGGTGAAGTTAAGGAACATCATACTAATTAATAAACAAGAGAGTTATTGGGCTACAGAGGTTTGGGGTGCCATTTTAACCAATGCTTGATACATAAATGTTCCCAGAAAAATATTTTAGGACAATGACATTTAGATCTAGTGAGACAGTTAAGAATTAAAAATGAGGGACTATGATATTTTTTAACCTTTGTAAATTTCCTCAAAGTTTTCATTCTGTTTTTCTCCTGTCTTCTACAGAGAATAGCAAAAAAAGTCAAAGTGAAAAAGCAGTTTGGGCAAAGCAACAAGGAGCTTGGGCCCTAAATCATACTTAAAGCTGGTCTTGGGCAGTCGGGGGGAAACATGGCAGGTGGATAGAGTTTAAAAAAGAAAAGGTCTCTGGGAACTGTTAGGAAGGTAAAGGGGCTACTAGGAGCAAGCAGAGAGAAGACTCAGTGCCAGACTCTGACCCTAAACATCTACAGATGCCCCTTTTAACAGCCAGGACTTCGGTGTTCGCCTATGGCTCCCACTAGTTCACCCACCTAGGCGCTGGCATGGATCAGGCATTTGGTAAGTCATTCTATCTCCTCAAACCTCTATGAACATGGAATTTGTCTTTAAGTTGTAGCGCCAGTTAAAAGAATTTTGTCTTTAAATGAGTAAAATTTTGGCTCTAAAATCCTATAGATTTAAAATAGAAATTGAGGAGTCTATATTTTAATTAAGTTTCTCAGAACTTTATTTTAGGCACTAATTTTCTTTCTCCCTTGCCACTATAATTTATTATAGATACAATATTTAAGAAGCAGAGTATGGAAGCAGAATTCTTGGTTTTGAATCCTAAGTCCACCATTAATTGTGTCACTTTGAGCAAGTTATACTCTTTGTGCCTCAGTTTCCTCTTATGTAAAGTGGGGATAAAAACAATCATTACCCACAGGGTTGGCATGAAGATTAAATGAAACAACATATATAAAACACCAAAACAGTGCAAGGCGGCAAGCACTACACAAGGTCTATGTAAGCTACCAGTATTATCCAGTGTACAAGTCATAGAGATTCTTCCTTCAACTTCTCTTGCCTTTCTGACTACCCTCATAGTCTCATCAAGGCACAGACTCTTAGACTTCATAACAACACTGTTTCATTACCGTCTTAATTCCTGCCTGCAGCCTTTCTCCACTCTGATGCAATTAGCATATTTTTACTAATTTCATCTTTCTACAGCACTGCTTAGATTGCGTCACTCCTTGCCTACTGAGTACAGATGTCATACTTCTGATGGCTCAGTTTATTATCTAGGAAAATTCCCAAGGGCCAATGCGGCTGTAGATCCAGGAGGATTATACAGTTGAATTCTCTTGATGGAGCCCAAAGCACCTGGTAAAAAGTCTTTCTCATTGTTCACTAGAAACCCTGGATTTTACAACTGTACTGCGATCACTTTCTAAAAACATCTCATACCTCACTCCCAATATCTTTCATGTAGTGAAAAGCTCAGCTTAAAAGTTACTTTTTTGTTAACAGTGACCTCGACCATCCCACTCACAAGCCCCCAAGTTTTAACAGCCCTTTGTATAGCTCTTACAGCAGTGGAGACACACGGTCCTGTGGTACTGTCAGCACCATACTTCCTCTTCCTTTCTGGATTACATGCCTCTTGAGTAAGGAGCACCCAGGAGTCATCTTGAGATGTAGTGTCCTACCCAGCACAGTTCCTTGCATGTAGTAGAAGCTTACTCAATACCAGGCAAATTAACAATTTTTATTTTAACTACAGTTTTGACTATGATTTCTAAAAGAAATGCAGTTCTGATGGTCAAAATGATCAAGAGACTTACATGACTCCCGAAAGCCATGTTTTGGGTGATTACAGGCAAAAAGATTGCTGTAGTTTCTACACACTAGTGAGATGCACCACCAGACAGCCTTCTTCCAATCTTCCCCTGGATAACTCTGGCTGCTAATGTAAGATAAAATCAAATTAAACTCGTTCACAGTAGTCTTTAGGTTTGTTAATAGGATAGGATTTCAGGTACCTGACAAATTATCAGTATGAATAACCTTTTCAACCCTTAGAGAACACACTGATTTTCATTTTAATAGTATTTGACTAGTTCTGGGTTAACCTAGAGAGAAGAATGAAGAAGGCTGCTCCCAGGGGATTGTGGGGCTCCCGGGGCTCTCTGCCAAGCCTTAATGTCAAGTTAGTTGGGAAGGAATCCATCAACTACTGCATCATATAACTTTGTAACGGCCCCAGGGATATCAGTCATATATTTTTGTGCTTGATTCCAAAACCAACTGGAATTTACATGGGGAAATTTTCTTCCACCTCTTTATATTTGTTTATCCTAAAATAACAAGTTCAAAGAACCCAGAAAATAGTTAGAGGGAATACTTTGTGATTTCACTGATAATAAACATTGAGAGGAATGGCAGTAAAGGAATGTAAGGTACATGGAAAATATTTTTTACTCCAAGAGTATGCCTTTGACACTAAGTCATACCCAGGCAGATTTGGTAAGTCAGTATTATAGTACTTCAGGAAAAATAGTTCACTTATGACCTACGAATTCCCCCTAAAAACTAAAAATTCATCAACTGAATTTACCTAGCTTCTCTTAACCCACATAGGTTTTGATCTGCACAGTTTCTGAGGATGAAAGATTTACATGTATTATCTGCCAAGTAAATAAACAGGCACTTCAATGAAATAAATTTCTGCCTTTCCAACTTTAGTTGCTCCTCCGTCACTGTATATCCAATTCAAAATATTTTATTTTAAAAATATAGTCTAAGGACTTAAAACTATTAGAAATAACCCAAAGATTTAGAATAGATTAAACTTAATCTATTAGAAATGAAAAATCTTGTGGACTACATAAGATGACAGTTCAAGTCATCATAAAATTGCAAATGTGAACTAAACCACTGAGAGTTTTGAGTTTTCAAGGCCTCCCGTTTCTTTCTTCTACAATCCTATTCAATACTTGGGATTACAAGTTCTTATCCAAAAACAGATAACTACGTAGTGAAGAAACTAGACAAACCAGCTAACACCTGAACCAAGTGATCAAATTTAGCATCGCCGATAAAGGGCAAAAGCACATCATATACCTTCTCAGATCTTCTGAGAAGGATATGACATCATTTTTATTTAGCTTAAGAGGGCAAAGCATATAACCTGAATCTAATCATGAGGAAAACTCAAACTCAAATTGAGGGACATTCCATTAAATAACTGGCCAGTATTCTTAAAAATGTCAATATCATGAAAGATAAAAAAGGCTTAGGAACTGTATAGATTCAAGGAGACTACAGAAATAGAACAACTAAATGCAAGCCATGATCCTAGACTGACTCCTCTATTGGGAAAGCAATTGCTATACATATTGTCGGGGCTCTTGACAAAATTAGAATATAAACTGTAGATTAAAGCACTGTGTCAATGTTAAATTTCCTGATTTAGATAACAGTACTGTGATCATGTAAGAAACTCATTCTTAGGAAATATACACTAAATATTAAGGGGGTAAAGGGACATGATGTCTGTAACCCATTCTGAAATTGTTTAGCAGCAAAATATCTATGACTACATCTACATCTGTCTTTCTCTTCAGAGAAAGAGAAAGCAAATGTAGCAAAATGTTAAAAACTGATCATCTCACTAAGGGTTATACAGGTTGAGCATCCCTAATTCAGAAATCCAAAATGCTCCAAAATCTGAAACTTTTGAGCACCAACATGACTCCACAAAATTCCACATCTGACCTCATGTGAGGAGTTGCAGTTAAAATGCATTCAAACCTTTGTTTCTTGCACAAAATTATTAAAAACATTGTATAAAATTAATGCTAGGCTATGTGTATAAGGTATATATGAAACATAAATGAGACCGGGCATGGTGGCTCACACCTGTAATCCTAGCATTTTGGGAGGCCGAAGCAAGTGGATCACTTGAGCTCAGGAGTTTGCGACCACTCCGGGCAACATGACAAGATCCTGTCTCTACAAAAAATTAACCAGGTGTGGTGGTGCATGCCTGTAGTCCCAGCTACTTGGGAGGCTGAGGTGGGAGAACTGTATGAGCCCAGGAGGTCGAGGTTGCAGGGAGCCGTGACTGTGCCGCTGCACTCCAGCCTGGGCAACAGAACGAGACCCTGTCTCAAAAAAAAAAAAAAAAACAAAAGAAACATAAATGAATTTCACGTTCAGACTTAGTTCGCATCCCCAAGATATCACATTATATATATGCAATTATTCCAAGATCTGAGAAAAATCAGAAATCTGGAAAACTTCTGGTCTCAATCATCTTAGATAAAGGATACTCAACTTGTACTGGAGGTCTTTGTATTATTCTTACAACTTTTCTATAAAAGACAAAATCATTTTTAAGAAGTTTAAAAATTTTCTAAGGCCTATAAACTTACTGTCATAATAGAAAAACAACTTTAAAAACTGACACTTGTTTGGTCAAAATGTTCTAAAATTACTTTGAATTTATCGGATGAGTACTTATTTTACTGTTTATAAGAGCAAGGACCAATAAGAAAGAATGAAGTCTCAGTCTCAAGCTTTTTACTTAATAGTTACATAACCTGAGACAAATGAACTTAACTTCTCTGAGCTGAGTTAACTAACTCATGTGCAAAGTAAAAGTCATAAAAGACACCTAAAAAGATTGTTGAAAGAATAACAGGAGACAAAGTACATGAAAAGCATAGACTATGTTTGTTTGTTTCTGGCACATATTAACATCCAAACAATGGAAGGTTTCTTCCCCTGCCCTTCTAACTTCTTATCTTATCCACACTTCTCTGAAGGCATGTCATTATGAGAAGCAAAATAAAGCACCAGGTCATTCATCTTAGATTACAAGATCCCAGATGGAACATAACTAGTACAGTACATTTTTGTCCATTTGAATGCTTATTTGCTCATATTTGATTATATTGTCCTTAATTATGAAATAAATGGATTGCAAGGGGCAAGAGTTTTAAAAGAGTTTCATGTTAGATTACCAAATCTATTCCATTGACCTGAATACACAGTTAACATTATACATAGCTCTTATACTTGGAACTACATGTATAAGTCCTTTGGAACGTTATAAATATATGGAGTTATTAATGAACCATACTTATCACAGAACAAAAATAAGGCTAACAAATAAGGTATATTGGCTGGGCACAGTGGCTCATGCCTGTAATCCTAGCACTTTGGGAGGCTGAGGTGGGTGGATTACATGAGGTCAGGAGTTTGAGACCAGCCTGTCCAACATGGGAAAACCCCATCTTTACTAAAAAAAAAAATACAAAAATTAGCCAGGTGTGGTGGCGGGCACCTGTAGTCCCAGCTACTTGGGAGGCTGAGGCAGGAGAATTGCTTGAACCTAGGAGGCGGAGGTTGCAGTGAGATGAGATCGCGCCACTGCACTCTAGCCTGGGTGACAGAGTGAGACTCCATCTCAAAAAAAAAAAAAAAAAGATATATCATTATAAGGTTCTTTATCTTTAGAAGTTACTCCAAGAGTCTACTCACTTCTAAAGTTGTTACTAATGTAATAAAAATGAATTCAAATTGAATATTACAATTTTAATAAATCAAGTTCATATAAAAGGCATAAAAGAATTATTATATAGATCCTTGCAGTTTTTCTGAAACTTGTATAAAACAAGGTATGTAATCACCACTGGAGAAAAAGTTAGACTGAAATATAATAAAGATGACTTTTCAAAGGATAAAATTTATATTCTCCTTATTTAATATAAATTCACTCAGTCTTTCTCAACTCTAATACCTGCCACCTTTCAGCATGTGAGAGAAAACTTATAACCACATATCTTCTTCCTCTTTTGGTAATTACAAATTCGTAAAAGAAGCAGGATAAAAATGAATGCCAAAAGGAAGGCAAAAAATTAATCATAAGAAACAGGTTGAGTTTATTTCTTTGACAGGCATTTTTTTAAAATGATTTTCTATCACTACAAAGCACAAATTAAAATTGCTATCAGTGAAGTCAAGGCTCTTCAAAGCATATATGATTCCTCATTATCCTAAAGTTGGGTTATTTTAGAAAACTTGAAATGCTAAGATTCCCAATACCAATTATATGTTCCCAAGTACAGTCATCCCTGATTTTTTCTAGAAATGGCTTATAATTAACAGGAGAGTCACATGAAAGAGCTTTTAGTACCAACAATCTGTGGGTTTTCTTCTTATCTTTACCATCTTAAGTAAAAACCAATCCCACAAAAACACGGCTCCATCCCGAAGTTAGTCTACACTTGTGCCGTACACATCTGGTCCTGTTGGTCTGACTACACAAAGTTGATTTACATGGTAATGGAATTTAGTTCATCATTGTCACATTGGGGCTAAACAAAAAGTTGGGCCAGTGCTCTGTGGCAGGTAGGCAAGAGGTCAGGTTCAGAGGGTAGAAAATTAGGGGGAACAGTGATAGTACAGAGGGAAAAGGTTGGGATCCTGAAAGGATGATTCTGACTGAGAGGAATCAGGAGCACGCTCTTAAAAAAGATATTACCTGTGGCAGTAAAAACTAATAGAGTTCTTACTGGTGACACTCTCGGCTGTGGTATCTCCCTGGTCTCCTTGTGCAGGTCCCTGGGAGGAGAGGTACTGCATCAGCCCACACCCATGCACACTGTTTACACTGCTGGAGAGCATTTCCGTCTTAGAAACAGTCTTTTCTTTCATGAGATCTTGACAAGGTCTGCTTCCATTTACTCCAGATTAGTCATGTTTGTTAGATTCTCTATTTCAGATTCAAGATGGTAGACAACCCAAGGGTATCATTGGCAAACTTCCCTCTACACAGCTGAGGCTTAACAACAATTTTTGTTATTTTCACGTTTCCAAGTTCCAAATGTTAGCACCCCCTTTTTCTTTACTTTTGTTAGTGTGACAGTGGATATAAGGGAAGTGCTCAATTTAAGAAGGATTCAAAGAAAAAAAAAAAAAAGAATGATCCAATCAGGGCTCCAGCTTCTTCAAATGTTCCCAAGCCCAGAGTTTTCTACATGGTTCAAACACACACACACACACACACACACACACACACAGAGACAAAGTTGATAAGCTTATCTTATGGTGCTTAGAACAACAAAAACAAAAAGAAAGATAAAGAGGCCACAAGAAAAAAGCCAATCCTGTAACTGGCAAGTAGAAACAGCTTGGGAAAAGATAAAATCAAGTAGGGGAAAAGATAGGGAGCAGACAAGGAAAGAGGGCTGGAGGGGTTGGTGTTTCTACTTCAGAGTAGAAGAGGTTGGGCCTGGTCCAGGAAGTAATCTCATGACCATTAGGGAAGATAATGTCATCAGCACCAGCTGTAGCAAAAGGCAAAATCAATTTATATTGCCTTAAATTTTCAGCAACGTTCAAGGGTCCTTGTAAAATGTTCTTGCCTACCAATATTTGATCTGTTAAGTCTACAGTCAAGGAAAACCCAATTAGTGAATGCCTGTGGCATGAGTTAATGTTTTCCATAGAACACAGAATAATTTGCTGACATGCAACTAAGTCTGGGACTTGGAATGATTTAGTCCAAAAGAAGAAGACGTATCTAAAGTCTCAGGAATAAGTCACAGAGATTCTTTAAATCCACTTACTAGTTTCCAACTCTATCTCTTGCAGTAGCTTCTCAATGGGCTTTCTGATTCCTCTGTTCCCCTGCCACCTAGACAGAGCTTTCCAAAACAGACATAAGATCACTACTACTCAGTAGCTCCCTACTGCCCACAGGACAGTTTAAAGCTATTTAACATGGCTTATATGGCCATCTTAATCTAAGCCTTGCCTATAGTACCTGACTCATTTATTGACACTAACCTATTCCTGCATATTGTTCTCCACTTCATCAAAAACAAACAAACAAACAAAAATATATCTCACCGCCCCAATGGGAATGAATTTTATTCTCATTAATGTTCCCTGTTTTATTTGTGCCCAGGTTCTGTCCCACGCCGCCCCTGTAACAGCCATTCTTCCTCTCACACAGGCACCCCCCACTTCTCACAGCTGATGGCATCTCAACTCTCAGAATTCAATTTTACAGCATCTGTCAATCCAACACATACTGAGTTCCTGCTCTATGCCAGGTATTGTGCTAGGTGCACATGATAGAAAGATTAGCCCCCACATTTCTCAAAACCAGTTATACATCATAAGTGACAGGGTATAAATAAGCACCAAAATTTATGGGAACATGAAAGAGGTGGGGAGGAGAACAGGGTGATCATCCAAGCCAGGGATGATCAGGGAAGGCTGAAGAGAGGCTTAAATGCTAAGTGCAAATGATCCAAGCTCTCCTCCTCACCCTGCACCCCGCTGTGTGAGAGGACGAGGAAGGAATCTGAGGCAGGGGAGATGAATATAAAAGTATGCTGGGAACTACAAGCAGTCAGATGTGGGAGCAAAGAGTGAGTTGGAAGGAATGGCAAGATCGAGGAGTGGAGAGGCAGGCAGGAGCTCCTCTGTATGATCTTGGGCTAGTTAATCACTCATGGCCTCAGTTTCCTGATGTGCAGAATGACAATAATAACAGTTCTAACGGCAGAGAGCTGTGAGAATGAAATACATTAAAGGGCTCAGAACAACATCTGACATATAATCATGGCTAAATGTTAACTCTTACTTTTGTTATATCATTATTATGATTAGGCCCAAAGATTATTGTGACTGTAGGGTAGTATCTAGCTAACTGTTCACAGATCTAGGAATAAGCATGTGTCACCTAGTGATACAGCAAACCCTGGGTAACATAAAGCCCTGAAAGATCAATTAATTTAGCTGTCTCGAAAAGCCAGACAATGTTCTCAGATCAAAATATTCCATAGTGTACAAGTTTCATATAGTTGCAGTAACAAATTACCACAAAACACAAATTTATTATATTATAGTTCTGGAGGTGAGAAATCTGAAATGAGTCTCCTAAAATCAAGGGTTTTGGCAGGGCTGTGTTCCTTCAGGAGGCTCTAGGGGAGAATCTGCTCTTGCCTTTTCCAGCTTCTAAAGGCCACCTGCATTTTATGCCCGTGGTCCCTTCCTTGACCTTCAGAGCTTATCACTCTGACCTTTGTTTCTGCCCTCACATCTCCTCTAACTGGGACCCTCTTGCTCCCCTTTATGAGGATCCTTGTGATTACATTGACCCCACTCAGGTAATCCATGAAAACCTCCCCATCTCAAGAGCTTGAACTTAATTGCATCTGCAAAGTTCTTTTCACCATGTGATATGGTTTGGCTTGGCTCTGTGTCCCCACCCAAATCTCATGTCGAATTGTAATTACTGTGTTGAAGAAGGGACCTGGTGAGAGGTGACTGGGTCATGGGGGCAGACTTCCCCCTTGCTGTTCTCATGATAGCGAGCGAGTTCTCACAAGATCTGGTTGTTGTAAAAGTGTATAGCACTTCCCCCTGCCCCTTTCCTGCTGGCCATGTGAATATGTACCTGCTTCCCCTTTGCCTTCTGCAGTGATTATAAGTTTCCTGAAGCCACCCCAAAAGCAGAAGCCTGTAAAGCCTGCAGAACCATGAGCACAATTAAGCTTTTTTTCTTTATAAACTACCCAGTCTCAGGTAGTTCTTTATAGCAGTGCAAGAATGAACTAATACACCATGCAAGGTAACATATTCACAAGTTTCGGGATTAGGACATGGATATCTTTGAGGACCCGTTACTCTGCCTACCATATTAGGTCTCATTGCTGCCATTTGAGCCCCTATAACAATGAATTTAATAGTATTCCTATTTGAATTCAAGAAGATTTGATCAACCAATTGTACAAACAAAAAGTCATTAGATTCATAATAAAATAGAAGGTGAAAGAATGGGAAATGTAGATAACATATTTACACCAACCATCTAGAAAAAGAAAGCACCTAAATCTTTCTATATATATAGGTTGAAAAGTGGCCTTAAAATTGTCTAATAGAAAAATCAAAGATTATTAGGCATTTCAAGAAGTCTTTGGGATCATTAAGTTTATGTTAAATAAATATCCTCTGTATAAAAACCCACACAAAGTAGGAGGCTCTCAACTATCTTTCTATTATAATCTAGCTCATACTTCTCTCTAGTATAGAGTCATTATAAAAAGCTCTGTTAAATGATCTGCTGAAATCCAGATACAACAAAATTATGGGCAGGCTAAAAACTCCATCGAAAATGGAAGTAAAAACAAAAATGATGTGTCCAGAAGAAAGGACTTCAAAAGATCAACTGGAAGGGATCAAGTACAATTAAGTTGCATAAGAATAAGAATGCCAAGATAGTCTTTCTAAAAAAGAGAAGTTAAAATGAAAAAGTTCTTGAGAAAAGGGTCTTCCCTATGGGTATGTTTGGGAATCAATTTAGAATAAAAGGTACTTAACAATCCAGAGTATAAAAATTCTTGAAAATATTTTTTCTCTTTCCTCCAAGAAAACAAATTTAATTAAAAAATCTGACACTGAGTAAATAATGTAATTCTGTTATCGAGTAAGCTAAAAGATTCAGTATTCCTTCCATTAAGGCAACCTGATATTCTTTAAAACACTGAGTTGTTAAACGTAAGGATTACACTCAGAAACAAAAAGGTTTAAAGGCATTTAAAGAAAGTGACAAAGCTCTTTTATATGCTATGTTTCTCGGACATATGTACATGTGCGCACTCACGTGTCTGTGTGTGTGTGAAAAATAAAATATTCCTTGACCCACTGGCAGCTAGATTTGGGAGAGTCACTGTATGTCATTGAGCAAGCTTCTATATATGATTTAAGAATATTCTTTATTCAATATCTGTTCCAAGTGGTCACCCTGCCTTGGTATGAACACCCACAGCAACAATGTAATTCCTCACAAGGAAAATCTGCCAGAGACCGTTTTGGCAAAGCTGTCTCTAACCCCCACAAGAATGTCCCTCCAGCCCTCTTAGAAACACTCCCTTACATTCTTTCTTAAGGGTAAAAGTTCTAGAAACTGCAGGTAAGTGAACTATGATTCTTTTATGAGGACATATAATCAAAGATATTGCCTTTACTCTCTGGTTCCAACATGTAAGACAAGCAAGTAGGTAGATGTATCACAATTTAACATCTTAAAGCTATATAAACATTCTAACAGCCACTCTTGCCATCTAATTGTTTTTTTCAAGTCATAAGACTCCTAATATAAAGATTTCACAATAATTTCATTATTCATCATCAATATTTTCTAAAAAGCAAAGTCTGGAATTGACCGCCGAGGATCAAAAGACTTTTTAAACTTAGGTGACCTTTCCTAGGCAGACCAAGAATCTCAGCCACAATTTAAAAATACTACTGGAATTACTTCAAATGAATGAAGACTAATGAAGGAAGACTTAATGGAACAGAAAATATGAACTTGCAAATCTGACCTTTCATCTAAAAATCTAGTCGCTCTCATTTGGCTTAGGTGATTTCATTATTAAATCGCTTATATATTATAGTCTTGTAAAAGCTAAAAAAAATAAATTTTAGTTTATCCTGTTCATGAAAATATATTGTCTAATTTATTTTCATTATAAAGTTAAGAGGATTATACTCTTTTTTTTCAGTAGGCAATCAAGGCGAAGAATTCATCTCTCCCCCTATACAAATACAAAATTCAACTAAAGGGTGTCTTATCCATTTGGGATTTAAATAATTAAGAATACAAACAATTTAGTTCATTTATTAGAGCTCTGCCATAATAGATTAAAACACTGAAATTTATTTATATTAATGCTAATATTTATGTAAAAGTAAATATGACGGGGAGAGTATACTTATCCTTATGTCATCTACAGGGGAAGAACATTTTTTGGGACTTGTTGTTAGCAGAAATAAAACGTATCTCAGAAAATAGTATATCTTCACTAAGAGGCATTCTAAAGCCAAAACAAAAAGATATTATTTGAAAGCAACTGGTATTGTATTGTACTCTTCTTCTAATAATGGGTTAGCATCTACTTTCATTATTGATTTTTAAAAAATTTACAATTGGCACACAATAATTGTACATATGTTCACTGATTATTCTTTTGGCAAGGAAATAGGCTTTGGAGACTCAGAAGTGGGGAGGTAGGAGTAGGTGAAGGATTAAAAAAAAAACACCACTACATTTTGGGTACAATGTACACTACTCACATGATGGGTGCACTAAAACCTCAGACTTCACCACTATACAATCCATCCATATAACCACAAACCATGTGTACTCCTAAAGTTATTGAAATTTTAAAAAAATAATAAATTTTTAAGAAAGAAAAAACCAAAAAACTGCTACCCATTTTGCAATAGTATTATATTTTAGTGAATTCTAGTTTCATAAGCAGTTTCATAAACTACCTAAGACTGGTAGAGTAGACAATTATTAATTTTTAGTAAATTTAAGAGAACCAAGAAGACTCAGTGCACATCATATATCTTCTGTTTGACTGCAGATCTCTCAAGTTTCACCATTTTTGCTTCTTTTTACCAAAGTTTCTGCATTTTATAAAGAAGAAACTCTTCCAGGCAATGGTTTTTACCTAGAGCATAATTACAGGGATGTAGAAGAGTCTCGTGGATTGAATTGTATCCCCCACAAAAAGTCATACTGAAGTCCTAATCCCCAGTACTTCAGAATGTTACCTTATGTGGAAATAGGCTTGTTTCAGACATAACTAGTAAAGATGAAGAGCAGGGTGGGCCCCTAATCCAATATGACTTAGTCCTTTTAAGAAAACAGCCATGTAAAGACAGAGACATACACGGACACCTTGTGACAATAAAGTCAGAGACTAGAGCTATGCAGCTGCAGGCCAAGAAACACCAAAGACCATCAGGAAATCACCAGAAGCTGGGACAGGCCAGGAAGGATTCTGGTACATGATTCTGAGGGAGAAGAGGCTTTTCTTTGTACTTGTAGCCTCTAGAATCGTCAGATAATACATTTCTGTTGTTTGAAGCCCCCTAGTTTGTGGTACTTTGTTATAGAAGCTTTGGGACATTAATACAAAGAGGTTTAATAAAGAGCTGCATGAGAAGAACAACAGTGCAGAATCCCAGAATATTGGCTCTTGAGAACAGAACAGTATAACTGAGAATAATACAAGGAAACAGCTTCACAAGTTGGCCTAGGACACTCTGAACCTAAGTTTACTGTTTCAGATTGCAGTGCAGTGGAAAGTTGAAAAATTTCCAAGTGCTAAATAAACAAAATAATAAACAAAATAAATAAACAAAAATTAGTCTGTTTCAAACGAATGAGAAAACAGGCCATAGACTGGAAAAATATATTTGTAAAGCACACATCTAATAATGAATTGTTACCCAAAATACACAAAGAACTCTTATAACTCAACAATAAGGAAACAAACTGCATGATTAAAAATGGGCAACAGACCTGAACAGACACCTCACCAAAGAAAACATACATATGGCAAATAAGTATATGAAAAGACACTCAACACCATATGTCATTAGTGAATTACAAATTAAAACTACAGTGAGATACCATTACACACCTGTTACAATGGCCAAAATCCAAAATGCTGACAATACCAAATGTTGGCAAGGATGTTGGCAAGGATATGGAACAAAAGGAACTCTCATTCATTGCTGGTAAGAATGCAAAATGGCAGAGTGGCTTTGGAAGACAGTGTGGCAATTTTTTATAAACATACTTCTATAAACATACTCTTACCATACAATTCAGCAATCACGCTCCTCTTTGGTATTTATCCAAATGAGCTGAACACTTAGGTCCACAAAAAAACCTGCACGTGGATGTTTATAGCAGATTTATTCACAATTGCCAAAACTTGGAAGCAACCAACATGTCCTTCAGTAGGTAAATGGATAAATTGTGTTACGTCCACACAATGAAATATTATTCAGTGCTAAAATAAAATGAGCTATCAGGCCGTGAAAAGATTCAAAGGAATCTTAAATGTATATTACTAAGCAAAAAAAGCCAATCTGAAAAGTCTACACACTCCATGTTTCCAAATATGTGACATTCTGGAAAAGGCAAAATTAGAGGCAGTAGATCAGTGGTTGCCAGGGGTTTGGGGAAGAGAGGGATGAACAAGCAGAGAACACAGGATTTTGGAGAAATGGAATTATTCTGATGATACTATAGTGGTGGATGCTTGTCATTTCACATTTGTCAAAACCCATATAATGTATACCACCTAGGATCAATCCTAATGTAAACTATGGACTTTGGGTGAAAATGATATGTAATGTAGGTTCGTTGATTGTAACAAATGTACTGGGAAAAGCTGTGCATGTGTAGGGGCAGGAAACATATAGCAACTCTATGTGTTATTTTCTGCTTAATGTTGCTGTGAACCTAAAAGTGCTTTAAAAAATAAAGACAAAAAAAAAAAAAAAGATACTCTATTCCAGGCCTGGGTGACTGAAGTCTAAAACGTGAGGAAGATGGTAACAGGCTACGTTTAGAAGATAAAAGACAAGACAAAAACAGGCTTTTTTTTTTTTTTTTTTTTTTTTTTGAGACGGAGTCTCGCTCAGTCGCCCAGGCTAGAGTGCAATGGCACAATCTTGGCTCACTGCAAGCTCCGAAAAAAAGGCATTTAAAAGCTGATTTTATGCAATGAGTTCTGCTTCTGGCTAACTAGCTAGTATCAGACCAATGTTCTTGCCAAGAACAATTAAAAAGGTGAATAAAATGTACAATCTGTACTATTTAAACATGAAAAAGCTACCAAGGAAGTGAGAGATCAAGCTCCCAGAAAGAAGACAAGCCCGTGGAGGACAGCTCAATATTTGGAGTCACTTTTTCCTTCTAGACATTTATCAATGTTAAGTAGTGCCTGGGAGGCTGAACAGCCAAACAAAATCTAAGAGGCGAAGTAAATACGCAGAGCCTGATGCATTCTCATGAGCGTGAGATACAAAAATTAGAGTTGAAGATCTGCCATAAAGAAAAAGTCCTGGTAAAATCACCATAGAATTTCAGCTGGGTACTAGAAGAACTACACTAGGTGGTACGTTAATGTGGCGTGTACCAGTTCACAAAAGCTGGCTGTGTGTATCGCTTCCCAGTGCCATCTTCAGTGATGTAACATTGGTAATCTGAAATTGGCAACAGTGGAAGTATTCACACTATGGAAACTGGCAAATGCTACAGATCAGAACTCTTTCTCCCGAGAGTCACTTGTTAAACACTAGCACACAACTGGCTGCATTCAAAAGTAAGGGCAGGCAGAAATAAAGCAGTCATCAGAAAGAGTGAAAAACAGTCTCAAAAATCCATCTCAGTCAGATTAAAATAATCAGTTCTTACCTTAGCACCTGGCAGAAGCAAAATAAAATCCTCCCTGGAGGAAGATACATGATAGCCTAGAATCTACAGGTTTTTAAAAAATAAACAATGGCCACCATTCAAAAAAAGAAAAAAATACTAGGTACATGGAGAAAAAGACAAACGACCAGAATCAAGAAAAAACAAAACTAAAAAGCAGAAATGAACCAATATGAGATCCAAATACTGGAGATTTTGGAATGGACTTTAAGATAACTAAGTAATATGTTTGTATTAGTCTGTTTTCACACTGCTATAAAGAAATGCCTGAGACTGGGTAAATTATAAAGAAAAGAGGTTTAATTGGCTCACAGTTCCGCATGGCTGGGGAGGCCTCAGGAAATTTACAATCACGGTGGAAGGGGCAGCAGGCACCCCCTTCACAAGGTGGCAGGAGAGAGGAGAGTCAAGAGGGAAGAGCCCCTTATAAAACCATCAGATCTTGTGAGAACTCACTCACTATCATGAAAACAGCATGGGGGAATCTGCCCCCATGATCCAATCACCTCCCACCAGGTCTCTCCCCTGACACGTGGGGATTACAATTCAAGATGAGATTTGGGTGAGGACACAAAGCCAAACCATATAAATGTTTAAAAACTATAAAGGAAAATATGAATAATTTAATTAGAACATGGAAATCTATGAAAATTCAAACTATAATTCTAGAATTAAAAAACACATTAACTAAAATTAGAAATCCCATAGATGGGTTTGACAGCAGATTAAAAACAAATGAAGAAAGGATTAGTAAGCAAGATCAGTGCTTCACAAATTTTAATGTATACACAAATCACCTGGAGATGCAGACGGTGACTGAACAGGTCTAGGGTGGGGCCTGAGAGTCTGCATTTCCAGCAGCCTCACAGCTGCTGCCAACACTGCTGTTCAGGGACTACAATTTCTGTGGATGTTGGCCCAGGGACAGTTACGAATACCAAGGAAATAGGAAACAGATAAAGAGGAAATATCCAGACAGAAACACAGAACAAAGTGCACAAAGTATAGCAAAGAATATATCAGATATTGGGGAACAAAAGAAAATATCTAGCACATGTAACTGAAATCACAGGGGAAGAGAGAAGAGAGTAGAATATATATCTGAAGAAAGAATGGCTAAGGTTTCCAAACCTTCTGAAAAAAATGAGGACACAGGGCGAAAAAACACCAAGAATCCTCAAGCAGGATAAATACAAAGAAAAGTACTCTCAGCAAGAGGCTAAGGTAGAGCAGGGATGATCTCATAAAGATCTGTGGATATAACATTTATCTAATGGAGTAAGTTCCAGTGAAATCCAGGGAAGACCCACAAAATTCCTGAGAAAACTGAGCCAAAAAAAAAAGAGAGAAACAAAAAGAAAAAAGCCCAAACAAACCAAAACCAAATAAACAAACAAAAAATTCACACTGCCAGTGTAGACTAAAAGGGACAGAGACAGTACAAAATAAAAAGAGGCCATAGGATTCTTAACATTCTTATGGCAGGATCAGGCCGAGAAAATTATTCAGCTGTACACATGTGCTATCTTTCAGGAAAAGGGAAAAATAACTACACAGAGTGGAACCAAACGATCAGCAAGTACAGCAAATATCAAATTCACAGTCCCAGAGATTAGAAAGGGTGTGTAACCTGGGGGTGAGGAGGATGAGAAAATCTGGGGGACCTGGCTCATGCCTGTAATCCCAGCACTTTGGGAGGCTGAGGCGGGTGGATCACAAGGTCAGGAGATCGAGACCATCCTGGTTAACACGGTGAAACCTCGACTCTACTAAAAATACAAAAAAATTAGCCGGGCGTGGTGGCGGGCGCCTGTAGTCCCAGCTATTTGGGAGGCTGAGGCAGAAGAATGGCGTGAACCCGGGAGGCGGAGCTTGCAGTGAGCTGAGATGGCGCCACTGCAGCACTCCAGCCTGGGTGACAGAGCAAGGCTCTGTTTTAAAAAAAAAAAAAAAAAAAAAAAAAAAAAAGAAAGAAAATCTGGGGGATTTTATTGGGCAATTCTGTCAAATATTTTAAAAAGAAATACTTTACTTCTATACAAACTCTTCCAGAAAAATGTAGAGGAAGGAAGATTTCTCAACTAATTCTATGAGGCCAATGCTACTCTGATAACAAAATTAAGAAGACATTACAAGAAAACTACAGATCAATGTCTTCCATGAACAAAAATGCAAAACCTTCATGAAATATAACCAAGACAACAGAAATATTTTATCAATAGCAATATATCACAACCAAGTAAAGCTTATTACAGGAATGCAAGGTTAATTTAATATTTGAAAACCATTCAATGTAGGTTATAATATTAACAGAGACTTAGAACAAAAAACAAATCATATTATTTCAATAGACAAAAAAGCATATGATAAAGTTCAACTCTATTCATGATTAAAACACACACACAGACACAGGGAAAAATAGGAATAGAAAGGAACTTTACTAATTCCAAAGCTACAGCTAACTTTTACATTTAATGGTAAAATTCTGAAAACTCTCCCCTTGAGCTTGGGAAGAAGAGAAAGATGCCCAATTCTACTCAGTGTACTGAACATTCTTGCCAGTATAGTAAGATAAGAAAAGGAAATAAAAGTCATGAGAATTGGAATGGAAAAATTAAAACTATGACTATCAGATGACATAACTGTATACTAAGAAAATCTAAAAAAATACCCTACAGAAACACTATTAGAATTAATAAGTGAATTAGTTGGGCAAAATAAATATATTTTAATCAACTTTATTTCTAAGTAGCAACAAAAATGAAAATCATTTCAATAGTATCAATGGAAACACACATGTAGGAACATATTTAATAAAATGATATGTAAGACATATACAGAGAATTATAAAACATTATCGATAGAAATTAGAGAAGATCAAAATAAATGGAGACATATACTTCATTTAAGGACAGAAACTTGATATTATAACAACATCAGTTTCCCCCAAATGACCTATAAAATCAATATGATCTTAATCAAAATTCCAGCAGGATTTTTGGTGAAACTTGACAAATTTACAAAAACAAAGGAACAACAATAGTTAGGGCAATTTCAAGAAAAATACGACATTGAAATACTTACATTGCCAATATCAAGACTTACTATAAAGCTATGGTAGTTAACCTGTGTATGGGTGGAAAGACTGACAAACAGACCAAAGGAACAGAATAGATGCCCAGGACAGACCCACACATGTACATACATGTGATTTATAATAAAGGTGACCAGGCAGGCGAGTGAGACAAGAATGATATTTTCAATAAACTGCATTGACTCAAATGGATAGCTTCCGAGGCAAAAAAACCCAAAACAAACGTGAACTTCCCCTGAAACCCAAACACACCTCATACCTTAAATTAAAATAAATTCCAATTGGACTGCAGATTTAAAGGTAAAAGGCAAAATGATAAAATTTCTAGAACAGTACATTGAGGGGTATCTTTATGATGGTGTGGAGAAGGTAAACATTTCTTAAGAGGACACAAAAAGCACTAACATAAAAAAAAAATTGATAAATTCTACATTAAAATGAAGAACGTCTGTTCTTCAAAAGGCACCATGAAGAGAAAAGGTAGGTTACAGAATGGAAGAAGATATTTAAATTACCATGACCTGCCAAGGAGCTGTAGCCAGAATACGTAAATAACTCCTATAAATTGGGGGTAAGGGCGGGTTGTAAATCCAACTGGTAAACCAACAGGTAGATGGGCAAAAGATTTGAACAGGTAATTCATGAAGAAAGACACCCAAATAGCTAATAAACATATAAAAGACACTCAAAATGGTTAATTAACAGGAAAATATAAAACTACAATTAAAATTAAGTTACATTCCCACCAGAATGGCTAACATTAAGAATGTAACAATACCAAGAGCTGGTAAGAATATGGAGCTTCTACCATTTTTATATATTGTTGTTGGGATTGCAAATTTATTCAACTATTTGGGGAAACTATTTGGCAGTTATCTAGTAAAGCAGATCAATTTCATTTCCTATGACTCAGCGATTACACTCCTAGCCAGACCCCCCAGTGGAAAAGTTTACACACAAGTGGAACAAAAGAAAAAAACAAGAAGAACCCTGTCAGCTGTATTTGCTGCAATACTAATATTGGGATTTTGAAAATACCCAAGTCTTGCTCTGTCGCCCAGGCTGGAGTGCTGCAGTGGAACCATCTCAGCTCACTGCAAGCTCCACCTCCCAGGTTCACGCCATTCTTCTGCCTCAGCCTCCCGAATAGCTGAGACTACAGGCGCCCACCACCACGCCCGGCTAATAATCAATAGGATGAATAAACTGTGATATATATACGCATGCTGTAGAACACTGCCTGGCAATAACAATGGATGAACTACAGCTACTTTAAAAACAGATTAGTTCGCCAACATAATGTTATGCAAAAACAAACAAATCCCCAAAAACCCAAAATCCAAGCACTCAAACATGAATTCTTACATTTATATCCAGAATAATAATGGGTAAAACTATCCTGTGGTGTCAGAATAAGGCATGGTGGCTTCCTTTGAGGAGGGGGAGAGGACAGTAAATGGAGGACATGACAGGGACCTGTGTGGTACTTGGTGATGTTCAATTTCTTGATCTGACTGGTAGTTATAAGGAAGTATTCACTTTACAAAAGTGCACAGCCATATACTTTTCTGTAGGTACAGTACAAAAGCTTTTTTAGCAAAGAAGAAGTAAAGTTTAAAAAAAGAATAGATTGAACTATGAGAACAGAAAACAGATCAGTAGTTGTCAGGAACTGGGTGTGAATGGAGGGAGAAGATGATTACAAAAAAGGGTAAGAAGGATCAGCTGGGTGCAGTGGCTCACACCTGTAATACTGGCACTTTCGGAGACCAACATGGGAGGATCGCTTGAGTCCAGGAGTTCGAGACCAACCTGGGCCACATAGTAGGACCCTGTCTCTATGAAAACTAAAAAACAAAATGAGCTGGGCATGGTGGCACCCACCTGTAGTCCCAGCTACTTGAGATGCTGAGGTGGAAGGACTGCTTGAGCCCAGGAGGTTGGGGCTACAGTGAGCCAAGATTGCAGCACTGCACTCCAGCCTGGGCAACAGAGCGATACCCTGTCTGAAAGCAAAACAAAACAAAACAGAACAAAACAAAAGGGTAAAAAGGAATCTTGAGGGGGCTAATGGAATTGTTCTATATCTTGATTGTCATGTAGTAGGTTGCACTACTATATGCATTTGCTAGAAGTCATAGAACTGTACACCAAAAAGAGTGAATTTTGCTGTATGTAAGTTATCCCTCAATAATATATACTTGTGATATAGAAGAAAATGAATTAATTTGGCATCTTTTTATGTTTGTGGGAAGTTAACGATTTGTGGTGTTACAATCTGCTTTTTTTTCATTGATTAGATTAGAAAGAAAATTAAATGGTCCACCTGCAAAATATTTTCTTACCCTTGTATAGACAGAAAGTTGTAAATTAAGATGAGGAAAATTTGGGGAAAACAAATAATGCTCTTCATTTTGGTTTTATGATATTCACTTTTGATTTTGGAAAAAACAGACTTTAACTAATATACATCTATTTTTCAACCAAATATTGAAAGAATATATATGTTGTGTTTGATATTCACTTACGCTATAACAGAAAAACAGTAACAAGCTCTGGATTATTTCTTTGCATATTTATTCATAAAAACATTTGAGGCAAATTAATGACAGGGCATAATTTTTTAAAATTTAGGTTAGTGCAAAAGTAATTGCGGTAATTAAAGGCAAAAACCGCAATTACTTTTGCACCAACCTAATAGTTATTAGAAACAAAGTAGAAAATTTTCACTTAAATTTCTACTTGCTCTTCAGGCTTATTTTACATTTGCCCGTATTCAGCCAATGAATCTAGAAAGTAGATATTTGTTTTGAGACCCTTAATTTCTGGGGCATTCTGGGAAACATTTTGCCTTTACTTGATTCCAAACTTATTCACATTCATTATGAGTCATCTAATTCTACTGTATCTGTGAACATGAAAGGATAAAATTAAATTGAGGCTCGTTGTGAAAAAACTGAAAAAAAAAAAAAGGTAGAAAGATAGTATCAAATCTATCCAATAGAAAAGCAGCAAAACTAGGGGGATCCCAATCAATAACAAACTATGAAAAGAGTCTCTTAAAAAGTGGGGTAAAAATGAAGCCTCATTTATACACAAATATTTAAATATTGCCTTATTTTGAAACATCCAAAAGTTTATCTTCTACACACAGGTAAATACTAGATACTAATTAAAAATTTTTTTCCCCAAGTCATCTGAATTTTACTGTTCAAAAGAAGAAAAAGGTGATTATATTTTAGTTGCCTAAGGTCATTTAACTCATCCACGGCCCCCTGGCCCCTGACCCCAACTTGGAAATCTCTCCATATTTTGTAATTTAAGGGTTATAACATGAGCAAGTTGTGTGAAGGTAGGCAACACAGCTGCATTTCTATAGCTACTGGCAAAAAACAATACCTTACAAGAAAAAGATCTTACCACTTGTGCTGGAACTTGTTCCATTTTTGCAGCAGGAGTTCCTGGTCTTGGGTAAAATTGGTTAATAAACAGGCTTGGGAATTTGTACTCTTCAACAAGTTTCACTGTTTCTTGAAAATCCTGATCTGTTTCTCCAGGAAAACCACAGATAATATCTGTAGCAATAGTTATTCCAGGAACTCTAGAAAATAACAAGACAAAAATGTAAAAACTTGACTATAAGCCATAATTATTCTATTTCCCTGACATTTTAAATACAATTTTATGGTAATTAAAATTTATTTTTATAAAAAGCACACGTGCAAATAGTTTCAAAGAGTCCTAAATACCAAAAGTTTAAAATGAAAAACAGTTGGCTGCCTGCCATTTCCAGGGAAACCCATCTTAAATTCTTTTAAATGGTTCTTTGTTCTTTCCTCTATATTTAAAAATAGATGCTAATTCTGCCATTTCTAGATTTACTAATTTTTAGGCAATAAGTTACTAACTTCTCTATTATGGTAAATGAGGCTTTAACTCTTGAACTACTCTATCCTTACCCTCCCAAAGAAATCAATGAACAACTCCTAGTTAACACAGTACTTCCATTGGTACAATTGCAAAGATAACTTTCACTGTAGAGCCAATTGATATACTATTCAGTTTTGTTTTTCCACAATGTGTAATTTTTCCTAGAGTTAATAATTGCTTCTCTTTTTAAAAAAATTAGCTTAATGTTCTATATACCTATGTTGATGTTTTCCAGACTCCATTAGGGCTATCAAAAATCAATACTGTTTTCTAAACCTTTGACATATTGTATAATGTACCAGTCCCCTTTTCTTTTTCTGGAAATGCCACTCCTTTCAGGTGTGTGTTGCTTTTATAGTGAACTGGTTATCATCTTTGAATGTTGCTTCTTGGTATCCTTTTTTCAATAATCTTTTTTTCCCGGATCCTAAGTCTTCTTAATTCTTGATTAGCTCCCTCATTCTGTAGGGGTGTGCTTTCTTTCAGAAGCTTCATCAGAAAGATACCAGGGAAATTTTGTTGTTGTCTCTGCATGCGTGGTCTTAGGCCACGCAACTGACCGACATTTGGTTGTGTGTAGCACTCCAAGTCAAAAAGTATTATCCATACAAATTTTGCATTGTTCCTCTTTTTTTAAGCTGAAAAAATTGCTAATGGGATGTCTGGATTAACTTGGATGCGCACTTCTTTAAATGTGCCCACACCATTCTCTTTTTAGAAGCTTTTAAGATATTAACTTTATGCTCAATGTGATAATATGCCTTGGATTGGGTCTTTAAATCTTTGTACAAGGTACAGTCTGGAGACTCATGGGCTTTAGGTTGAGGAAGTTTTCTGATATTATTTCTTTAATAATTTTTCTCTCAGGGACTCCTTTCTTTTGAATGTTGAAACCACTGGGTTGATCTCTTAGCTTTTTCTCTCTTTCATCTCTGCCCTTTTATTTTCTGGAAATTTTACTTCAGCATACCTTCCAACTATTTTATTGCAAAAAAAATTAATTCAATATTACTATTTACATTTCTCAGAGCTCTTTCTCAATTTTCCTTTTCACAGTATCTTGTTTAGGGACACAATATCTTTTCTTATTTATCTGAGGATGTCAATTAAAGGTTTTTGTAATTTTTCTTCTGTTCACTGCAATTTGTCTGTTGATTACTCTCATTCACGGTTGAGACTTTCCACCACTAAAGAACAATTCTTGCTGTTCTTTTACATTTAAGAGCAAAGCATTAAAATCTTTTTATCATTCAGCGATAAGGTAGCAAGCTGCCTTTGTTTTTGATAGGCCCAAATGTTGGCATCTTGGAAGTCATTTCCTTGTGGCCATTTAGTGCCTCCATAAATATGGCACAGACGTTGTTCTATTTTAATAGTATAACAATAACAGAATTACATTAACTTATTTAAAAATCCAGTATTACTCTGAGTCCATAAACAATAGGGAAAATGGCTCCAATGTCAAAACATAGAATATCAACTTTCCTATCATTTAAACAGTTCTGGCCAGATGTAGTGGATCATGCCTGTAATCCCAGCACTCTGGGAGGCCAAGGTGGGTGGATCACCTGAGGTCAGGAGTTCGAGACCAGCCTGGCCAACATGGTGAAACCCTGTCTCTACTAAAAATACAAAAATTAGCTGGGTGTGGTGGCAGGTGCCTGTAATCCCAGCTCTTCGGGTGGCTGAGGCAGGAGAATTGCTTGAACCCGGGAGGTGGAGGTTGCAGTGAGCCGACATCGCGCCACTGCACTCCAGTCTGGGTGACAGAACAAGACTTCGTCTCAAAAAACAAACAAACAAACAAACAAAAAACAGTTCTACATGAAAGAATGAAAACAGTTTATCAAATTAAGATATATGAGATATTTGGGGGCATAAGAGGGAACAAGGGACATACCAATGAGGACAGTCAAATTATTATATTCCTAATATAGTTTCATAAAACAACAGCTTTCCATATTTTCTTCACACACTACTTAACACCCAGTGTGAAAGAAGCATGACAAATCTATTTTTTAAAATATTTTGTTCCTAATTTATTCTTGGTCTCACCTAGCTAGTTACTGGGCTGAACTTTAGTTAGTAAGATAAATTCCAAGGACTGGAACTTTTCTCCATGATGATAAATAGAAAAAGAGACAATATCCACACAGAAGAATAAAACAGTACATTTGAAGAAAAATTTAAACTTTTTATTGTGATATAAACATATTTTTTTCTTTAAAGGTAATTATCAAAATTACATTTGAAAAATCACAAATATCATATGATTTTACATGTAAGCTATAAATAAAAAGACCATTTTTGTAGACTAAAGCATGTAGAATAGCTTTCCAGCTAGCTAGTTTTATACTTGCCTTTTCAATAATTCTTATCAAAAGGTCTACAGCTAAAAATAAAAGTTATGGATCACAGCAGATCATAATAGAGAATAGTCCATCTCTCCTAGAAAATTTTTAAAAATAAATCTTAGAAACTGCATGGGAAATACTGTAAAAACAAAGGTTATTGTCCTCAGCTATGAATTAGAATAAATTTGGCACTAGATTATGGGGTATTCCCACAGGAAAGTACCTTACTGATTTTCCCTCTATCCTTCTTGATACATTATGGTTGAACCCACTGTTATGCAACACCTGCTTACTTTGGCCTTAAGGGTCATAGTGACAAAAGAGAAACCTTTAAAGAAGTCATAGTAAATGTTAGGGAAAGGGATTTTCAATGCATGGATATATTTGGCAAGGTAAACAAAAAGTTGCCTGATAGCAAGGGAGGAGGCAGGCCACTGTGAATAGCAACTTATACTAGTCAATATTGAAAAGTAAAAGCAGTTGAATGGTTTCAAAGTATATAAGAATACAAACTGATTGCTTATAAAATGTTTTTTAAGTAGAGACTGCACTTTAATGTGAGATGAGGCGGATCTATACATTAATTTTATATACGCAAATGATCCTACTTACATTCTTGAAAATAATTTGACTCTTTAGGTGAACCAACTGAAATCTCATTTACACTGTTGATTTGCCTAGTAAATAATTCTCTTTAGTATGAGAAAATCAAAGAAGTTTGAAGTGGAACAAATTCTAAATTACTAGAATATGATTTAAATGGCTAGGAGAATATTATAAGGGGTATAAAACAGAATATTAATCCAAATATTTAAGATGCTAATTCTGGGTAAAAGCTATTTTTGAGATGACATGAATTTTCAAAATACTAAAATTTTTAAAATAATCATTTCCACAAACTTATTTAAGCTGTGTGTAATGTATGTAAATACTAAGTAATATGTTATTCAATTTTAGGAACTTTATGTATGTTTTCATACTAGTATTAGAAAATAATTCTGAAAGGAAGATGAAAATGAAAATATTCATTTAGGTTAAACAACAGGAAAATTTTGGCCCATTATTTTTTCTCTCCTATATTTACTGGCAAAATGGGCTTATTAAATAGCTTGGGAATGGAGTAAGAAAGGTTCGAATTATGCATCTGACCTTGTCAGAAGCAGTGCTATGATTACTTGTAAAGATATATCAGGGACATGTAAGGAACAGGCAAACTATTTGTTGGCTCTAGCCTGTAATTTAAGAAAGCCATAAATATTTTAAAAGTTAATTATTTCACCTTGAATAAAAATACAAACATATACACACCCCACACTTTAAACATTCATCTCAAGATTTTTACTTGCCATTTGGTGTTTCACTGGCAAAAATATGGAAAATAATAATTCTACTTCATTCCTTAGATCAATAAATTGTGAGCTTCAAATTCTACATGTGAATAAAGTAGGACTAATACACATACTAATCATCTCAAAAGACAAAGAGAAAAATGATCAGCAAAGGACTAGACCTACCAAAATTATAGACATAAACAAAACACATGATTAAAATAAATAATTCTTATCCTGTGGAGGTTTATTCTAGGACAAATATTCAATACTTTTGGGGAAAAAATGAGGTAGGTAGGGGAGAAAAATATCTTGAACTGAATGAAAATGAAATCATAACACATCTAAATATATGATATGCAACTAAAGCAGTGCTTAGAGAAAAATTTATAGATTTTAATTTCTGTGTTAGATATAAAAATCTAAGCTTCCACTTCAAGAAGCTAACAAAGAGAAAAAATCAAATGAAAAGACAAATAAAGAAAATAATAAAGGTAAAATAAGAAATCAATGAAATAGAAAATAGAGAAAAATCAATAAAAGTAAAAAGTACATCTTTGAAAAAAGTCAATACAATTAGTAATGTACTAGTTAGGCTGAGAAAAGAAAAGAAGATACAGATGACCAGCTTTAGGCATGAAGGATGGGACATCACTACAGATGCTACCAACAGT
Organism: Homo sapiens; assembly: GCF_000001405.40. Lineage (NCBI taxonomy): Eukaryota > Metazoa > Chordata > Mammalia > Primates > Hominidae > Homo > Homo sapiens. The sequence continues at coordinate 21,060,362 of NC_000006.12, read as the reverse complement.
AAAAGGATACAAAGAATACTATGAACCTTATGCCAGTAAACTCCCAACTTAGATAAAATGGGCAAATTCTTTGAAAGATATAAATTATGAAAATGGACTCAAGAAGAAACCAAAAACCTGAATATTCTTTTATCTATTACAAAAACTTGTAATTTAAAATCTTGCCACCCAAACAAAACAACACAAAACAAAACCACCCAAGACTATATGGTTTCATGGTGAATTCTACCAAACATTTAAAGAATGATAAAATCAATTCTATGGAAACTATTTCAAAGATAGATGAGAAAGAAACTCTTTTAAGAGTCCAGCATTACCCTGTTACAAAAACCAGAGGAAGGCAAATACTGTATGTTCTCACTTATAAATAAGTAGGAGCTAAGCTATGGGTACACAAAGGCAGACAGAATAGAATAATGAACAGTGAAGACTCAGAAGGGGGAGGGTGGGACAGGAGCGAGGGATAAAAAAACCACACATCAGGTACAGTGTTCACTACTTGGGTGAAGGGTACACTAAAATCTCAGACTTCACCCTATATAGATCATCCATGTAACCAGAAACCACTTGTACCCTAAAAGGTACTTAAAAATATTTTTAAAATCAGGGGAGGGGCCAAGATGGCCAATTAGAAGCAGCTGCCATCAGTGGCTCCCACCGTGAAGAATGAAAAGGGTGAGTGAATCCTGCACCTTCAGCTGAGGTATCCAGGTTCTCTAATTGGGAATGACTAGGTGGTTGGCGCAACCCACTGAGAGTGAGGAAAAGCAGGGCGGAGCAATGGCTCACTTGGGAGCTGCATGGGGCAAGGGGAGCTCTCACTCACAGCCAAGGGAGGCGGTGAGTGATTGTGCTACCCCATCCAGGAAACCATGCTTTTTCCATGAATCTGTGCAACCCATGGATCAGTAGATCCCCCTGTGAGCCCATGCCACCAGGATCTTGGGTCTCAAGCACAGAGCTGTGCAGATGTTCAGCAGATGCTCAGGTTGCAGCCAGCAGCAGCAAGCTGGAGACTGCCTAAGATGACCGAGTTCCTAGAGGTGAGGGTGGCTGCCATCACTGCAACTGCAGCATCAGTCTTCTGTTTTCCCCTGCTGGTGCTAGGAAGACTGGGCAGTCTGGACCAGGAGGAACTCCCCACAATGCAGCACAGTGGCTGTGGCAGATCATGGCCAGACTGCTTCTTTAGGTGGGACCCTGATCCATTCCTCCTCACTGAGTGGGGCCTCCCTGTGGGAATTTCACCAACTCCAGCCAGTGGTTTACAGAGAAATCTCTGATCTCCCTGGGACAGAGACCCTGAGGGGAGGGGCAGCTGCAATCTCCATGGTTCAGCAGACTTAGTCTTTCCTGCCTGCTGGCTATTTAGAGGCTGGGCACTCCAGATGATGGGGATTCCTCTCAGTGCAGCAAACCCGCTCCACCAAGGGGCAGCCAGAGTGCTTCATTAAGCAGGTCTCCGATCCTGTGCTTCCTGACTAGGTGAGACCCCCACAACAGGAGTCACCAGACACCTTATACAGGAGCATGCCCCCTGGCATTAGGTCGCTGTCACTCTGGAAAAGAGGTCCAAGATGAAGGAGCAGGCAGCCATCTTTGCTGTTCTGCAGCCCCCACTGGTGACACCTCCAGGTGAGGGTATTTGTCACCACCAGGCCTGCCTTGCAACAGCTCCTGAAGGAAGCACTAAATATGGAAAGGGAAAACCACTACCAGCCCCTAGAAAAACACACTGAAGTACAAAAACCAATGACACTATGAAGCAACTACATAAACAAGTCTGCAAAATAACTAGTTAGAGTCATGATGACAGGATCAGATTCAAACATAACAATATTAGCCTTAAATGTAAATGGGCTAAATGCCCCAATTAAGTGACACAGAATGGCAAGCTGGGTAAAGAGTCAAGACCCATCAGTGTGCTGTATTCAAGAGACCCATCTCATGTGCAAAGACACACATAGGCTCAAAATAAAGGGATGGAAGAAAATTTACAAAGCAAATGGAAAGCAGCAAAAAGCAAGGACTGCAATCCTAGTTTATGACAAAACAGATTTTAAACCAACAAAGATAAAAAAAGACAAAGAAGGGTATTACATAATGGTAAAGGGATCAATTCAACAAGAAAAGCTGACTGTCCTAAATATATATGCACCCAATAGGGGAGTACTCAGATTCATAAAACAAGTTCTTAGAGACCTACAAAGAGACTTAGACTCCCACCCAATAATAGCGGGACACTTTAAAACCCCACTTTCAATATTAGACAGATCATTGAGACAGAAAATTAAGAAAGATATTCAGGATTTAAACTCAGCTCTGGATCAGCTGGACCTGATGGATATCTACAGAACTCTCCAAACAAAAACACGAGAATATACATTCTTCTTGGTGCCACATGGCACTTACTCTAAAATTTATCACATAATTGGAAGTAAAACATTCCTTAGCAAATGCAAAAGAACAGAAATCATAACAAACAGTCTCTTAGACCACAGCACAATCAAATTAGAACCCAGGATTAAGAAACTCACTTAAAGCCACACAACTACATGGAAACTGAACAACCTGCTCCTGAATGACTCCTGGGCAAATAATGAAATTAAGGTAGAAATTAAAAAGTTCTTTGAAACTAATGAGAATAAAGAGACAGCATGCCAGAATCTATGAGCTAACAGTGTTAAGAGGAAAATTTATAGCACTAAATGCCCAGATCAAAAAGCTAGAAAGATCTCAAATCAACATCTTAACATCACAACTAAAAAAACTAGAGAACCAAGAGCAAACAAACCCCAAAGCTAGCAGAAGACAAGAAATAACCAAGCTCAGAGTGGAACTGAAGGAGAAAGAGACACAAAAAACCCTTAAAAAAAATCAACAAGTCCAGGAGCTGTTTTTTTTTTTGAAAAAATAAAATAGATAGACTACTAGCTGGACTAATAAAGAAAAGAGAGGAGAATCAAATAGACACAATAAAAAATGATAAAGCAGATATCACCACTGACTGCAAAAAAATACAACCAACCATCAGAGAATACTATAAACACCTCTATGCAAATGAACTAGAAAATCTAGAAGAAATGGATAAATTCCTGGACACATACACCCTCCCAAGAGTGAACAAGGAAGAACTTGAATCCCTGAATAGACCAATAATGAGTTCTGAAATTGAGGCAGTAGTAAACAGCCTACCCACCAAAAAAAGCCCAGGACCAGATGGATTTACAGCTGAATTATACCAGAGGTACAAAGAGGAACTGGTACATTTCTTCTGAAACTATTCCAAACAACTGGAAAGGAGGGACTCCTCCCTAACTCATTTTATGAGGCCAGCATCATCCTGATACCAAAATCTGGCAACGATGCAATAAAAAAAGAAAATTTCAGGCCACTATCCCTGATGAACATCAATGCAAAAATCCTCAATAAAATACTGGCAAACAAAATCCAGCAGCACATCAAAAAACTTACCCACCATGATCAAGTCAGTTTTATCCCTGGACGCAAGGCTGGTTCAACATATTCAAATCAATAAATGTGATTCATCACATAAACAGAAATAAAGACAAAAACCACACGATTTTCTCAATAGATGCAGAAAAGGCCTTTGATAAAATTCAACATCCCTTCATGTTAAAAGCTCTCAATTAACTAGGTATTGATGGAACAGACCTGAAAATAATAAGAGCCATTTATGACAAACCCACAGCCAATATCATACTGAATGGGAAAAGCTGGAAGCATTCCCCTTGAAAACGGGCACAAGACAAAGATGCCCTCTCTCGCTACTCCTGTTCAACATAGTATTGGAAGTTCTGGCCAGGAAAATCAGGCAAGAGAAGAAAATAAAGTGTATTTAAATAGGAAGAGAGGAAGTCAAACTGTCTCTGTTTGCAGATGATATGATCACATATCTAGAAAACCCCATCGTCTCAGCACAAAAACCTCTTAACTCAATAAACAATTTCAGCAAAGTCTCAGGATACAAAATCAAGGTGCAAAAATCACAAGCATTCCTATATACCAACAATAGACAAGCAGAGAGCCAAATCATGAATGAACACCCATTCACAATTGCCTCAAAGAGAACAAAATATCTAGGAACACAGCTATCAAGGAAAGTGAAGGACCTCTTCAAGGAGAACTACAAACCACCGTTCAAAGAAATAAGAGAGGACACAAACAAATGGAAAAACATTCCATTCGGCCAACAAACATGAAAAAAAGCTCAACATCACGGATCATTAGAGAAATGCAAATCAAAACCACAATGACATACCATCTCACACCAGTCAGAATGGCAATTAGTAAAAAGTCAAGAAACAACAGATGTTGGTGAGGCTGTGGAGAAATACGAATGCTTTTACACTGTTGGTGGGGATGTAAATTAGTTCAAGCATTGTGGAAGACAGTGTGGCAATTCCTCAAAGACCTAGGACCAGAAATACCATTTGACCCAGCAATCCCATTTCTTGGTATATACCCAAAAGAATATAAATGATCCTATTATAAAGATACATGCAAACGTATGTTCATTGCAGCACTATTCACCATAGCAAAGACATGGAATCAACCCAAATGCCCATCAATGATAGACTGGATAAAGAAAATGTGGTACATATACACCATGGAATACTATACAGCCATAAAAAGGAAAGAGATCAAGTCCTTTGCAGGGACATGGATATTGTCAGAAGCCATTATTCTCAGCAAACTAATGCAGGAACAGAAAACTAAACACCACATGTTCTCACTTATAAGTGCGAGCTGAACAATGTGAACACACAGACACAGGGAGGGGAACACACACTGGAGCCTGTTGAGGTGGGGAAGAGTACCAGGGAAAATAGCTAATGCATGCTGAGCTTAATACCTAGGTGATGGGTTGATAGGTGCAGTAAATCACCACAGCACACGTTTACCTACATAATAAACCTGCACATCCTGCACATGTACCTCAGAACTTAAAAAAAAGTAAAAAAAGAAAAAACAAACAAAAAAAGTTTTTTTTAAAGAAAATCAGAGGAAGAGATTAGAATTAAACTATAGACCAATATCTCTCATAAACAAGGAGACAAAAATTCTTAACAAAATATTGGCAAACTGAACCTGGCAAAATTAAAAAAAATGATTATATATCATGACCACTTTTTAAATCCAAGAAATGTGAGGTTGATTTGACATGTGAGTATCAATTAATGTAATGTACCATATAAAAAGAATAAAGGACAAAATAAAAACCACATAGTGATCTTAACAGATTCAGAAAACTTTTGACAAATCAAACACCCATTCATGATTTTTAAAAATGCTTTTCCATTAGGATTGATAATAAAGCAAAGATTTCTGTTCTCACTTCTTCAATTCAACATATTACTGGAGGTTCTAGTCAGTCCAAAAAAGCAAGGAATGGAAATTAAAGGCATATATGTTTAAAAGACAGAATTTTTTTTTTTTTTGGGCAGGTGACATGACCTTGTATGTAGAAAATCTAAAGAATCTACTGAGCCTACTAGAATAAGTGAGTTTAGCAAAACTGTAGGATACAAGATCAATATATAAAAATCAATTACATTTTTTATACTAGTAATGAACAACCTGAAAATGAAATCAAGAATCCAATTCCATTCACAATAGCATAAAAACTACTTGGGAATACGTTTGAGAAAGAAAGGTAGAAGTTGTATGCCATAAACTGAGAGAATTTAAAGAAACCATCTTAAAACTTGATGAGAGAAATTAAAGAAGATCTAAATAAATGGAAGAATATATAATTTTCATGGATTAGAAAATTTAGCATTGTTAAGATGGCAAGCCTCTCCAAATTGATTTATAGAGTCAATGCAACTCCTATCAAAATAACAGCAAGTATTTCTGCTGAAAATGACAAGCTGTGCTTAAAATGTATGCGGAAATACAAATGACTTGAAATAATCAGAACAATTTTGAAGAAAAAAAAGCTGGTGGAATAAATGAACCTGTTTTAAAGACTAACTATAAAGCTCCAATAATCAACGCAGTATGGTTATCAGTGTAGGGATACATCAATGGAAAAATAGAGAGTCCAAATATATACCAATTCATCATATATGGGTAATTAGTTTTCAACAAAATTACCAAGGCAATTCAATGAGGGCAGGAAACAAAGCGTTTTCAATAAATGGTACTGTAACAATCAGACACCATATGCAAAAAACCCCACACATTATTAAACCCTCCACCTTACATTATACACAAAAATATTTCAATGTGCATCACAGTCTGAATGTCAGATACAGAATTATTAAACATCTAGAAGAAAATATGGGAGGAAATCTTTGTGACCTTAGGTTAGGCAAAGATTTCTTAGCGATAGTGCCAACACCGAAAGCACAATCCGTAAAAGTAAAATTTGATAAACTAAGAAATTAAACTTACTCAAAAGATACCGTTAAAAAATGAAAAGAGAAGTCATAGAGTAGAATAAAATATTTGCAAATCATATATCCAATAAAAAGACTTGTATCCAAACTATATTGAGAACTATGACTCACTAACAGGAAGACAACACAATGATGCAATGGGCAAAAGATTTAACAAACACTTCACTGAAGAAGATATAGGAATAGCTAATAAGTACATTAAAATTTGCTTAACATTGTCACTAGTCAGAAAAATGAAAGTTAAAACCATGTAAAATGCCACACATCCAGTAGAATGGCTGTACCAAAAAGACTGAAAAAAAAAATAACAGATATTAGTAAGCATATAGAGAAACTGACGCACTTATACATTGAAGGTGGGAATTTTAAATGGTGCAGTCATTTTGGAAAACAGTCTGACAGTTTCTTAAATAGTTAAACATACACTTACTGTGACCCAGCAATTCTACTCTAGGTGTCTACCCAAGGGAAACGAAAATGTAAGCTCACACGAAGACCTGTACTTGGATTTTCACAGTAGCAATCTTCATAACTGCCCCAAACTGGTAACAGTCCAAATGTCTATCAATTGTTGAATGAATAACAAAATGTGGCATATCCATATGTGGAAATTACTTACAAATAAAAAAGAGCCAACTACTGATATATGCACCAACATGAACCAATCTGAAAAACATTCTTAAGGAAATGAAAGACACGAAGGATTGCTTATTGTGATTCCATTTATAAGAAATATCTAGAAGACGACTTAGAATAGACAGAAAGCAAATCAGTCTTGTCTGGAACTGTGAGTAGAAGCAGGGATTGGCTCCAATTGGACATTAGAAAAATTTTTGACAGAATGAAAGCATTCTAAAACTGAATTGTGATGATAGTTGCACAACTGCATTAATTTGCTAAAAATCTTCAAAACACTTACATTGAATGAATATTCTGTGTTCTCTAAATTATCCTACAGACTTAACAATGAAAAAAAAATACCTTTCTGAAGACAGATAGCATGAATCTTCCATAACATACTCTTCTAAGAAGTCTTATTGAGCACTTACTATGTGAGACTCAATTATATTCTCTTATTTATTTTCTGTAGAGACGGAGTCTTGCTTTGTTGCCCAGGCTGGTCTCAAACTTGAAGCCTCAAGTGATACTCCTGCCTCAGCCTCCAAAAGTCCTGAGATTACAGGTGTGAGCCAACTGCACCCGGCCAAGAAGTCTTAACAGTTCAACTTTGACAGGTGTAGTCAAAGAATTAAATGTGGACAAAGGACCAGGTGTGGTAGCTCATGCCTGTAGTCCCAGCACTTTCGGAGGCCAAGGAAAGAGGATCACTTGAAGCCAGGAGTTCATGGCCAGCCTGAGCAACAAAGCAAGACCCTGTCTTTACAAAAAAAAAAAAAAAACAACCAATTAAAAAAATTTAAATTAGCCAGGTGTGGTGGTGTGTGTCTATAGTCTCAGCTATTCAGGAAACTGAGGTGGGAGAACCACTTGAGCCCAGAAGTTTGAGGCTGCAGTGAGCTGTGATCGTGTCACTGCACTTCAGCCTGGGTGACAGGGCTAGACTCCACCTCTAATAAGAAAAAATAGACAAATCGGGACAAACAGCAAAATAAAAGGCCAGGAATAAAGGAATTACGTTCAGAGCATGAAATCATGAAGGACTTGAAGAAGGAAAGCATGGATCTATTTCCCAAGTAAAACATCATATAACAATAGGGAATCATTCTATTTATATTGAAAGAGAAAATTTAGTAAGAAACAATTCAACATCTTCAAATAAATTTCAGATTTTTTTCAGCATCTCTAAATTTATTCTCATAGTTTTATTAAAAATTTCTTAAATTAACTGCTCTAAAAACAGAAAAAACACTAAAACATTTAGATGAGGGCTGAAAAGCCATAATGAGTGACTAAGACAAAGAAAGTCTAGTGTGACCTGGGCATTCATTCTTATTCTTTTAATATGACTGTCTGGGAGAAACAACTTCCTTGCATAACTAAGATGTTCTACCACTAACTAGCTGCATGATCTTGGGCAAACTATTCAGCCTTAGATGCTTCCACTTCTTCTTTCATAAAATGGATATAGTAAAAGTATTCATAGATAAGATTAATGAGGTAATAGATGTACTAATTGCTCAGGATGGTGCTTCCCATATAGTGCTTAATATGTATTGGCTTTATTATTGTAACCTTGTCAGAGAGATGATAACAACTGTCATTTATTATGTAATACTAATATTACATAATAATACTAATAAAAGTGCCAGGCAATATGTTAACAACTTCATCTTGTTTAATATAACTTTCTCATAAGATAGATTCTAATCCAGTTTTCATGAGAAAGGGGGAAAATGCCATTAGGGAAAGAGGTACAGTAAATTGCCCATGATCACAGAATCAATAAATAGTAAAGGAAGCATCTGATCTGAAGCTTCTGATCACTACCCAGGGTAGTCCTTATCTCTTACCTATGTCACTGATGTGCTCACAGCACTGATGTACCATAAGCACTGGCTGATCATAAGTTCACGGAAAACACAACTTATTATTACTATTTTTTTGAGACATGGTCTCACTCTGTCACCTAGGTTGGAGTGCAGTAGTGTGATCTTGGCTTAGTGCAGCCTCTATCTCTTGGGTGCAAATGATCCTCCTGCCTCAGCCTCCCAAGTAGCTGGGACTACAAAGTAGCCGAGATTACAGGTGTGCACCACCACATCTGGCTAATTTTGTTTATTTTTTGTTGCAATGAGATCTCACGACATTGCTCAAGCTTGTCCTGAATTCCTGAGCTCAAGTGATCCAGACAGTGTTCACATTCTGCTACTTTAATGAGACCACATTTACACAGGTCACCTTCTGTGAGAATAAAGCAATAAACTAGAAATTACTAAGAAAAAGGCACAGAAAAACCTTGATCCTATTTGTCAGGAAACTGAATATAATAAAAATACATGTATTCCTATAAATGAATAAATGTGATCTTTTTCACAGTAGACTTATAACATTTCTGGCCTTTACAGAGAAGTTTAAACCCTCTTGTTTGAAGAAATTGTTTTCAAATATTGATAGTGACAGGCAGATAGGGGCAGGTCCCCAGTGAAACCCCACCTCCAAGCTGGAAGACAGTTTAAAGCCTGAAAGCCAAGCTACAAGTTAAATCCTTGGACTGGACTGAGAATGTGTCTTCCTGTTTGGCACGTTTTCCTCTGATTGATCCCCACCCTTCATCTATTCTACATATACCTACCCTTTCCTAATTGGTTTTCTACACTGTCATGCCCACCTTTGAGTGGTGTCTTTGCTTTAACCTTTTTTGCATAGTCACAAACCAATCAGCAAGCACTCCCCATTCTGAGTCCATAAAAGGCCCGAGACCCAGCCACAAGAAAGGAACTTTCTGCCTTTGGGTAGGGGACCATCCCCATGTCCTCTCTTGACTGAAAGCTGTTTCACTGCTCAATAAACTTCTCTCCGCCTTCCTCACTCTTCAATGTCCAGTGTATCCTCCTTCTTGGGCGCAGTACAAGAGCTCGGGAACTGCCAAACACAGGTACAAGCTATAACACAGGCAGGCTGGGGCACACTAGTGTGGCTGAGTGGGGCCCAGGCAGGGCGTTGCCAGCCAGAGGTCCCCGGTTTGCAAGGCAACCAAGAAAAAAAATTCCTACAATCAATATTAGGCAAAATCTATATGCTAAAATACAACTAACATATTAATTATACATAATATTTATAATCAAAGATGGCCTTTCAAGGTATCTCCCTAAAAAAATTTAGTAGCAGTTAGTTTTTTAATGATTCCTTCTCTTTGAAAGTAATAAAACTTTTAATAAGCAAAAATAAAAACCTAGATGGGTTATTCAGTTTAAATTTGGTACAATTTTACCTTTTTAAAGTAAACTAGGCAAATGTATGACATAAGTAAAGGAAGAAATATATGAATAAATGGCAAATGGTTTGCTCAAGCTCTGCAAATTTCTGAATATTCTGAGAATTTAAAATGCAACAAACTCCAACTATTAAATACTTGTGGTAAAAACTGATCAAGTGTATGGAAAAATTGTTTCTGACACTTGGAAAAGTGGCTGTCAAATAGGCTAAAAAAAAAAAAAAAGGATGAGAGACAACTGGATGAGATGACACCAAAGAATTTAGTGTCATCCATTACATTTCTAAGCCTGGTATAAATCCAGAATATATCATTTGGCTTCAAGCACACATCAAATGAATCATCACTGCTAACTAAAAATCAAATAAATACCATGTTAAATAAGTTTTTTATCCTGTAACACTATGCTTGCATTCCATAGCAAATATTTTGGAATAAGCACAAAGCCTTACATAAGACCAAAGATATTGCCTTAAAAATTAAAAGTAAGCATACTGGATAATATTGTTATAGTATTTAAAAGAAACCATATTAAATTTCACAGAATTTTTACACATCTGTTATTAAAATCATTTTATGATATTGCTGGTTAAAGTGAAGGTATTTACTATCTATGGTACTGCTAACACAATTCTTATATGAGTTTTTCTGTTTCTATGGTAACATGAATTATAAGGTTCAATGAAGCTGAATTCAGTAATGTGTATTTTTCTGTTATTCAAGGTGAAAAGGAAATGAAACATTTCTAACATTCATAAACTACAGCAAATGTCTGAATTCCATTTAGAGATAAGATGATAATTACTAAAGTAATTAGAATTCTTCCTGGATGGAATTATTTTGCACACAGTGGAAATTTAAGTTTGAGAATGAAAGTAGGGGCCAGAGTATATTCAGCATCAGTAATTAATTACAACCCAAACCCATCTGCCATTCTGATACCTTGGAACAGACTATACCTTTTTCTGTCTGCTTCTGACTACAATATAAAAGAAAGCTCATCCTCCACCCCCACCCCTAAGTCAGAAAGATAAAGTGGGTGAAATCATTTTATTCAAGAAAAAAATCCAATTACAGAAATAATCAACTTTTCTCTCTTGCTTTATTTTTTTCATATTTGAAAGGGCTTTCACATTAGCAGAACCAATTAAATGAATATCAGGACAGGGCAAAATCTACAAAGTTAGGCAAGTTTCTTAAATCTTTTAAAATTAAACCTTGAAAAAAAACCACTTAGAGACTGAAACCCAGATCATGGCATTCTTTAATGGGAAAACATAACTGGAAGGTAACTAAACATCAGGTCTCGGGAAGAATAATTTATAAAATTATACAGTCAAAATGCAGTTGCCTCTAATATCCAGTCCATTATTAAGAAATTAGGCAAATTATTACTTTTAATGGAAGTGTTACCAAAAAATAGCACTCAGAAACATTACATTTCAAGTTTTATGTCATCCTAAAGTGCAATTGGTATAGCATCATCATAAATAATACTGAATAGGGATATATACAAATTGGAAAAAAATATATATATACACACACATACACAGAGCAAGCAAGTGAGAAAGAAACCGGAAGCTATATTTATGGACTAGAAATTATAAAATCATTTAAATCAAAACCCAGATTTATAATTACTTTATTTCTTATGAGTTGAGAACATTTTCTTATTGTGTTTTATTGTTTTAAATTCAGTTTTCCCTGCATTCAGTTTACCCCGATCAGGTCAGAGGTTGGCAAACTACAACCCATGTGCCAAATCCAGCTGTTGTCTGATTTTGTAAATAAAGTTTTATTGGAACACAGCTACACTCATTCATTTCATACTGTTTATGGCTGCTTTCACTACAAAAGCAGAGTTGAATGTAGTTGTGACAGTTGCAACAGAAACTGCATGGTCTGCAAAGCCAAAGTTATTTATCATCTGCTGAGATTCTAACCAACCAGGTCCACGACTCTAATTTTTGATAAGAACTCCCAGGAACACTCCAGGGTGAGTTGAGGGCCAGTGGGTACATACAATGCTCTCCAAAATGTAGCCCTAATCAACCTTTCCATTATCACCCAATTCCGATTGATATGATTCAAATCAGAATACTTTCTCTCTGAACAATCCCATTGTACAATCCCCTATCCAAACTACTCATTGAAATCAGAATACTTCCTCTCTGAGCAATCCTACTGTACAATCCCCTATCCATACTACTGATATTCCCTGGGCCACCTCTCTGATGAAATTTTTCTTGATTTTCTCTCAGCATCTTAATTCATTCACAGTCCCTCCTTTGTACCTCTATGATGTCCCTGTTATGATCTTCCTGACATTTTTTACATCTGTTTTCTTGCCTTATGCCTCCTAATAAACTATAAGCACCTGGTGGACAAGGATGGGGTCATATTCACATTCCTACACTCTGTAGTAATGAGGCAACAGCCACATAGACAGTTGAGGCTCAGTAAAAGTGCCCACTGACTTAAAGGTGAAATGCTTGGGAGAACTTGGAAAAACAGACAGTAAGACGAATACATGAATTTAATAAAGCAATAGGCTTTATTCACCCAGAGATCAATGATTAATCCCTGTTTTGACTAATACCAATTTCAATATTTTCCTTTACGTCCTAGAGGTTAGCTCTGGTGGGAAAGGAATAAGTGGAGATTCACAAGGCTTTGTAAATGATGGCTTCTCTTTAGGAAAAGGGGATACTATCATTGTGAGCAGTACAAGTTGGCTCCAGCGCCTGGCTTCTCAGCAGCATCTGCCTAGCCTTTCTCCAAAGAGAAGCTGTCATCTACAAAGCCCTTTGAATTTCCACTTTCTCTTTCCCTGGCTCAGTAACACACACCTGTAGTCCTAGCTACTCATGAGGCTGAGACGGAAGGATCTAGGAGTTCAAGGCCAACCTGGGCAACATGGTGAGACTCCATCTCTTAAAAAAAAAAAACACAAAAAATCAGTTAACTAAGAATTGTTTCAAGCTCAATTCTATTTTTAGAATTAATCAGAACATTTGGTCAATGCTTATTTTGAACAACTTGAATTTATTTGCAACTTTCAGTTAAAATTTTGGGGAAAGGGGTACAAGATGGAGTCTTTAAGGTTGAAGCAAGGTTTACGAGGAGGAGATGAAGTGGAGATTTCATTCTAATTCTAGGTTACAGTTGCTTGCGTCTATTTTTGAAGGGTGTAAGTCTCGTCATTCTAAACTCATTTGTTAACTGGATGATATGTTCTCGACAAGGTTCTCAACTGTCAGCATCTATGGGGGCTGCTGTGGCAGGGAGGTGGCAGGTGGCCAAGAGCCCTTTCCCTGTGAAACTCACATGAAATGTGTCTGTTTGTTAGACGTTGTAGCTTTTATGTGAAGGCCCTGTCACTTTTTATGACACTGCCTCTTGGATACACATTTGGCCAAAATCTCTGCCTCAAAAGGAGCAGCTCCGTTGTGTCTCACGCCACGCCTGGCTGGCCTGTCAGCTGCGGCTGCTTCACAGCTCCCCACAGCCATGAGCACTGCCTGGGACAGGCTTCACTGACCTGCAAAGCACTCCTAGACTCTTCCTGACTGTGAGTGACCAAAGTCCTTTCTTGCCACAACAGCGGCTCCAAGGGAGCCCACTACCCACTGCCCCCTTCTTCTTACATACCCAGGCAGCAGTGCTGGAATGCTGGGTATGGCTTGAATGCTGGTGGTAGCTGACCCTATGCCAAGAAACACTTTAAAACTTAAGAACAAAGCCGCTATATTACAGAATATCAAGACACTGCAACCATCCCCAAAGTCACGGAGGGAAGGAAATAACATTAGTCACATGTGAATTAGCTAACTATCAGGTTAATAGTGTGGCATCTTCTAACACCAGCCTCTCTGAACCAAGAATGTGGAAGGCACTCTTTTCATATATCAACTCATTTAATCCTCAGAGTAATCAGTGAGATATGCAATATTTTCCTCAGTTTACAGACATGGCAGTGGACACAGAGAAAGGTCATGTAAGCTGCCCAATGTCACACAACAATAAGCAGCAGAGTCAGGATCTGAATCCTTCCTGTCTGTGATCTGAAATAATAAGCTGCCTCCCACTGATGGAGGGCAGTGAATGTTAAATAGTGCCAGATGCATTTGTTCCAAAAGGCCCCCTTTCTCAGAAACAATGACTATCAGGTGTCATTGAATAGTGACTTGAGACGCCATCGGATGACCCACACAACTGCTAAATAAAAATACCCACATGAAGTTATTTTCTCAGCACCCCTCCATCATTAGATTGCTACTCTCATATTAAAAAACAAGGGCACTGAGGATAAGGTCACTTGTCCATGGACACAGAGCTAGTTTACAGTAGAAAAGGCCTGGGATTAGGATCTCTGACTCCTAGTGCTTTACTTATGCATTTACTGTTTTAGCCAGGGGAAAGAAATCTAGGAAAAATCCTCACCAGATAACACATCTGTGCTAGCAGCCAACAAGGAGATATTCATGCAAGTTCAGATTTCATCACGCACATTTTCAGTGGTGCCTCTAAATAAGGGAAAGGGAGACAGGTGCCCACGGGAGTAGAAATGTTAATAGGTACAACTAGCCCCTGACTCAGAGTCAGGGAGAAAACAAACACATCTTGTTAATTTTTAACACTTTACCTCATGCTCATGTCCCAAACTATGCAAGGTCTAGAAAGTAGCACTGATTACATCATTTTTGGCAAAAGAATCTGAGGATTATTTAGATAACTATAGCGGTGCTTGATACCAAGTCCTGAACAGTCACTGCCAGGAGTATTCCTGGCAAACCAAAGTATTCCTGCCTGCTATATCATTCCGATCTAGCTAATGACCATAAAAACCCAAAGAAGGTCACATGCTATAGTCCTTTTTCTGTGCTATTTCGCCAAGTGCTATGGTTTGAATGATGGTGTCCCATTCAAAATCTATGTTGAAACTGAATCCGCAATGCTATAGTATTAATAGAGGTGTGGTCTTTGGGAAGTGATGACATCATGAAGGCAGAGCCTTATAAAAGGGCAAGGCTGAAGGGAGCACTCTATCTTGTCCCTCCCTCCCTTCTGCCATTTGAAGAAGCCGGGCAGTGCCATCTGTGAGGAATGAGCCTTCTCCTGACACTGAACCTGCTGGTGCCTTGATCATAGACTTCCCAGCCTCTAGAACTGTGAGAAATAAATTTCTATAGTTTATAAATTGCCCAGTCTCAGGTATTTGGTTACAGCAGCACAAACGGATTAAGACACGGAGACATCAAAACAACCTTCTGAGAAGGAAGGGGGATATGTCTAGCTTACAGAGGTTTAGAAAAGTGAAGTGTTTGCACAGAGAAACCAGGACTTGAAAACTACTGCCTTTCAAACCAGCTCAACTGAATATTTAGAAGAATCATGAATAATTTATTAACTATAAATACTAATGATTATACTATGTCAACATAAAGTTAGCATTTATAAAAATTAACAATAATGTCATTATTAATAACAATTTTGGCATCTGTGAAAGGGTTTTGGGCTATGAACTTAGAGAACCTGGTAAAGGAGAAAGTTTTGTCTGTGACCACCAATGTAAGAAGCAAGTGTATAAATGTGTGTGATGCTATCAGCCAGCCAGGTATCAGAGTGGTAAAGTCTATTAGAATGAAGGCTTGAGTTAAAGACAATTTGATTCAATCCCATCAATGATAACTGAATACTTACAAGTAAGAGGCAAGAAAGCAGAATCAGAGTGTAATAGAGGGCTAAACAGGATTTCTAGCCACCAGTGGAGGTAAACAGTAATGTGACCAACTGTGCCAGGCTCAATACAAGAGAGAAGGGTGGGATGAGGAGATGTCGAGGAGTAAAGAGAATTATGGGCCTTAGAGAAGATAAAATCAAAGAATAACACAGGGAGGAAAAAGAAAAGATGAAAGGAACAACTACAGAGGTTTTTGGGTACAACATGGTATAACAGGATCACAGATTGCCCTCCTAATGTAGAATGTGCTTAAATTAACTGAAACAAAGTGTGACATCAATAGAATTTATATTCCACTTCAATCTATGTATGTAGCTCCAATTACAGCAAACATTTCCTTTAGCAAACAGATTTAACAAAATCAATTTCTGATCAGAAAAGCAAATGAAGAAAACTGGGGTGGCAAAACACAACTAATGACTATATCTCATCACAGCTAAAGGTCCAAGACACAGTGCTGTATACACTGTGACAATACGCTTCCTGTACAAAGTGATTTTCTCCTAAAGACAAAGTCACATTCTCCAGGTAGCCTTGAATAAGAATTGCTTTTAATTCCATGACGATACTTTTAAAAGATGTTAACATAAATAAACCGAATACGACAGAAAGTAACAAGGAAATGACTCTGAGATAGCAAAATGCAAAGGCATGTAATGCCACTAAAATAGGGATGATGAATAACTTTCAGAGCCATAAAAGTGCAGAGACAAATGATGAAAGCATGAAGATATGAGTTTTTTCTTAAGTAAGCCTAGCATGCTTTTTGCAAAAGGAGAGAAGAGTAGTCTTGGGAGTATCCTTACAAGTGTTGCATACAAAATATCTCTAAGTAGAGTAAAATGGAAATGAAGAAACAGCATCACATAGATTTTTGGAGTCTGAAAGAACCTTAAATGTTCATGTAGATCCCCCTCATACTGAATCATTTATACACACACACACACACACAAACACACACACACATACACACACATATATGTGATGTGGGCAGAAGACTTACTTTGGGCTTCGGTCCTGAGGAAAATTCAATTAATCAACACCATCAATTAAACTGACAGATAATTTAACCAATATCATGGAAGGCAGACATTCTATGCTCTATAACTGTGCTATGTGCTAAAGACAATAAGATGCTATACCTTCCCTCAAAAACCTCACTTACTGCTAAGTTAGGTGTACACCAGCAGTAGCAGTAGAACTGGTAGTTGTGGTAGTGATAATAACATTAAGAGTTATGAGAAACATTTATGATGCATTTTGTGTGAGGTTCAAGTGCTTTCCATATATGAACTCACGTGGTCCTCCTAAGCACTCCCATAAAGTAGGTACTATTACTATCTCTATGTCTGTTTTTTATACACTCTCAGCAGAAAGAAAAGCCAGAGCAGAGGCGTTCAGGTAGAAAGAAACAAATCACAAACACCATAGGATGCAGGGCCTATGAATGGGAGTATCGTAATATAGCTAACAAGGAGGTTAGGACCAGCATATAGAAGTTTGGGGAAAAGGAGCTATCAAAGGCTTTTGTGGGGAGGAAAACGTTTGAAGCGGTACATCAGTAAGATGATTCTGGAAATACCTTAAGAATGAGATCGATGAAACAGACATGACAGAATACAAGATAGTACTGGCGTCAAATAGGATAGTGACAGTGGGGCAGGTAGGGGAAGGAGTGTAAGAAGAGGTGTAATCATTGGAAATGGTGGCTGATTAGGTGACTGACTTGAGTGGAGGCAGGTGGTGGTAGAAGGAAGTGGAGACAGTAAAAAGGGAGTGAATATGATTCTAGGATTTTAAGCTTGGACGTGACTGGAAGGAGAGGCTGTTAACCAAGACATCTACCAGAGTACCCAGTGCCACGAGAGAGGTGTTAGTTGTGTAAGGGATGAACTATAAGTGCAGGTAGGGCAGGGACCACGTTACATCCAGCTTTTACCTCCCTGGTGCTTCATGTGCAGTGAGGTTCTAAAACAGTGTTTGTTAGTAGAGAAGCAGAGACAGGGGTGAATGGTGGTATGGTGGTGGAGTAGGGTGGGTGGGAAATGGGGGTGTACAGTTAAAATATTAGATAGAAGACCAATACATGGGATTTATGTATTTAATTTGTAAGAGACATTGGGAAGGAGCTGCAGCAGACTCAAAATGGATTAAGACTTGAGTGCCTCAACTAGAAATTTTCCCTGGTAGTTAAAACATTTAAAGGGATAAAAATAGCACAAAAAGAAATGAAGAAAATCATTTTCACCAGGAAACAAATTGCATTCTAGATGACTATTTTTTATTTACCAGATTCAAAATGCATACCAAATATCCTCTACCCTTAGAATATGTCCCTCAAAATTAAGTCCCACATCAAAGATTTGAAAACAGAATCTCTGTAAATAGCTAAACCTGTGTTATCCATGTAACTTATTTTATCAAAAGCAATTTTACTGATACACATGAAACATGAAGGAAATGTTTCTTTGGACTTTTATTTGATGTTACGTGATTTTACCAGACTGTATGCTACTAACCACATAAATTACAGTCCAAAGATATACTAAGCATTAAGTCCCTATTCATCAAAAATTTTAAATGCTATACAAAAACCTTTATCAAATTATCCAGTACCAAATACGATAGGCAAGTATTATATGTTGTGTAAGAAAGCATTTTAAAGAAAATAATCCAGAATACCAAAAAAAAAAAAAAGATTTTCAGAGTAACATTGAAAAAAAAAATCTAAGATAGAAAGGTAATTTGATACAAAAACTGTATTTTATTACATTGAAAATTTGGTTGAAAGGAATTACATGATTTAAGCCTGAGTTTTTTTATTCAATCCTTCTTCTGTTTCGATTACTTTTTACAAATTTACATCTGCTGATGGTGTGCATATTTCCAATAAATACAACAGCATGAGATTCCATACTAGTTAGGACACCTGCTAACATCTTTTATTCATGTACGTGTTCCCAGTGCAAAGCAATTATATTATTTCAAATATTTTAAAATGTTTTCTATTACTGCCTAACATAACGGCAGGTTACCTCACAAATCACCTGTTTCCTTTTGCACTCTCTCTAATCTATGAGAAAAAGATTTATTTGTGGTGTTGTATATAGAAGTCAATAATAGCTTGCAAGTAATCTCAGTCTGGTTTACTTGCATCTGATTGCAGACGTGAGAACACAGCTTCCTACCAAATGCAAGAAAAAGGTATGCATATATAGATTTTGTTTCTTATCCTTGATCCAGCTCTTTGGAACTGGTTCCCAATGTTATAAGCTCTGGAGAGAAAAATAAGTGTTAAGAACTAGTTCTTACAGCTCTGAAAACCCTGCAACAATTACTGGTCCCTCCCGGAGGGCTTATCATCTATCTATGGGCAACTGCAGTCTTATCAGTTTCTCATCTTCAGGTGTGGGCAAAAAGGCAGATGTGGGCACAATGCTTGAAAAAGAGAGGGAAGTGAGGAATTAGGGAAAGAACAATGCATGTCTATGCATTATTCAATGCAATTAATTTCTGTACACTAATTTTAGGCCAGTATATCATAGGTATATTATGTCATTTATTCTTAGTATAAGTATTTGGGGAGAAAAAGTTCGCTTTGAAGATTACTTTTAAAATATTGTTTTAGGCACTGAAATAATGACCCTGAAGTATAATAATATTTTAATAAATTTGAAATTACTCATTGATATGTGCCTAAATTAAATACGAATTTTTAGTGAAGCTATTCAATCTATTTAAATCCATAATTTACACAACTTAAGTATTAATTGTAGCTAGTATCTAATTGGTAATAACCTATTATTTACCCCTTTCTGATCTACATTTTCCTGGTGATGGTGTCTCCTCAACAAAAATATATAGTTAATCTCAACTTGACTGAGAGACATTCATCTCAAAGAAAATAGTCTCACACAAAGCTTTATCATAGGGGTACAAGACTTCAGCCCATTATTTTTTATGACTAAAAAATGAGTGACTTAAGACAAAAAGCTCAACATCCTTAAACTTCATTTCTATTCAGTCTCTAATAAATACCATCTGTTGTGTACTTTAGGGATATAATACTCGTCAAAAACTCCATCGTATTATGAGAATCGGCACCAAGTTGATCTGAAATGCATATTTGAACAGATGTGTTTAAATTACATCTCCGTCTATCCACATGCATAAATTCAGAGCAAGCGTGTGTTGATTTAAAATGCATAAAAAAAGGGATTTGGAGACGCATCAAAAGTGAACAGCATCTCAATGGATCAAGGCTCACATTACGAAAGGTCAGTACTAAAAATAAAGTTTGCATTTATTAAGGGTTGCACCAGGGGGCTGTTCATGGGAACTGACTTAATGTTTACTGCACAAAATCAGCCACTGAAACTACACTAATTTTTCACAACTCTTCCACATACAACATTAAAACTGTCATGCATGGACAGAAAAAATGGAATAGTAGACAACAAAATAGAAAAAATTATATGGCATGTCTAGTGACTGACATTAGTTCATATGGCTCAGTCCCCCATGTTTCAATCATACTTTGCATTTCTCTAAAAAAAAATTTGAGTGATTCTTACAGGCATGATACTGTTCTGATTCCATATTTTATAGAAATGCTTCCAAAAGTTAAAATTAATCAAAGCCTTTTAGAACTCTGAAGTTCTTCAATGTTTAGTGAGGAAATAAACATAACAAAAATACAGGTGCAAAGGTACTGACCTGTAAATGTTCTCCATATTCCACAAGGTGATAATTTTTATCCTGGTTCTCACTATCAATAAAGCTTACTGTTGAGCTGTTAAAGGTAATGGTAATGATGGCTCGCCCATTCTCCATTAGGTTAACAGTACAGAAACAAGAAAACTAATTGCTGAGTGAAATTCCTAATATTAATATCAATGTCATCATGTGTTAAGTTTATACTACTTATACCAGCAGTCCCCAAACTTTTTAGCACCAGGAATCGGTCTCCTGGAAGACATTTTTTCCATGGACTTGGGGGTTTGGGGAGATGGTTTCAGGATGAAATTGTTCCGCCTCAGATCATCAGGTGTTAGATTCTCATAAGGAACGTGCAACCTAGATCCCTCACATGCGCAGTTCACAATAGGGTTCGTGCTCCTGTAAGAATGTAATAACACAGCTGATCTGAGAGAAGGCGGAGCTTGGGCAGTAATGCTTGCTCCCCTCCTGCTGAGTGGCCCGGATCCTAACAGGCCATGGACTGGTATCAGTCCGTGTCCTGGGGGTTGGGGACCCCTGACTTACACAATAAATGTGCAGGCAGCTTTTGAAGACTCAGCTCTCAATGAAGAAGCTGAATGTGAGAATAAATATATAATACTGGCTCTTGAATATTCACACCTAGGTAGGTAATGCTATTACTGAAATCAGCGTTAGATATACTGGATGATATTTTCTCCATTCATAGATGAGAAAAGTAAAAATTAAATAAATGGACAACTGAAAAAAGCCTTATACACTGGTCATCTTTCAAATTAACCTTTACAGAAGGGGTGTCCAATATTTTGGCTTCTCTGGGCCACACTGGAAGAAGAATTGTCTTGGGCCATACATAAAATACATTAACTAATGATAGCTGATGAGCCCCAAAAAAAATCACAAAAAAACTCATAATATTTTAAGAAAGTTTACAAATTTGTTTTGGGCTGCATTCAAAGCTGTCCTGGGCTGTGGGCTGGACAAGCTTGCTATGATAAGTTAGAGCAGTTTAAGAAAAAAGGAATGACCATTTTAAAAGTAATTTCAGATTGGTACAAAAAAGAGATCTCTGAATACCTTTGTAAAAAATTTTTGCTTTCTGTTAAAATGCTAAATATCTTCTAGGTTTATAGTGTGTGCTGATTATTCTGTTCCCTTCTGCCCCCAGCCCTGCTGTGTGCTCAGAAGTCTGACCCCTACAGAATCTATCACAGGGGCTCCATATCCCACACATTGCAGTTCAGCACCATTGAGCTTCAATTCCCTTCCTAAATCCCCATGCCTTCTAGCCTACTGGCCTCCACACACAGAATATTTTTCTTACTGCTCCTCTAAATCTATTTGACAGAGCTAAACTCTCCTCTGTTCAGGCCTCTACTTAAAGAACTTTTCCTCTGGGAAAGCTTCCTTCAAGTTAGAGTATCTTCAGTGGTCTTTCCAAGCTGCCAAACTCCCTTGTATTTTTTAATGTTCCATTATAACTGCTTGTTATTTCTAAATCTTCTCCACTAGGCCAATTAAATTCCTTGTGGACAGTAATCATGCTTGTCTTTCATGTTACAATATTCCCAGGGTCCAGAGCTCAGGTGCCTGACACAAAGTAGGCACTTAATACACATCAATGAGTCAATGAAAGAGTTACCTAGCTCCCTTTCTAAGAAAGAAAACCCAAATTCCATAAATAATATTTATTGAGATCTGATTGTCAACTTTTATCTGTAATAGGTGAAATTAAATATTTATGTGACACATTTAACAAAATTAAGTAAATGTAAATCGCATAATCTTTAGTGGCAAAGTAAGGCAGAATCACTGGAGAATGAATCAGTTTGAATGACTGTAATCTAGAGCTGAACTATCCAATACAGTAGGGGGTAGCTACACATGGCTAGTTAAATTAAAATGAACTGAAAGCAAATAAAATTAAAGATTCAGTTCCTCAATTGCACTAGCCACATTTCAGGTATTTGACACCACATATGGCTAGGCACCACCATGTTCCACAGCACAGATATAGAATATTTCCATCACTGCAGAAAGCTCTATTGGGCAGCACTGTTCCAGAGACTTGAGATCCTGTAACTGATAGAACTTAAGAAATAAACCAACCCATAACTATGTATTTGAATTGTACTTTCTTCATTTTATAAAATGGTGATAATACATATTATGTTCCCATGAAGATTAAATAAAATGGTGCTTTAAAATAGTTCAGTGTTTAATACATAACTGGTGATCAAACAAGCATCCTGCCCCTTTCTCCTGTAATGCAAAGGCATTCTGCTCCAAGCACATCTTATCACATATTCCCCTGCTGTAAAACTGCTATTTTTCACTCTGTGCTAAAAACAATTGTTTTCAAACTTCTGTGGGAAAGGGAAGGAGCTTGTGGGGTTCTAGGCCTTCTACTTCCTGACTTTTCCATCAAAACAGTGTTAGATTAACTGTCACATATTGGGTTTCCGTTTTAGATTTTTCCCCCCATTAAAACATCATGAATGAGAACAAGCAAACAAACAAAAAAAGTCCAAAAAAATCAATGTTCTAGAAGATACATCTCCAAACTTTATCAATGATGAGCAAATAAGGCCCATGATAATCCGAATCCTCTTGTCTAATCTCCTCTCGCTACCTTTCCCTTCTCAATGTTCTATACTTACTTAGTTGAAGACATCAGGACCAACACCAACAGTCAGCCAGAAAACAAAGCAAATGATTTTGTATTTTTCCTTGGCTTTGATGAATTGACAGATGTCACCAACGCTGCTAAGTTGTTGTTTATTAGTGAGGTGAATACCAAAATTAAAGTGAATGAAAATTAGCCTTCATGAATAGTTTGCACAGATTAACTATAGGCAAGAATATTTTCAAAGAGGTTGAGAAAATGCTAATTCATCACAACCTGAAGTGGAATCTGCTATATGTTACAACTGATGGTGGCTAAAAACGTGTGAAACACAAAAAGACTTAAGTAAATTAATTTACAAAAGCTTGTGAAAATGTAAGCTGATGGTGTTATTCATCGGTAGACACTTTGGAAAATATCTGAATCTCATACGTCCTTGAGCCAGTAGTATCAACAGTTGGTTTCATTCTCAAAGACTTAACTTCCATCGCTTCTACAAATTTTTGTCAGAAACAGAAGCTTAACACCTTGACTTGCTCTGCCACACCATACTTTGATGGTTTAGTAGTGGTAAGGTTTTACTGTGATTTATTGGGCTCATGGCTGAGACTGAAATTTTTCCTCAGTAGGAAGACCTGCCTTCAACCACTACTATCAAACACTTTTAAACTAGCTTCTGTTATGGACTTAATGTTTCTTAATGTGTTCAACCTGAAGTTACATGAAAAAAATTTGCTTTTATGTAAAATGAATACTGCAATAAAATCATTTTTAACAACAACTAATGTTTAAATCCCAAGTAATGTCAAGCTGCTTTATGCAGTTACCATGCTGTCAAAGTTAAAGCATTAAGCATGCTCTCCACTCCAAAACAAATTTGGAGCAGATATATTTTCTGAGATCAAACCACATATCCAACAGCATTTTTCAGATCTTGATGCAAGCGCAAAGGAAATGTTAATATTTAAAAATCCATTTAACTGTGCAATTGAGTGGCGCTTCCATCTAACCGTCAATTGCAAGTGATTGATCTGATAAAAGACAAATAGAGGAAGTAGAATCTAATAGAATTCTGCAAATGCCTTCCAAGTGCTAAATGCTCAGTTAAAACCATGTTATGCTGATATCATGAATTGGTATCAGTGTTTGGCAGCAAGAATCTGTGTGAAAATACATTTTCAAGGATGAAATATGCAAAATCTCATTACCCATCAGCACTGACAAATCAATATAGACAACTGATTTTGATGACAGGGCACACTAAACTTTGAACTTCAATAAGTGAACTGTTATCCCAAATAAAATCATTTCATTCTTCTTAGTAACAGATCTATATTTTTAAAATTGTACTGTATTAATACATTTTACAGTTCTTCAATAAAAAATCTGTAGAAATCTGTTTCTTTCTTGATAAACACACATATACACACACAAGCTTGCTGACCCTTAGATGTTTTCTAATGATCCTGAATAGTTTAAAATACATGTACAAGGAAAATTTTTGTCTCAAATATGAGTGAGCTACACTTGAAACAAAATCTATGGGTACTAAATAATATTTTAAACAGTAAAAAGTGTGTAGGAGATCCCCAGCAGGGTAGGAGACTAGATGTGTCTTGTCTCAGAGATTTCCTGTGCTTTATTCTGAATAATCCTATAAAGAGAATTTGAGGGGGTTTTAAACAGGCCCAGTCTCCAGTCATTGGTTTCAGAATCTTATTTACTGAGGAATTTACTCTTAAAGCAATATTTGATTATACATTCCTGTGATTGGCTAAGATTGCTGTTGATAGAGAAGAATATGCTAAAATAAAATCTATATTGAACCTCAAGCACAAATATCAACATGCACAAAAATTAATAAATATTTCCATAGCAAGAGTTCTTAATATGGTGTCTCCGTTTTGCTCTATTTCATTAAATGGACCCCAGGAAAAAAATTATCTCTTCACATGAGATATGTAGACAATCTACCACAGTGTAAACTTTATAGATTAAAAGATTTCAAAAGTAATTGAGTTTACAATTCACAAGTAAGATTCCTAAAATGAATTTTTACACCTTGTGCCTTTTATTTAGAAAGGGAAAATGTCAAATGTGAATTGTTCATATTTGATTTCTTTGTATTTATCAAGTCAAAGCAAGATTTTTAAAAAATGTAACAGCAACAAAAATAATTTGCTGAGACTAGATTATCCATTTTTTGCTTGGATGAACAAACAGCGGTACTAAACTAACCCTATATTCACACGAACAAGTCTTTGATGTGTTAAACTTGTAGGCAGTTTGTGTTGGCCTGATTTAACAGAAAAAATGTTTTCCTTAGTGCTTTGGCTAGCTTTATTAGGTACAGATCACTCTTATTATCAAGCTACATGTGTGCTTTAGAAAACTGTACTCATTTCTGGTAAAATAAAAACCTATCAGTCCAGCTGATCTATGAGCTGCTTTAATTGGCCACTTATGTGAAACAAAACAGGTGTAATTCCAAACATTAATTTTTATTTCATAAATTTTTTTATTAAAAATCGTTAAAGGTTGCTGGATTCTCCAGTGATAAGACAAAGATGGCACAAAGGTAAAGATGGAACTCATAAAAGTTACAGATCCAACAAGTGGATACAGACGATAACACTGCTCCTTAACTGAGAAGATGGAGACCATCTGGCAACAGCAGAGTTTTGTCTTCATCTTCTGTATCTTCCTTCCAGATTCTGAGGAACTGGAATCTTGCTGTTTTCTTTATAGCTAGATCCCATTCTTCTAGAACTCCTGACGGGCTTTGTTTTTGTCCCTGCTTCTTTCTATAGCATTGTCACACTCTTCCCTTGTAATTCAGGCTCACCTTTATTAAGGAACAAATCAACCCAACTTATCTTGCTTAACTCCACCATCCTCTTTCCCTAGCTGGTTCCAGATATTTTCCTTTGCAGACTTTTGGAAGAGCAGAACACAGCTGCTGCTGCTGCTGCTGCTGCTGCTTCCTCACTATTAGCTTCCTGGTAAACCCTCTGTAACCTGGCTCCTGCCCCAGCATGCTGATGAAATTATGATTTCATCACTGGCAAATCCACTAATGTTATTTTCTATCCTAATTCAACTTAACCTATTTACTGTATTGGCCACTGTTAACCATCCTTTTCTTAACTGTTCATTTGAGAAATATATACTGTGTCCCTGTGCCATGCCAGCTTCCAGGGCTATGGCTACTACTTTCACAAAGCACATCGTCTATAGTGAAGCGAGTACTGGGACAGATACAGCAGTGATTGTAGCCAGCTAGGCGGGCAGGGAAGGCATTCCAAGAACATGACAGTATGCCAAGGCCTTCTCTTGCAACACTTTTCCCGTAGCTTGGGTTTTATACTGATTTGGAAACTATTCCATATGTTTCCCTCCTTAGATTCTCTTAACCTTCCCATCCTCCTCTCCAGGTCCCCTTAAAGCCTATCCTCCATGTCCACCCAACCCTACTCTCTCCCTTCTAAGGTTTTGTGTATCTTTTCTTCTATGATATCAACGGTTTTCTGGCCACTCAGGTTAAAAAAACTTTCAGTCAACATTAACTCATCTGTTCCATCCTTTATCACTAGTCAAGCACTAGTTAAAAAAGAAATATCTCAGCAAGTCTCCTATGCTTGCCCTTCCTCTTTATTTCCATTGCCAGTGCTGATCTCATCAATGGTCACTATTACATTGTTCTCATCACCTTATCCTATTGGGAAAATATTGCAACAGCTTATTTATTTGCTACCCCAAGTACAAACAAACAGGCATAACTTCTAAGTCCCTCAAAAATCTGAATTCATCCTAATTATCCAGGCTGTTCTTTCACAACTTCCCAACTGTACTTTCTTCTAAAACCAAACCAGTTTACCAACTGGCAAACGAACGTGCTTTGTTGGTCTCTACAGTAGATGTTGGGGATCCCCTCACCTCACTTGGACTGCACCTTTCTCTCCTATCTAGCCAAATGTCAAAAGTACATCATAACTCTAAAGTGATACTCTTCAACAACAAATATTTACAAACATTTTTAAATTGACTACTATGGGCCAGGAATTATTTATCTATTTGAAATACAGTCATGCATCACTTAAATGGGGCTACGTTTCTGAGACAGGTGTCATTAGGTGATTTTGCTGTTGTGCGAACATCACAGAGTGTACATACATAAACCTACCACACGCCTAGGCTATATGGTACAGGCTATGGTTCCTAGGCTACAAACAGGTGCAGCATGTTACTATACTGAACACTGCAGGCAACTGAAATGCAATGGTAAGTATCTGTGTATCTACACACATCTAAACACAGAAAAGGTATGGTAAAAATACAGTATTATAATCTTATGGGACCACCAACATATACACAGTCTGTCATTGACTGAAATATTGTTATGTAGCACATTACTTTATATAAAAAGTTACTTAATTTTTATAACAAACTGGTAAGAATAGGTATTATAATCAGCTCTATTTGGGAGATTAGGGAAGGGAGAATAATTAAGTAACTTTAAATAAAAATAGACAGAGTTCCGCTGTTTTGAACATTTCTGGAGTAAAGAAATAAAGGGGAAATAGCCAGGTGCAGTGAGTCATGTCTGTAATCCCAGCACTTTGTAATCTCTCAAGCCCAGGAGTTTGAGACCAGCCTGGGCAACATGGTGAAACCCCATCTCTACAAAAAAAGTCTTCTTGCCTTTAGCTCTCTTCAACATTCAATACAAATACAAAGCTCGCAGACACCCCAATCCCAACATATAGAGAAACTAAAATAGCCACACTTACTACTTAGGCACAAAATGGGCCAGGAGGGGGTGAGTCAGGAATCTGGTTGGAGTGAGCCAAAGATCCATGGGTTGGTTGTCAGTATATAGATAGCATTAAGATGGTGGGAAGGGGGCTGAGAAAGATAGGACGTGCAGGAGTCGAAATGGCATGGATACTGTGTCTATATCACTTATCCTCCAAATGCAGACACTGTTGAATGAAAGTGAGGTACTATTAATAAATACACCAGGAAAACAGGCATAAACCAGGATGGTCCTCAGCAAACAAAGACAAAGGATAGGTAATGGGGGAATAAAGGGTTAGATGACTCCACACCTTCAAGAAACTTTGGGGTATTGAAGCATTTTCCAAATGAAGTCCAAAAGTCATGCAAATAACGCACTGAAAAAGACTGGGTTTGTTATGGGGCTAAAAGCACACGAAGTAAAGGGTACCTCTAAAGCATGGGGCAGACTTACAAGCCAGTTACATCATGGAAACAATCAACTCCATCGAGTTCTACTCACTCCCAATCCCGACTTCTACCTTCCAAGATGTTGTTTTCCACTTTATCCAAGCCAGGCCTGGCCCTCAGAGCTCAAGATAAACCATAAACCAGTGTGTGGTAGGCAGAATTCTAAGATGGTCCCCGAACTCCCAGCCCCTGGTAGGCAGACATCTTGCCTCAGTTATTCAACCAAACCCGAATGTAGGTGTTGCTGTGAAGGGATCTTACAGATGTACTTAAGGTCCCAAATTAGTGGACATTAAGATAAGGAGATTTTTCCTGATGGGCCTGACCTAATCAGGTGAACCCTTTAATAAAAGCAGAGTGTTTTTCCCCGTTGCAAGCAGAAGGCAAAGTCAGAGAGACATGCTCTGGTGGGCTTCGAAGAAAGCAGACACCCATGTTGTAAACGATCTGTGGGGGTCACATGGGAATGGGCTGCTAGGAGCTGAGAATGGTCCCAGCCAGCAGCTAGCAGGAATATAGGAACTTCAATCAAACACTGCAAGGAAATGATCTTTCTCAACAACCAGTGAGCTTGGGAGAGGACCCTGAGCCCAAGATGAGAGCACAGCCCCGACCAATACCTTGACTTCAGCCCAGTGAGACTCTGAGAAGTTTGACCCATGCAGTGCCAAACTTCTGTCCACAGAAACCATGAGATAATATATTTGTGTTACTTTAAGCTGCTACATTGGTGGCACTTTTGTTACATGGCATTAGAAAACAAATACAGAGTTTGAAATGAGGGAAAGAGACATGCACCAGCACCCCTGTCAGCTTCAATGAAGAGAGAATGGGCCAGAAGAGTGAATCAATCAACTCCTGCCCCTTCTTAAAATCCCCCAGAAAGAGCAGCTGGCATAAGAGACTGACTTTTCAATGTATCCCTTTAAACTTTTTGAACATTCCTCCTCATATGCATGCATTCCCTTCTGCAAAATAAAGAAATACAAATAAAATTCATCATGACATAGAAGCAGGTGAGTCCAAGAAAGCATCGAAAGAAGAGATTTGATGGAAAATTGATGACGATACCATCACAAAACCTTGAAGTTAGGGAAATAAACCCACATATCATACACTACTTCTCATAAAAGGCAAACCCTAAAACAGAGGTTTTGGAGAAAATCTCTGAGCAAACAGTGCTTTTCCATGAACATCTCTCTTTTTAATTTTTTTTAAATTTTAAGTTCTGAGATACAAGTGCAGAACGTGTAGGTTTGTTACATAGGTATACGTGTGCCATGGTGGTCTGCTGCACCTATCAACCCGTCATCTAGGTTTTAAGTCCCGAATGCATTAGCTATTTGTCCTAATGCTCTCCCTCCGCTCACTACCTCCACTACCAGTGGCCCTGGTGAGTGTTGTTTCCCTCCCTGTGTCCATGTGTTCAACTTATTGTTCAACTTCCACTTACGAGAACATGTGGTGTTTGGTTTTCTGTTCCTGTGTTAGTTTGCTGAGGATGATGGCTTCCAATCTCATCTATGTCGCTGCAAAGAACATGATCTCATTCCTTTTTATGGCTGCACAGTATTCCATGGTGTATATGTACCACATTTCTTTATTTGTCCAGTCTATCATTGATGGGCATTTGGGTTGGTTCCATGTCTTTGCTATTGTAAATAGTGCTGCAATAAGTATATGTGGCCATTTGTCTTACAGTAGAATGATTTATATTCCTTTGGGTATATACCCAGTAATGAGATTGCTGGGTCAAAGATCCAAGATTCTAGATCCTTAAGGAATCGTCACATTGTCTTCCACAATGGTTGAACTAACTTCTATACCCACCAACAGTGTAAAAGCATTCCTATTCCTCCACAGCATCGCCAGCATCTATTGTTTCTTGACTTTTTAATAACTGCCATTTTTGACTGATGTGAGATGCTATGTCACTGTGGTTTTGATTTGCATTTCTCTAACGATCAGTGATGTTGAGCTTTTTTTCATGTGTTTGCTGGCCGTATAAATGTCCTCTTTTGAGAAGTGTCTGCTCATATCCTTCGCCCACTTTCTGATGGGTTTGTTTTTTTCTTGTAAATTTGTTTAAATTCCTTGTAGATTTCAGATATTACACCTTTGCCAGATAAGTAGATTGCAAAAATTTTCTCCCATTCTGCAGGTTGCCTATTCACTCTGATGATAGTTTCTTTTGCTGTGCAGAAGTTCTTTAGTTTAATTAGATCCCATTTGCCAAGACCACCTTTATTACTCTGACTCCCAAGTCTCTCTCTCTACTTTTATTTTCATCTTGTTTCCCTTTTCTCTCCTTCATTCTGGGATTGATCAACATTACAAAAAGAAGGAGCTGGCCAGTATGGTGGCTCATGCCTGTAATCCCAGCACTTTGGGAGGCCAAGGTGGAAAGATCACTTGAGCCCAGGAGGAGTTTGAGACCAGGCTAGGCAACATGGAGAAACCCTGTCTCTATAAAAAATAAAATAAAATAAAAAATTAGCCAGATGTGGTGGCACCTGTCTGTAGTCCCAGCTACTCAGGAGGCTGAGGTGAGGGGATAACCTGAGGTTGGGGATGTCAAGGTTACAGTGAGCCATAATTGTGCCACTGCATTCCAGCCTGGGAAACAGAGTGAGACTCTGCCAAAAATGAAAGAAAGAAAAGAAAAGAGAGGTTAATGACATCTAGTTAGATGTTTGATGTAAGGAGAAAGAAGGAAAATAGCCCGAAGCACAGTATCTTCAAATTTTAATGCCTGGTGACTTTGAAAGCATAAGTACAATGAAGAGAAACAAAAAGGTCTCAAAGATGTGATGTTTGCTTGGAGAAGGGAATATGATTTCCATCTTAGACAATCTGAATTTGAAGTACCAATTGAACATTCAGGTTATAAGGTCGAGCAGCATTTGGTAACTAGTTATGTGCCTTTGAGCCACTTTAAGTCTCTATTTTTTAATCTACAAATTAAGGATAATACCTAACTAGCTGTTATGAATGGATTGTGTCCCCCTAAGATTTACATGTTGAAGCCCTAATACCCCAGTGTGACTGTATTTGGAGATAGCACCTTTAGGTAACTAAGGTTAAATGAGGTCTTAAGGGTGGAGCCCTGAGCTGATAGAATTGGTGTCCTTATAGGGAAAGGAAGAGACACCAGAGCTCTCTCTCCCCATGTCACACACAGAGGAAAGGCCCAGTGGAGGACACAGGAAGAAGGCAGCCATCTGCAAACCAGGAACAGAGACCTGACCAGAAACAGAATCTGCTGGCACCTGATCTGGGACTTGCAGCCTCTAAAATGGTGAGAAAATATATTTCTATTGTTTAAGCCACTCAGACTATGGCATTTTGTTATGGTAGCGTGAGCAGACTAATAAATACACTAGCTGAATGTTGTCAAGATCAAATGAGATAATGTCTATATGGTTCTAAGATACTGCTTGGCACAGAGAAAACCCTTAAATGTTAACTATTACTATTGTTGAAAATGCAGGAGGTGAGCCAGAGTTAGAAAAAAGTAGCCAATTAGGAATTTCTTTCAACATTCCAGACAAAGTATTGACAGACTCCCTGGGCTTCCATTCATCACTGTGACTCCATTCAGCCCAGATGACCCTAATACACCAGGTTTCTTCAGATTCTCTAGTACCTAGGCCCACCTGCCTTGTTCTTGGATTCTCTGACTCCTCCTCAGTTCCTGTGTTTAGTCCACCCTTATGTCTTCCTCTCTGGTTCTCCTTAGCACCACGGGCCAAGTGAGCTCCACCTCAGATTTCTGGGCCAAAGCTTTTGGCTGACTCTGCACAGGCTCTTATCCCAAATGATTCTGTTTTCCAGAACATGATCTACACTCAGTTCTCCAGATCTGTTACTCTCATTGGTCTTACCTCCCCACTTATATTAGCCTGTTTCCTGCTGCTGTAACAGATTACCATAGACTGGGGAATTTATAAACAACAGAAGTTTATTTGGCTCTTAGTTCTGGTGACTGGGAAGTCCAAAACATGGCGTTCACATCTGTGAGGGCTTTCATACTGTATCATCCTGTGGTGGAGGGCAGAAGGACAAGTGAGCACTTGAGACAGGAAAAGGGAGCTGAGCTCCCATGATAACTAACCCATTCTGGTGATAACAGCATTAATCCATTCACGAGGGCTTTAAGAGGTGATCACTTAAATCTCTCTCTTCATGTCATCAAAATGGCAATTAAATTTCAACATGAATTTTGAAGGGAACATTTAAACCATAGCACTGTCCATTAGAATCTACTTCAATCCACTGAAGACAGGAGAAACAACTTCTTAGGCAGGAAGAATGAAGACAATGGCCAGTATATAACTGCATTTTGGGGCTGATAAGGAGGAGAGCTGAGGTGGTACTTGTGAGGTCCAATCCTGTTCCTGAGAATAAGTTAGGTAAAGTTGGAGTATTATACTTGAAGTAGACGAAGAAGATTTGATATGGCTAATATGAATATGGAAGAATGTACTGAAAAGGAAAATAGACTGATGAACAGCAAAGAGGGCTCTGTGGAGATTAAACACTACAACCCCTTCAGCCAGGATTTTTAGCAATCTGGAGGTAGGGCGGGGGTGGCTGTTGGTGCTGGTGGTAGGGTTATGGCTGGGAGATGAGTGTGTTTAGAAGTAAAGGAATGCCAAAGCTATTATGAAAGGCATCCCTAGAAGGGAGGACCATGAGGTCCAGGGCAGGTAGAAGCCAGAAGATTAGAGAATAAGAAGAGGTCAAGTGATGAGAATTTATGACAAGGAGGAAGAAGAAGAGAGAATACAAGGAAGTTTGAGGCTCATTGAGAGGTTTCTGAGCACCCTTGGCAGTTAGTCATTATGGTAAATAGACAAAATAATTCATAAAGTCATGTCCAATAACAGATAAAGACAACCAAACAACCTGAAGTGTCTGGAAGGGAAACAATTTTCTCTGATAACATCATAGTTAAGACTGCAGTTGTGTCTGGTTTCATACACAAGCAGTCTCCATTACACTCTACAATGAATTCCTGGAAAATGTATCATAAAAGTCTGCCTTTTTTCATAATAATAAAAACACTGATTATTGCCCTCCTGAATGTGACTCAGTATTAAATTACAGATAAAGCCACGAAAACATCATAAAAGCAAAAATGCAATAATAAACCTGTATAATTATTTAAAATTGTAAAACTATGTAGCAAGTTACTAAAATGATGAAATTTTAGAGCAAAGGTGAACCTCAGAGTTTCTTTAATCTAGTCTTCTCATTCAAAAGATGAGACTCAAAGTGAAGCTAAAGAGATAAAATCCGTTTTCCCAATTGACAGCAACAAGAAACTTATTTCTTGACTCCAAATCAAATGTTTTCACAGCCTGTTTCAGAAGAATTCCACAAAATGAGTAAAATTACAGAATATTTTGAATATATAAAGATATACAAAATATCTTACAGTGAACATACAGAACAGAAAAATACAACCAGACTCTACCAGGTTTGTATTATCTAATGTTAATATATTAGCAGCAACAATATTACATATATTTATTTAATTTTAACTTGCTTCTATGATCTCCACCTCAAATAAAGGAAAAAGAACTAATAACCACACTCCTTGCATGATAGTTAGAAACTGAAAACAATCCAAATGTTTAACAACGAGAAATGAGTAAGCAAAAAAAAGAATGTCAATAAAATGTTATGTAACCTCTAAAAAATGATAAATTATATGGACCAGACTGAATCATAGAAATGTTCATTCAAAACAATGATGGGAGAAATGGAATACAAATTAAGAGGTGTTCAGTTGTGAATTTAGAGAACAATTTAAGTAGTTAAAATTTAACATGCATTGTATTCTTTTTTTCCTATAAGGTTGTACCATGTCGATAATATAAACCAACAAGAAGCAAGCAGATGAATTAGCAAGCTGTCAGAGAAGTTTGGAATGAAGCTTTCTTTCTCTTGATAAACTTCTTTACAGCTAGAAATAGTAGCAGAGGTTTATAAAACCACCCTACTATTTATTTCAAAGAGAATAATTAGAGCACCTAAATACTCAAGTGCCCTAAGAACTTCAGTTTCCAGGGCCTGGAGAAAATAATAGTTAAAATTCTTTTTGTTCCCCTTCATTTCACTACTTATTACATTCCTACCCCCAAACAAACAACCCCAAATCTACATGCCTCCAAACAGAAAGAGAAGTCAGGTGGGACAGCCTGAAAGTTCTAAAAGAAGAAAAATAGGAATATTCATCCACTTTTGCATTTCTTTAAAATTTGATTAAGTATATAATACAAATAAACTAAACCAAACCAAACCAAAACAACAAAACTAGAGCAGACATGTCAGTGTTTAAGAAAAACTAACTGAAACATACAGCAAAGCATATAGAGAGGGGTATGTTTAATAAGAAAAACAGTGTGTTTGACTATGAATGACACTGATGAAAGATTATCTTAGCCCATTTTTATAGTCCAAAAAATAAAGAGAATTTTGGGGAGGAGAAAGGATGGAGAAGAGGTGACTGATTGTACAATCTGCACTTAACCAGAGCAAAATTTAAAATGATTTCTTTCACATCAACTTCGTAAGAAATAATTACAGTTATATCAGACAAGTGGATTTTTAAAGCCTGTGGATCTGTCCTTATTGGGCAACAAAATACATTTTTAGTCTAAGTACTGTTCAGATAATACAATATCAAGTTTTCTGCTACCCAATATTTTATCAAAAACATAGCCATGAGAAACAGCAGATAACTGGCTGAAAGATGTGGGGTCCATCAGTTAATTCCTCTAGCTGGTCTAAATTTGTTGTTGAATTAAGCCATGCTGGGAAAAGACTTTGTACTTGGACTTTTTTTGAACTGTGATCTGGCACTCTCACTTACAGTGAGGAAGAAAGGAAAGCAGTTCCCATGTGCCCAGAGATGAGGACATGAAGTATCACAAGACAGGCCACTGGCAGATTTTCCATTCCAGTCTCAAAGCAGGAACAGCTGTGTTCCCCGTCTCTGACACCTCTATCTTATAGACTGTGTAAAGCATGTTACTGATAATATTTTCTTTTTTGCATTGGCTTCTAAAAATCTGTGATGAAATATGAAGTCTAATAAGTGTATGAGGCTGGAGGACATGTATTTTTGATGGTAATCTTATCATTGTAATCATCTCATTTTTCCTACATTAATTGTGCCCTTTCTCTTGATTTCTTCAACCAATTTCTTTTTTTTTTAAGAGATGGGGTTTCACTACATTGCCCAGGCTGGTCTTGAGTTCCTGGGCTCAAGCAATCTGCTCGCCTCAGCCTCCCAAAGTGCTGGGATTACAGGTGTGAGCCACCATGCCTGGCCTCTTCAGCTGCATTTTTAAAAATCTTAACCTCTTACATGTCTGTCTGTGAAATGCTTCCATTCCTGTGCATGGGTATAAATAAATAAATTCTATTAATAGGTCAACATTGCACAGGCACATGTCACCTATAAAACCATTCTATACTTTGTCCTAGAAAATTGCTTCTAATATTTATACTATTGACTCATCTCTAAAGTGAACCCTCATCTCATAATAGTAAGTGTAACCTAACAGATGTTAATGTGAGATGCAAGAAAATAGGTATTTCTCATTATTTTCTTGGCTAAAATATAATTGCCAAAATCTTTCATTATTTTACTCTCTATCATATATTTATTTACAAATTAATAACAAAGGAAATGGTACACATTAAAATTCATGAAACTTTCTTCAGCCAAGGACAGTTTCCCCTCATTTGATGACATTATGTAAACCAAAGAAAAACAACTGTAATGTTCCTTTCCCAGGTCACACCATGTGAGTAACTAACGTACCCACTAAAGTGAATGGCACAATAGAAAATGATGAAAGGGCCATGAAAAAGCTAAATGGATATGATCTATAGTAAATAAAAATATATTGTGCCATTCTGTTTATTGTTTCTATTCTCAGTGAAAGTTTGCACACTGTTCTAAGATAAATGAAAACCACATTGGAAAGTAAAATAAAAATCAGGAAGAATTTTAGCAGACATTCTCTAGAAGACAAAATAGTCATTAGAAAATGGAACCATCCACAACTGAGAAGCATATCATTTAATGATTTGGAGACTTTCAAAATTATAAAAGGAAAGCGATAAGTGTACAATGTTTGACAGGGGTATGGAAAAAAAAAGCCGCTTGACTTATGTACTTAAAGGACTTGAGCTTTCTGGCTTTCCATACCAAAAACTAATTTACAGAAAGAACACAAAGGCAATTCATATCAAAACACTGCCCTCAAAGTCTCCTGAGACTCTGAGCCAGGTACTAACAGGAAGTGTAAGGTTATAGTCACCTTGGATCACCTTCTCAAGTTCAGACCTTCAGAGTACCTCATCACTAAATTAAGGTATCCTTAAATCTGACCTGCTGAAACAAGCATACCTATATGTGGACTTTAAATCACCTCGGAGTAAATAAATTTAAGCTAGTATCCAAGGGGTAACATGTTTCCATTTGCATGTGTGGACAAACTTTAAATAAAAATAAATTGTTACTACTAATGTTCAAAGGCTAATGGTAAAAAAAAAAAATTATCAATTGAGAAACATTTATCTTCAAACTTAAAAAAAAAACTTACATTAAGCAAACTGCTAATGTTTTTCCTACATTTATCCTCATGCCTTCAACTTTAGATCACTCTTCCAACCAGTATTTAACCTGAATGATCTCATCAAAAGGTAACAAGGATGATTAATGCTGATGCAATGTAATTCCTGCCCTGCCCTAGCCTAAAATATATTGGACAATATGAGTTCTCTGTGAACAGCATTAAGTGCTGTACAGATATGGATTACGGTACAGTGAATAGTAACGCACTTCCTGTTAAACATCACCAACAAAAGTTAGAAATGAATAGAAAGTACACAAAGCACATACTATATTGGCAGTTCCTCAGGCCTGTGGCTAGAAACCCACTGATGCGCATGACAGGGATGAAGAGACTGAAGTCTGAGCACAGTAAAAGTCACAAAGAGCCTCCCAGCCAGGCCGTGGAGTCTGCAGTGAGCTCAGGGAGGGAGACCGTGACCAGAAGGGCCATCCCCCTTCCCTCCTCACACACAAAAGGAGCAGAGTTTACTGGTAATGGTTTACAGCTAAGCCAGCTGACCCAAACTGTTGTCAAGTCTAAGCATGAGTCAAGCTCTCTTGACAACTTAAATCAACAGTTTGGGTGCAGTCAACCCGCCACTTAGCTGAGTTCCTGCCACAATCTATTGTTTAGAATTAACTGAAACTGATTACATCTCTCAGGACTCTGGGCAGCAGCCAATCCATGAGCGTTTTGAAGATAATTTACCCCCTGCACTGCAAATAATGCTCAAAGTTAACTCTATGGCTAGGCGTGAACCTGTAGAACAACTTGGGACAAATGTTATGTTTATTTATTTATAACCAAACAGTGGAATGAGTTAAGGTTTAACACTATCTGAAGATTAGAGAACTAATTCTGATTTTTAAATGTAACTTAATTTCATACCTCGGGACCTGCAAAGTAGGAGGCCATGCTGGGGGCCACTATCATTCCAAATCCTTGTAGCTTTGCTAAAATATGTTGGTGGGTCAGCCTTCTGCCCAGCTACCGTTGCTGAAATTCCTTCCAAAACAAGATCTCAAACATTGGCCCTTCAGAGTTCCTGACCTATTCTGTTGTTTCTTCTTTTGCTTTAAGACATTAAATACCCCAGCCAAAGGTAAATTATATTTAAGAAAGATAAGTTCCCACGCATTATCAACCAACAACACTTCAAAGACAATGACTTCATACAAAACTAACCACCAGCAACAAGGACCATAAGGTGTCCCAGGAAAGTAGACATTTATTAGAGAAGCAACTGAAATGTCCGGACGGATGGCACTATGGGGGTTGAATTAGTGTGTGGGGTGCTACCTTAGGTGAGGTAAATAAAGAAAGGTGTACAAATGGTGACGAAAACTCTGGTTTTGAAAAAATGTATCTTTAATTTCAACTTTGACAACCCCAAAGGATGGCATCGTTCTTAGAGACATTAGTTGATATCAATTAATATGTAACTATTACATATTTACCCTCTGCTTTCTCAATCTTTTGGGTGAGTTCTGCCCACTGAACTGTACGTTCAACTTAGGGGCATTTTATTAAAAAAGCTGTAGAAAGAAAATAAAATATTTTCAATGTTTTTTTTCCTTCATATTTTTGTGTGCATTTTAGATTAAATGGGCTGTCTTTCACTTAATCTGCAACAAATTCTTGTCTTTATTTTTTAGGTATCATTTATTGATTGTGTTCTGTATTGTGGTTGTTTTGTTATTAATATTGCTTTGAATACATAAAAAAGTAGCAGCAATCATTTAAGGAGTGCCTACCAGGGACTGTATTAAGCCCATCTTAACACATATTATCTCAATTCTCAAAAAAAACCTTAAAGAAAGGATGTAATTATCCTCATTTTTACAGAAAAGCAAATCAAGGTAAGAGAAGTTAAGTAATTTGGTCCACATACCACAAAGATAGGATTTAGTCTATCTATCTAATCTGTATATCAGTTTAACTGGCCCTATGCCTGTGCTCTCAATTACTGGACTACATTAAATTTTCTATCATCAGTATTGTGATTTTGATTACTCCCATACAGTTCTTGCTTGGAAGAAAATCCTGACAGTACCTCACTTCAGTATCTCTGTAACTAAGTGGCTGGGTTCATAAGATACTTGCTTTAGCATTCTTTCTCTGGCTCTTCATTCTTACTTACATAATAGTACCTGTGTCAGGTACCGTGGCACACACACACACATCTGTAATGCCAGCTACTTGGGAGGCTGAGACAAAAGGATCGCTTGAGCCCAGGAGTTCAAGATAAGCCTAGGAAACATAATGAGACCCTATCTCTTAAAAAAAAAAAAAAAAAAGGAAAAAAGGCCAGGCACGGTGGCTCACGCCTGTAATTCCAGCACTTTGGGAGGCCAAGGCAGGCAGATCACCTGAGGTAGGGAGTCTGAGACCAGCCTGACCAACATGGAGAAACCCCGTCTCTACTAAAAATACAAAATCAGCTGGGCGTGGTGGTGCATGCCCGTAATCCCAGCTACTCAGGAGGCTGAGGCAGGAGAATCGCTTGAACCTGGGAGGCAGAGGTTGTGGTGAGCCAAGATAGTGCCATTGCACTCCAGCCTGGACAATAAGAGTGAAACTCTATCTCAAAATAAATAAATAAATAAATAAAATAAAAAAGACAGAAGTACGTAATAGTACCTGTGAACCTGTGAACTCTAACAGAGTTCCTTTCTGTCAAAAACAGCTAAAAGTAGTTGAAGATATGGGACTATTTCTAATATAACCAACATATATTTCTGTCTAACATTGTGAGTGAACAAGCCTTTTATGGCAGCCAGGTGGTGCCACGGAAAACCAGACACTGCCCCCGCCATTAAATACATGTGAAAGGGAGAAAAAAATAACTTCTCCAAGCAAATGAAAATGAAGGAAGCCAGACTATGACTTCTAAGTTGCAGTCTAATTCCACATGCTCATAATCATGTTAATTAAATTGGCAAAAACTATCTTATCCCTTAATTTTTACTTTTTTTGGAGGAAAGAGTGAAAGAAAAAGGGGAGACAGAAAAATTTGTTTCTAATAGGGTTAGCACCACAGCTTCTAGGACTTTTAAACAGTATCATTTAGAACACTGGTGTTAGAAAAGCATTTTTACTTTGGACATAAAATACTTATTGGATAACAAAGACACAAAAGAGACAGTGGCCACTGTATAAAAAAAAAAGGTAAAAATTAAGCTGGAAGCAACTTCTAGGGTTCTTTCCTCAATGCTAGTTGAAAAAAGTAAACTAAATAGCCATAGTGTTATTTAGCATCTCCTAGTGGCTTGTGAGCATATGAAACATTTTGAAGCATGAATTTCAATGGTTCTATTTTGTCTATTGCTGTATGATGATTCCTATATATATATCCAATTAATTAAGAAAAAAATTTCGGAAATCACGGTGATGCACACCATACAAGACAGTCATCATTCACAACAGCAGAACCACAGGCTGCTGCTACAAGTGCATGAACCCCTCAGGCTTCTGACAAAGGTATTATGTAAATTTCATATATCTAATCACAGACGACACCACTAATATTTGTGTTATATAGCCTCAAGTCTATTTTTTAATGCAAGACAAAATTCCTCTAGGAAGTCTAATTCTATACACAGCACCTGACACAGCAGTAGAAAGAATGCCATACAGGATCTTAATTAGAAAAAAAAGTGATACATTTGCAGTGTCGTAACAAATGGGCAACTGTAGAAATGATTTCTCTTAAAAAATAAGACAGCAAGAAAGACAGAAAAGGAGTAACTCAAGGTGAGGACAGACTAAATCAGCTAGCTTAAAAAACAAAAAAACCAGCACCACCTAACAGCAAATGAGGAGGTGCCAGCCCTGGTGGCTCACGCCTATAATCCCAGCACTTTGGGAGGCCAAGGTGGGCAGATTACTTGAGGTCAGGAGTTTGAAACCAGCCTGGCCAATGTGGTGAAACCTCATCTCTACTAAAAATATAAAAATTAGCCAGGCATGGTGGCGGGTGCCTATAATCCCAGATATTTGGGAGGCTGGGGCAGGAGAATTGCTTGAACGTGGCAGGTGGAGGTTGCAGGGAGACGTATCTCACCATGACATTCCAGCCTGGGTGACAGAGCGAGACTCTGTCTCTAAATAATTAAATAAATAACAAATGAGAAGTATGACAGACGACAAAGCAAAGGAGGTAAAACAAGGTGGGCCATGTATATCTTCCCTTTTACCACGAGAAAAAAACTCCTACTTTATAGGATACAACTTCATTTAAATAGCCTGTGAGGAAGTGGAGAACAAAAAGAGTCACAAGCTACCTTCACACAGAAAAACACTACAACAAAAAAATCATAAACGTAATAACAGAAAACAAATAATAACATAAAAACTTGTGTTATTCAATTTTAGGCCAATAAAGGTTTATTCTGATCTAAAATAGTTAATTTTATCAACAGTACCCAATGTCATAATATTTGCAACAGGGTAGGCAATGCTTCAATTTTATATCTCATTATAATTTCCATTACTCAGGCAGAAGCTTATTCCAAACTTAAAGGAATTTCATTTTAATAAGAATACTTTCCAATAAGGTGACATGAAATAAATAGACATCAGTGAAAATAGCAACATATCCACATTTGTACTTTAAAAATCAACTTCGGTATTAGCACTCCGTTTTAGGTAAATTAGCACCTAATTAGTTCATTTTCACAGGAGCTCCTGCACAAAAACCAGAAATAAGACCCTCTCTATAAGTATACCAGAGTGGACCAAACAAAGCCTGACTGCATACATTTGACAAAATTATTACATTTATTTTCCGTGGCTTGATATTATTTCTGGAAAAATAACCTTGGACCCTATTGTTAGGCATTAAATAAGAAGTGCTATGAGTCCACACCTCTGGTAAGAGGTGAATATTTCAGCAATTTGTTTTGAGGAAGGTGTAAATTCACACTGCCCTTTCTGCTGGTACACCAAATACTGCAATGGTTTACCCCAGGGAGACTGTACAGAGAATGCAGAGCCTCCTGATTGACCCCTGCTGGCAATCAATTTATGGCCTCAAGCATAGAGGTTGATAGCCCTTGCAATTCTATATTAGTTTTTGTAACACAATATTATTTTTATTCATATAAATGTCAAATTCCTATTGGTAACATGACCTAAAAGTGTTGGTAACCTCAGCTAACACCCTTTAAAACATCTCAGAAATGGAGGAATTAAATTAAATTTTATATATTTTAATGTATAAGAAATTAAATTAAACCCAAGAAAGAAAATTAAGAACAATTTTTATTGCTAAACATGGGATACCAAGGCTGTGTAAAGGTTAATCATTTAAGAAATATATAATAGCTTGGAAGAACAAGCCATTTTATAATAATAATAACAATGAAATCACTGCCATTTAGTGTACGGAGTCAGCCGTAAAGAATTAGACAATCCAGAGCTAGGAAGGCAATACGTATTTTGAGTCTATTTACTACAGAATACGGTTATTTTGCCTTAAACTATATGGTGCACATAGGTGTGAAACTTCCAGTAGCAGGCTGTATGTACTGAACCAAACCCTAGAGATAGTCATCTTCTTCACCCATTCCCCAAATACTGCTACAATTAGGTGATGATGTGGTTGTAAAGACTTAGAAGAGGCGGCTGTTCTGGGTAACAGGATGTTTGCTTCCCTTGACCCAGAACTAGTATTCTGCCCAAGCCAGCACAGCCTTTGCTGTACCTTCCTGAGGGGTTCTATTTGCTTCTACTACAAGATTCTGAAGTCTCCACATC
Source organism: Homo sapiens (assembly GCF_000001405.40). Classification (NCBI taxonomy): domain Eukaryota; kingdom Metazoa; phylum Chordata; class Mammalia; order Primates; family Hominidae; genus Homo; species Homo sapiens. The sequence continues at coordinate 21,017,314 of NC_000006.12, read as the reverse complement.
ATACAAACATAAATTAGTTGCTTATAACACCAACAAAAGAAACCCTTCATTCAACAAAGATTTAATGGGTTTGTTCCAGGCACTGAAAACATACACACAAAAATACTCCTTATGTTATATGGGGGAGTCTGTAGGAGAGGACATATGCATGCAATCAAATAGAGCAATGTGGTATGTGCCATAATGGAGAGATAATCTATAAGGAGATTGTCTATGTAAAATACTTTGCATAATTCCTGGCATGTAGAAGAAATCAGTGAGTGGTAATGGTATAACTGTTGTTGTTACTGTTCCTTATACTGTAGGCAATGGGGAGCTAAGAAACAATTTTGATCAAAGAAATACAACGTTTTTATTTTAGAAAGAAAATTTCTGGCAATAAAGTGAAGGGTGGATTGGAAGGAGTGAGGCTAGAGTTATGAAAGAGATTTGGGAGACAACACAATTCAAGAGAATGTCCCACCTATACTTACTTAAAGAGGCAGTGATGGTGGGCATGAAGAAGTTAGACATGAGTCATTTAGAAGACACACTGAGGGGACCTGGTGCCAGAGTAGATTGGGTGGGAGAAGGTAAGGAGGAAGTCCAAAAAAAGTTTCTGATGTGGTTGTTTGGATGTGTGCCTGAGGAACACTGAAGTAAGATGGATGGATGGATGGATGGATGGATGGATGGATGGATGGATGGATGGATGGATGGATGAATGGAAGGCGTGGGGACAGAATTGATTGACTGAAATGAATTGATTTAAGGAGGAGGGGGTGGCCAACATAAGAAAGTGAAAAAATATGGATGAAAGACTGCCTGCCAGAGTCCACAATTAGAAATTTAACAAGAGCAGATACAATAAAACAGAGTAAGCAGAAACCAGATTACAGAGGATCAAGGAGTTGATGAAAGGTAGGGAAGGTGGAGACAGCAAGTGGTGTGGGGAGGTAGGTCACTCTTCAGAGGGGTGGGCAGTGAGGAAGAGTGAAGTACAGTAGGTAAAAAGCACCAGCTCTGGAACTAGGAAACCTGGGTTCCAATTCTTCTACCTAACTTCAAGCTCTCTGTGCTTCACTTTCCTCACGTATAAAAGGTAGACATCAAGGGGGTTCATTAGGATTCTGTTTCACAGAATTGTTGTAATAATTAAATGAGGTCTATATATATATATATACACATATATATACACATATATATGACTCATACATTCTAAGTGTTCAATAAATATTAGTAATTATAGAATTATTTGAAGGCAGTGAACATATTAATGTGGGGGATTACACCATAAAAGTTAAGATGGAACCTGATTATTTCATAAGTAGAAAAACACTCTCCAAAAACTGAATTGTATCATGATTCTTTCTTTTTTTTTTTTTTTTGAGTCAGAGTCTCGCTCTGTCACCCAGGCTGAAGTTCAGTGGCACAATCTCAGCTCACTGCAGCCTCCAGCTCCTGGGTCCAAGTGATTCTCATGCCTCAGCCTCCTGAGTAGCTGGGATTATAGGCGCGCGCCATGGGATTACAGGTGCGCACCATCACGCCTGGCTAATTTTTGTATTTTTAGTAGAGATGTGGTTTTGTCACGTTGGCCAGGCTGGTCTCGAACTCCTGACCTCAAGTGATCCACCTGCCTCAGCATCCCAAAGTGCTGGGATTACAGGTGTGAGCCACCGCACCCGGCTATCACGATTCTTGAAAGTACAAATTATTTAAAAGGGGAAAAAGAAAGAAACCCAATTAGCAGAATTGTTGATAAGAGTCAAAACAAACTGGACAACGAAATAATTTTTTTCAAGAAAAAAACTCAAAAAGAATAATGTATTTTCCCAATGTACAATTAAAAGATTGAATAACAGTAAATTAGGAGAAAGTACAGGAAAAAGAATCACTGTTGGACAGTTGAATTATAATAGTATTTTCTATAAAAAAGTCGATGCTTGGTCTTATTTACATGGTCAGACTAAAAGCATTTTGCTTTAAATAATAATTGAGGAAAAAGAAATCTGTTTACTTCTTTAAAGGCTTCTAACAAAAAAACACTGATTTCATTGATCAAAATTGACTAAAGCAGATCACGTAAGTAACCTCATACAAATTAGAGGAAACACTGGGTTGAAAACAAAGAAAATAGAAAAATTTGAGTTTCTCCTCTCCATCTCTTTTGTTCTGACAAGAAATTATTCAGTAATTCCGGCAGCAGGCTAACTCCAATGTACTGGACACCTGTACTAGACACCTGGGATTGTTAATAGAAGCAGTGGGAGAAAGATATGCCCTAGATGGTATAGAATCGCAAAAGGGACTCACCATGAGGCTGAGGCAATTGCTGCATACATACTACAATAAGGAAATCTAGAATGTGAAAAAACTGAAATAACACCAATTCCTGTTTGATATTAGAAAAAAACCTCTAGCAGTTAAATTTCTTTAAGTCTTGCATCAAATGAAATTTTCTGATAGTCACTCAACACAGACAGCTGATAATCTTCAAAATATTGTTTAATTTGTGAGATTAAAATAGGAGATATGCATTTTTTAAAAATGAAAACTTTGTCACCATATGAGAACAAAAACCAAATATTGAGCCAGGTGCAAAATTCGGTATTGATGCTCAAGAGAACATAATTAGATACTTAGAGATATGATAAAAAAAATTCAGTTGTTTTTAGGGGAAGTTATTACCCTACAACATGAGAACTTTTTTTTTTTTTTTTATGAGACGGAGTCTCGCTCTGTCACCCAGGCTGGAGTGCAGTGGCGTGATCTTGGCTCATTGCAAGCTCCGCCTCCCAGGTTCACACCATTCTCTTGCCTCAGCCTCCTGAGTAGCCGGGACTACAGGCACCCACTGCCACGCCCAGCTAATTTTTTTGTTTGTTTGCATTTTTAGTAGAGACAGGGTTCACCATGTTGGCCAGGATGGTCTTGATCTCCTGACCTTGTGATCCACCTGCCTTGGCCTCCCAAAGTGCTGGGATTACAGGTGTGAGCCACCACACCCGGCCCGAGAACTTTTTAGACATACCTATTGTGGTGGAGATTTTCAGTGGCCCCTTTATATCCATTCCTTTCATCTCCCATATAAATGGATTTTGAGCTAGATACATGGATGTCCAGAAGAAATGTGTTATTTTCTAGTTTTCCGTGCAGCTAGGGAAAGTTATGTTCTAATCAGTGAGATATAAGTGAAGTGTCCTGTACAATTTCAAAGACAGTAACCTTCAAGGTAGGGTGGGGCACACACTTCTTTAACTCTTTCTCCTTCTTCCTGGCTGGAATGCAGACGTGGAGGTTGAATTTTCAGCAGTCATCATGGACCATGAGACAGAGGACAGCTGAGCAACAGGACAGAATCCTGAGTCATTGATGCTGTGGACTGTCCACCAGCACAAGATTGCTACATCTTAAGCATCTTAAGCTTTTCTTTTCTTTTTTAATGTGAGAAAGTGATATCTATCTATCTTGTCTGAGACACTGTTTTATGTTTTTGGTCATTGACAGCCCAAACCAATCCAATCAAAGTGGGATACTATATGTGACAGAATCTAAAAGTGTGATACTCGTTTGTCACATTTTGGGCAGCAAGGACTCATACTGCAGGCTGGAAAACTAATTAATGTTATGTTAGCAAAATATCTGGTCACATTGTCCCCTGCAGAACTTGGAAGACAGTACAAATGTTAACTTAGTCTATAGCTATAGAGATATTACAAAAAATTCAGAATGTTGAATATAGCTGGCTCCTTCTTACTGCTCTTAGTAACAAGGAACTCAGACTAGGGCTAGCTGGTTGCAAGCTGAGTAAGAAAGCAGCTTTGCTGAAATTGTAAATTACTTGAGGTGACAGATACCTCGTTTACTCTGCGATTATTATGGAGTGTATGCCTAAAGTATCTCATGCACCCATAAATATATACATTTACTATGTACCCACATAAATGTACTTAAAAGTAAAAAAGTTAAAAAAAGAAATAAGATGGACTTATACTTGAAAAGAGAAGAGAAAGAAAAAAGAAAGAAAGAAAGAAAAGAGAGAGAGAGGAAACAGCTTTGCTAAGAAAACCACTCTCCTTGTGAATTAGAATTAAATTTGACTGAGGGTCCTGTGATTTTGATGTTTGCAGGTCTGAAAAAGCCAAGCATAGCAATTACAAGCATTGGCTACAGTATCATAGCCACCTCAGAAGGTTGGTGCCCCATCATACATGAGCTGAGTTTCTTGGCAGAGATGGGATTAAGAGTGCTTCAGATGACCTCAAAGGAGTCATCAGTAAGTTCAGAGTAGGGAAGAAGGACAGAGGCCAGTAAATAAAAGACAGGGTCTTTAGGTTCAAAACTACGTCCAGTTAAGACCTTTGCCTATAGTTGTTAATGGAACTGACAAGAAACAGACTAAAAGGCTACTAAGTTTGTGAGGGACTTGGACTGCCAAAATGCAGGATGGTCTGCACAGCCGCTACTGTACAACCCCTAAAGCAATTGCCGGGGCTCATGCTGGTACGAGAAGGAAGTATTAGAACCCACTCAGAAGAGCATTCACCCTAATGCCACCTCAAATATGGGCACAGAAGACAGGAGCAACAGAGGACAAAGGACTAAGGCGTATCCCTCACAGAGGAAAGCCAGGGGCCATCAGATGGGGTACTAAAGACCGTCCTTCAGTGCTTGCGCAGAAAGGCTCCAGGATTTCCACCAAGCAAGGTTTAATAATTCCTATTGAAAACTCATGTGTTTCTTATTCTCCCATTTTTCAAATGGGAGCTTTAAATATTCTCTTATTTCCATTCTATTTTATATTGGGAATGTTAGGTTGCTTTTTAGCTTATATCCATCAGCCCATGGAAAGCCACACCTGGACTTCCTGAAAAGGACAGAGCATCACCCAGAGATCATGTACTTATAAGAGGACAGGGTAACTAGATGGGACTGGGGCTCTCTCTCTTAGAGTAAGTTCTGTATGTAGCAAGAAGAATGGACAAATGGTGACTGTGGCAAAGACTGCTAATTGCTCCCCACTATTTCATCTCCCCTTCTTTCCAAGAGACTCTTTAAAGGGGGACAAAAAACTCAAACTAAACACTAAATTTTCTTAGCCTCTCTTGCAGGTAAGTGTGGCCATATGACTAAGTTCTGACAATTTGACATAATCAAAAGTGACGGGTATGACTTTCAGGAAGTATTACAAGGGAAGAAACACACACTCTTGTTTGCCCCTTGCCTTCCTACTGTTTGGAATGCAGATGTGATGGCTGGAGATTAAGCAGCCATCTTTGACCATGAGATGAAAGTTCAATCCTACATCTCTGACATGCTGGAGCCTTACAGAGTTCCACCATCTGGCTCTGGACTTCATTTACATGACTGAGAAATAAACTTTTTTTTTATGCCATATTTTTTCTGTCACTTGCAGATGAATCAAACTACAACTTTTATATACATAAATATATATGCATGCAAACGTGTGCATGTATGTATGTAACCTAGTTAAAACCTTTCCCTATACTGGTAGATTTAATGATATCACGGATAAAATGAAACCTATAAAGTATAATTGTGTGAAGAAAGGGGATTGATTTTCATGGAAGACCTGTAAATTCAGTATTTCTTTCTCATCCATAAAAAGCCTATAGTAAACATTTATGTTCCTTGCATACTGGATTTAACACTGGGGTTTTACCATTCTTACCAAACATTCTGGCTTATAAACATCTACCTAATATTAACCACAACTTAAGAATATCCGTCCCTAAAAGACAGTTACCAAGTTTTACTAATCTCTTAATATTCTATACCTAACAAGTGCCAGACACACGGTCTATAACCAATAAATACTAGTAGAATAAATGCAAAATTTAATCTCTTTTGAAATTAATGTTAATTCACAGGGACATTTTGATCTTATTTCCAGAATTCAAATTGGTCAGATCTTTTTCTTTTTTTTTTGAGACAGAGTCTCGCTCTATTACCCAGGCTGGAGTGCAGTGGCATGATCTCAGCTCACTGCCAGCTCTGCCTCCCGGGTTCACACCATTCTCCTGCATCAGCCTCCCGAGTAGCTGGGACTACAGGTGCCCGCCACCGCGCCCGGCTAATTTTTTTGTCTATTTTTTTTAGTAGAGATGGGGTTTCACCATGTTAGCCAGGATGCTCTCAATCCCCTGACCTTGTGATCCACCCGCCTTGGCCTCCCAAAGTGCTGGGATTACAGGTGTAAGCCACCGTGCCTGGCTTTTTTTTTTTTTTTTGAGATGGAGACTCACTCTGTCACCCAGGCTGGAGTGCAGTGGTGCGATCTCGGCTAACTGCAAGCTCCACCTCCCGGGTTCACACCATTCTCCTGCCTCAGCCTCCCAAGTAGCTGGAACTACAGGTGCCCGCCACCATGCCCAGCTAATTTTTTGTATTTTTAGTAGAGACAGGGTTCACCATGTTAGCCAGGATGGTCTCGATCTCCAGACCTCATGATCTGCCCGCCTCGGCCTCCCAAAGTGCTGGGGTTACAGGCGTGAACCATCGCGCCCAGCCCTGGTCAGATCTTAATAATCTGAGATTCAGCCTTTTAAAAAAATTATTGGTTATATTACCCAGTCTTCTTTTTCTCATTTTTTCTGAGGACTTAATTAGGGCACCTTTTCGATATTACTGCAAAGTCGACTAGAACATTCAAAAGTACACATACTGTACATGCTCCCTTGATTTCTTCCTGATTTTCAGTAGGAATATAAGGTCCTAGAGTGGCCCATTCACATAATGAGGGCTCAGTGAATGTGAGAATGATGATAAGGAGGAGTACAAGGAGGCAACAGTGACCCATCATTGACTCTTTCTCCTTGTGCCTGCAGCAAGTGATGAAATGGATCTCTGGTTAGGAATACAGGGTGCTTATGGGCAGGAGTTTAAGCTAGAGATTTAATATACTTGGCTTTAAGAAAGAAAGATAAGTAGGAGGAAGACATGAGGGCTTAAAGTTTTTGAAATGTAGTTTAGAATGGATAATAGCTTCACAACATGTTAACAACCACTGGCATTAGCATTTCATTTTAAAACACGTACACATACTTCATTAAGAAACTCTGCAGTTTTATAATTAAAGATGTTATTACAGATAAAACACTCATTACTTTTATTTGTAGTTTTTCTCCTCATGGTCACATTCAAACATAGCTTCATTTTCTAAACATTTTACGTAAAAAATTGATACGTAATACTATGCATATTTATGGAAGGTATATGTGGTATTTTGATATATGCACACAATGCGTAATGATCAAATTAGAGTATTTAGGATATCTGTTACTCAAAATGTATCATTTCCTGTGTTGGGAACATTTCAAATCTCCTCTTCTAGCTATTTGGAAATATACAATAAATTGTTGTTAATTATAGTCACTCTACTGTGCTACCAAACACTAGAACTTATTCCTTCTATCTAGCTATATGTTTGTACCCCTTAACCAATCTCTCTTCATCACCACCTACCTCCCTTTCCACTTTCTGGTAAGCATCATTCTATGTTCCATCTCCATGAGATCAATTTTTTAGCTCCTGCATATGAGTGAGAACACGCGGTATTTGTCTTTCTGTGCCTGGTTTATTTCAGTTAACATAATGACCTTTGGTTCCATCCATGTTGCTGCCACGACAAAATTTCACTCTTTTTATGGTTGAATAGTATTCTGGTGTGTGCTATATCTTTAACCATTCATCTGATGATGGACATTTAGGCTGATTCCTTATCTTGGCTATTGGGCATAGTTTATCTGCAATAAACATGGGGGAACAGGTATCTCTTTGATACTGATTTCCTTTCCTTTGGATAAACAGCTAGTAGTGGGACTGCTGTAGCACATAGTCATTCTGCTTTAACAAACACAGCTTCTTTATTGATCCCCTCACCCAGTGACTGGATGGAGAGTGAAGGTAAAAAGGAGGCGATATTGACTATAGAATGTTGTATTAAATGTCCAGGAGATGGCATGTATAATATAACATTTCTATTCAATAGTGTAGTATAATTTTCAATTGGAAAATTATCATCCCTATTGTTTCCAAAAACTATCCTACTTGGAAGTTATAATAGCAATAAATAAAATTTGGAGATCCACAAGCTAGAGCTTGAATCTGAACTCTGGCAATTATTAGCACTGTGACTTCAGGCAAGTTATTTAACTTCTATGTACCTAAATTTCTTAACCCTAAAATGGGGATAAGATTTTGTATATAATATGTGCCATTGTGAGAATTAAATGAGTTAATTCATGTAAACCACTTAGTACCATGTAAACTACACTGATTTCAACATATTATAGGCTCAATAAATATTGCCTAATAATTATTCTTAGCTATTAGCCAGCGGGGGTCCACAGAATCTCTAAGAAGGCAAAGTATTATGTGCTATTAAAAGGAATGTATCACTTTTTCTGCAAAGAGAAGAGGATTTTCTTGTCTACGAAAAGAGAACTTTAATTAAAACAGACCAAGAAATACTGCTCTAAGCCTTACTCTTGTTAGTTCCAGAGTTAAGTGCCATTCATTCAACAGACACGTATTATCCCTGCTTCTTACTCTTGAGTCCCTTCCTGCCATATATACGGTGCAGAGTTGTGGGGGTGTCAAGGAGGACAAACCAAGCACTGTGCAAGGAACTGGGGATGCTGCAGTCAAAAAAGGACCATGAAGATTTCTAACTTTAGACGTTAGTACAACTCAATAGCTTTTGAATACTCATGAAATTTGGAAAAGAAAGCAATCTAACAATATTTTTTGTTTTTTCATATTCTCCAGAGCCCCCAGCCCAGTGCTTGCTTATAAGAGGCAACTCTCAATAACACTTGGCCCTTCTTCCCTTCCTTTTCCTACAACTGTATTGTCTCTTGGCTTCCGTGGTATTATTTCCTCCTGGGTCTCCACCTCCACGGGCCTGACCCTGCCTTTTTAACCTGCCACAGAATCCTTTTTCCTTTCCCATTATTACTGAAATATTGGTGTTCCCTAGACTTCTGTTCTTACCCTTCCATTTTTCCTTCTGGATGATCTCATTACCTATAACTTCATCTACTACTCAAATGCTGATTACTCCCAAGCATTTATCTCTAGACCCTCATCTTTCTTTTTGGCTCCTGACCCACATTTTCTACAGCCTAAGGGGGGCTCTATCCTAGATTTTCCAGGCAGTCACTGCAAATTCAGCATGTCTAACATCAAACTCATCTTTCCTACCTAAACTCCTCCTCCTTCTCATTTCCCTATCTGGGTTAACTATATGATTTTCTATTATTATGCCTTACTTAAGATACCAAGGAGCTACTTTTGACACCCATGCATGCCTTCCTCATCTTCTCTTCTAAGTGTACATTGTAAATTTCTTCTCCTCAATATTTGCTGAATCCACTTTATTGTCTCCAGTGCTAGAGGAAAATGCCTTAGATTAGACCAGCAGTACAACACTATGGATAAGAGCACTGGCTGGGTAATCCCCTGGCCTGGATTCTATCAAGGTTCTATCACTAACTGCATGACTTTGGGCAAATTACTTAACATCTTTGGGCCTTGAGGATTAAACAATCTAAGACATACAATGCTTTAACAGTAGTGCTTGGCATGAAAGTAAACACCCAAAAATATTAGATAATTGTTTTATTATGATTATCATGTTAAGTATTATCGGTATACTTACCATTGCATTTATTACTAGTCTGGACACATAACCGATAAAAATAGAAATCATTTAATTAATATATGCTATTGGAACTGGTAAAAAGAACCACAGTAGAAACTGAGGGTATATAGTTCCAGTATGCATTAATTCATTGTGGGCTTTTTTTTTTTTTTTTTTTTTTTTTTTGAGACAGGGTCTTGCTCTGTTGCCCAGGCTGGAATGCAGTGGTGTGATCTCGGCTCATGGTAGCCTCTGCCTCCCAGGCTCAACCTCAGCCTCCCAAGTAGCTGCGACTACTTGGGACTATAGGCGAGTGCCTCCCAGGATCCTCCCACCTCAGCCTCCCAAGTAGCTGCGACTACAGGCGAGTGCCACCACACCTGGCTAATTTTTGTAGAGATGGGGTTTTGCTATGTTGTCCAGGCTGTTCTTGAACTCCTGGACTCAAGCAATCTGTCTGCCTCAGCCTCTGAAAGTGCTGGGATTACAGGCATGAGCCACCATGCCTGGCCTCAACAACTCTTTCTAACCATTCCGAACCCTGACATTTGTTTTATAAAATGCAAATTAAAAATACTAACCCTATGTACTTTGCTAAGTTTTGGTAACATAATGAGTTAATATGCAAGCTCTGTGGAATATGAAAGCACTCTGTCAAAAAAAGAAAAACGTTATTATTCTACTACTTCATGTATATGTGATTGGACCTTTATGTTTATGATATACCACTGAGGCAGGAAAAATGCACAAGAGATTAAGAGACGATGATTTCTGAAAGGAATAACATAATCATATTGTAAAGGAAGGATATAAAGTGAATGAAGTTTAGGAAAAATGAGGTTCCTTTCTTGACCAGACTACAAGGAAATGGAAAGCAAGTCAACATAAAGTAACAGTTGCCTTCAAACCAGTGAATCGAATTTGGGGTAGTCCCAGAATCCTACGGTATTTAGCACATTGTGTCATAATCTATTTAGCATATAATCTTCTAAATATAACAACACACTGGAGAAGGAAAAAAAAGTAAATATGTTTTTCTGCTAAATAACTGATCCAATGATATATATGTATTCATTAGAAAAGTTCTAAAAGTAGCAATGGAGAGAAGGGAAAAGAACTTCACTACCTCAGAAAGAAATTTGGCAAAAGATAAAAACAGTGAACACGACCTTAGTGCTACCCAAAATAACAACTTAGCTAAAGATACTAGAAATGATGACATAAAGCCAGAAAACATTTTTCAGGGAAGCATTTTGCCTAAAGTATTTTGGAGGTGGTTACTTAGTGAACAGAAACACATCTGGGAATGCATCTGGAAGAAAATATAATTATCTAATCCTTGCTGAATCATTCTTTTTTTTTCTTTTGCATTTATTTTCTTTTCTTCTGATAAATATTCTACTTATGTTTCCAAGCCACTAGGACTAAAACTAGATGAATAAGGCAGAATAAAATACTAATTTAATGTAACATAGCTTTATCAGATTGTGTTCCAATAAGCACACATGAATGACCAGGACTAATGATAGGAAAGAAAAATTACTCAGGATGTTAATAATTTAGCATCCTTTTTGCAGATAGACTGGAAAAGTAGGTCATAGGATGGGCTGGATGATATAAGTTAGCTCAATGACTCACTCACAGTCATCATCCTGCCATAAAGCCAAGTAATACTGGCTTTATGCCCTTGTGCCCCTTCCATTGAATGAGTATACAGCGGAGAGATCACAGAATGAAACTTCCTCTGCAAGTCTGCTACTTCCCCTCTAGTTTGTTCTCTCCTCGCCCTGCAAAAGATTCCCCTTTACCCATGAGTGCTCATTGCTTATTAGCTGTGGTATTTCACTGGGCAATCTCTGGGTATAGTGAACTTACGGGAATAATAATAAATATCACAGTGCTAAAATGGTTAATATTCTATAAGCAACAAGGGAAATTAACCCTGAAGTGCACAGTACCTTAAGAAATGATAATGGCAAATTCTAAAATGAACAATATCATGGGATTAAAAATCAACATGGAGACGCCACAGTAAGATGCAACTTAACGTTAGATCCATGCAACTTGCAGGTAAAAACAAAACCGTTTATTAATTCATTCAAATTGTATTTACCAAGTGAGAAAGATAGAGATGTTAACTATTTAAGGTCTAGTTAACATAAACTAAAAAGCTACTGGACTTCTAACAAAATACTCTGTCTAAAGAGTTAGGTCTTTTAATATATAAACTGTTTCATTTCCTAAATATCTATCCGTAGGATATTCTTACATGTTTCTTTCACATTTTAATGTGTGAACTTGAGGACTTAAAGATTCTTTTACTTAGCATTAAAACATATGCTTAAGAACTGCGCATGTTGTCATTTTTTGAATATATGTTAATGCATGGTTTATGTTGGGGAGTGACTATACATTCACTGCTGCTCAAATGATAGAGGCCCAATTAAAGTAATTGTCTAATGCCTCAAGGCCCTGGGAACCCTAATTATATCATCCCCAACATAACGCAGTACAAAAATCATTGAATTGGGAAGTAACTCTCTCAAAAACACATGAAAAAAGAAAAAAGAATCATTCATGTTTTATACTTTAAAAAACATCTCAGTAATAAGTTTAAAAGATAACAGAAACATCAGTTATGTGACAATGAATGATAGTAAAATATATAAGATACATATTTTAAAATACAAAGACAAATTTTTTTTGAAAGACAGGATCTTGCTCTGTCACGCAGGCTGGAGTGCAGCAGCATGATCATAGCTCATTGTAACTTCCAACTTCCAGGCTCCAGTGATCCTCCTGCCTCAGCCTCCCTAGTAGTTGAGACTACAGGTGTACATCAGCATGCTCAGCTAGTTTTTTTATTTTTATTTTTTTGTAGAGATACGGTCTCACAGGCTGGTCTGGAACTCCTGGGCTCAAGTGATCCTCCTACCTCAGCCTCCCAAAGTATTGGGATTACAGGTGTCAGCCACTGCACCCAGCCAAACACAGATTATTTCTAAAACCAGAATTGCACCGCTTGCTTTGTTCTATATAGTTTCTTCCCCTATCCCTACAAATCCCATTTTATACTTCAAAAAATCATCTTATCCATTTAGATAAAAACATCAAATTACTCAGTTAATGTTCAATTGGATTAATAAATCTGAATAGAATAATTTAAGTCATATGATTGCTCATGGCCAGCTGTTTTAAATTAGTATATTAAGTCATTTAGACGCTCTTCTTTGCAAAGGTTGCATGATTTAATAAATTCCCATATGCCTCAACATGTGCCAACACTGCTAGGTTATCTTGTATCCAGCTGCTGTTGTGATGATGGCTGCCAACTTTCAAACAACTGAAGAGAATAATGAACCAGCTTAGTTGGCTCATATGTAAACTTACATTGCTACCAGCTAAAACATGGGCCATTTTCAACTGCAAAGAAAATTAATTAAAAAGATTTCACTTCCACTTTCATGGCTCTACCAATACCACAAAATTAGCAGTTTGAAAGCTTGCAGCTTCAGGTAAACTCCCACAGTTTGGATTTCAATCTTAAATGCTATAGGTTGTCTTAAAAAATGGATTTTTTAAGGAAACAGATCAGGAAATGCCTTGTCCATAACTCATAACACAAATATTTGAGAAGCCTCACACTGCTGGAGAAAAAAGAGAGACTTATTTGTTAAAGGCACATTACAAAAAAGGCTTCAAAGACTTCAGGGGAAATGAGAGATGTAAATGAAATGGGCCGCCATTTAGAAAGGATTTAAAAAGCAAACAGAAAAAGAAAGCACCAAACATACCACTTTAAGTCAGGATCATTTTATGAATGAGCGTTAGGCACAAATCAGGGCAACATGATAGTGTTAGGCCCCTCCAAGAGTGAAAATACTGTGTTGAATTTTAATAAAGGCTGGACAAGACAATTTTGTGCTGGATCAGTTATCCAGGCTAGTGGCTCTAAAGAAAGCCCTGAAACTTTGGTGTTTCCAAAATGAGCACTAATCTATTTGGCATAAAGCTATACTAGTTTTTATAGCGGAAGGTAGGTCAAACATAAGAACTATTTAAAATATTTCATTTATTTCTTTTTTCTTTCTTTTTTTATTTTTGAGATGGAGTCTCACTCTGTCACCCAGGCTGGAGTGCAGTGGCACGATCTCAGCTTACTGCAACTTTTGCCTCCCGAGTTCAAGTGATTCTCCTGCCTCAGCCTCCCCAGTAGCTGGGATTACAGGCACGTGCCACCATGCCTGGCTAATTTTTGTGTAGGTATGTGTGTATATATGTGTGTGTGTGTGTGTGTATATATATATATATATATATATATATATTTAGTAGAGATGGTTTCACCATGTTGGCCAGGCTGGTCTTAAACTCCTGACCTCAGGTGATCCACCCACCTCAGCCTCCCAAAGTGCTGGGATTAGAGGTGTGAGCCACTGTGCCTAGTCTAAAATATTTCATCTACTTCTAAATGTCCATAATAGTTGGAAATTACTCACCAGGTAGATGGACTTCCCCAAGAGGACAGGAAAACTCTTTTTCGCTAAATGGCAAAGCTGATTATACTGTCCTCATGGGAGTAAGTCTATATTATTCTTCACAACAGATGGACTAGACAAAATACACAATTTTATGGTTCTGATGAACTGTCTAAAACTATGCAAGGATCACTTTTTTATTTTTTGAGATAGGTCTCACTCTGTCACCCAGGCTGGAGTGCAGTGGCGTAATCTTGGCTCACTGCAACCTCCGCCTCCCAGGCTCAATTGTTTCTCCCACCTCAGCCTCCCAAGTAGTTGGGATCACAGGTGCGAGCCAACACGATCAGCTAATTTTTTGTATTTTTGATACAGACGGGGTTTCACCATGTTGCCCAAACTGATCTTGAACTCCTGAGCTCAGGAGATCCATCCACCTCAGCCTCCCAATGTACTAGGATTCCAGGTGTGAGCCACCGCACTGGGCCTAGGATCACTTTATTGGCAGTGATAATCTGATTTTTTTTTTTTTTTTTAAAATAGGTTACCTGAAGTTTTCTCAGTCATCTGCTATACATAAGCAGGTATATCATATTGGCTGCCTACTACAGTTTTGCAATATATCTTACTTATAATCTAAATGTGAAATTATATACCAGGGTTGCTTCTGCCCTTGCTGCATATACACAATACAGCGTTAATTTAAAAATCTCTCAGAGATGCTAACTGACTAGACTCATACTCTACAATCTAATTGACGCATGGCACTTGAAACTGAAACTATATATGGGGGGGTATGGGATGGAGTGTGATCTCCAGGCATCTCCAATATCTTCTCCAGGTATGTCTAATATTTTCATTGCTAGAAATACTAGAGATCCCTGGGAAACATAGTTGGTTCTAGGATCCTCCAGTTGGTTGAATACTTCTAGAAAAACTACATAGATGCCTCACAATAACTCAGAATCCAACGAAAGGACCCAGATCCAAAGAAATCCAAGAGACTATTTCCTAATACCTGACATGATCATCTTTTTACCTCTATATAGCTCATAGAGGCTGTTGGAACTGTCCAAGATGGAACAGATTTAACAGACCTCCAGAACAACGTAACTTGTGAAATTGTTGCCCATTTAAGTAGCCACAGTAATTCCTCCAACAACTGAGTCAGCCCTCAACCAAATAAAGATAAAAGAGAGGTGCTGATTCCTTAACCTCGTTTAATCACACTAATGCAACAAACTATCTGGAAAGTGTTCTAGTCTATTCTGCACCCGGGATGCATGTTTATACTTGGGAAAATATTGTGTAACAAGTATCAAGTTTTTATTGGCTACTGCTGTAATAGGCAAAGAAGGAAGAAATTTCACAAGTGCAACTGACTTGAAATTTTGAAAATATTCCATTTACCAGTGCCAGAGTGCCCAAAAGAACTCTTTTATATGAGACAAATTTGCCTGCAATAATAGAAGAAAGGCAAGAAAGGGCTATAGGCCAACAGCAGATACTTAAACAAATAAAAATCTATATTCTTTAGCCTAACACAGTTCTGTTCAAGATTTGAAAGTATTAAAAAGGGTAGAGATCTATTTTCCATTTTCCACTTTGAAGGCTGTAGCACTTAACAAATACAGCTTCTATGCACTGATTTGAATATTTGGACAATTAGCTGTATTTGTCTGAATGTACACTAAGTAGCTTTATTCTTGGTGGTTAGGATAATCAAGAATGCCTAGAGGTTAAAAAAAAACTTAGAAAGATATGTAATGGAAAGGTATGGAAGAATAGAAAAAGGAAAAAAAAGAAAAAGATTTTTAAAATGATCATATGCAGTTAGGATAAATGACTAATTAAAGGTGGAAAAAATAATTGCTTACAATTTGTATAAAGCAATCGTATCCATGCAGTACTCTGACATAGTACAAAGGTACATAATTATAAACAAGACGATGGAAATAAAAAGTTGTATCTTAATTAAGAAAAACAACAAAGGAAAAGGCTATGGAAAAAATGTATGAAAAGTAGGAAGACCCAGGCCACAAATACGCCAAGACAAATGACATATCCCCAGAGGGGAGAACAGTGATGTAGACTTGAGAAGGCTCTGTGTGACCTGGGCCAACACTTCCATTTCCTGCCTAGCATAATCACAGAAGGCAGTCAATGTTTGGTGATGATGAGGAGCAGGGTTTTGAAGAACATAATTAAGGGCTGAAAGTATTTTCTGTGGAAACAAAATTATCATTCATGTCTGACATTGTGTAAATATGCCTTAATTTTGGTCAATAGCAATTTGAACTTTAAAAAGTAGAATCCTCAAACCTTCTTGTAAATCACAATTCTTTAAGCAAACTGCAGGGCTTCGTGTGTAAAAGCATAGACATTCCAGATACTCTTTAAAAAATGCTGTTTAGTAGAAAATTATCTATTTTGTAGTGACACAATTTGGCCTCTGTCCATGTCAAAACCAGCTCATAACTTCAAAAAGCCACATTAAAGGAGATTTACACAGAGCAAAGCTAAAGCAGTTTTCATCCACCAGGTCAGGTATAAAAATAATCACAATTCACATTACCTTAAAAAGACTGGCAATCTTACACAAATTAATGGTGTGTCATGTACAGATGGAAGGTGGATATAAACTGAGGAGAAAGAAAAAACCACATCAAAGGTGCCAAGGAGACTTAAAGGCTTTGAAAGCTTCGAAAGTCTCGCCTTCTCTCTTGTACCTTTAATTGTAAGGCTGCAATAAGTGCATTTTTGCCACAAGCTTTTGAAAGAAAAAAGAAATGGTTATTTTCTTAAGTACTAACAGACTTACTTCTCTTTCAGAAAATCCACTACTCTTTTGAAGTCAGCCACACAGTATTCTCTTTTCATTTCCATGAGTACGCTGTCGGAGGCAGACTGGACTGGTATGTGCAGAAAAGCGTAGACTCTGGGGTGATTAAGGATTTTTGCCATTTCCTTAAAAAAATGGAAGGAGAAAACACTAATCATTTTAACAAATTGTGGAATGGTTTTCCTCACATCAACACCACAAGCGCAAGCAAATAAACATACTAGCTGAAAACAGACCAATCATCAAGGCTCTTAAAGTGAACATCAGTTGGTAATATTCTATGATGAGATTTGGGAATTCAATATCACTTTCAGAGGATTCCACACAACAATTATTTCCTCATGCTCGCTGTTTCTCTTAGGTGACAAAACAGAGATAAAGTCACATAATGCCTAAAGAGTAAAAAGATTTTTCAGGATTCCAAAACAAACACCATTTCTACTTCACTTCCAAGGAGTTTTACATTCTGCCTTGTTACATTTGTGGGAAAAACATCAGTATTTAAGGCAAACACTTGAGATCCCATAATCCCCTATACTGGAATACAGAAAGTTTCCAAATTTAGGTTAACACATTTTTTAATACAAATATTATTGCCAAGACAAATGACATATTTGTACAAAAAAAATCAGGAAAAAAACTCTACAACTCACCTGTTTCTTTCTTTTTTTTTTTTTTTTT
Source organism: Homo sapiens (assembly GCF_000001405.40). Lineage (NCBI taxonomy): Eukaryota > Metazoa > Chordata > Mammalia > Primates > Hominidae > Homo > Homo sapiens. The sequence goes on along the minus strand of NC_000006.12, from coordinate 20,999,670 downwards.
TTTTTTTAATTTCAGTCACATATTTTTTGAGTATCTATTACGCAAAAGGCACATGACCCGACAGTGAGGCCAGCCACTTCACCACTGGGCACCTACTAACTTTCATACTTAAGATGCATAAAAAGAAGAGAAAGAAGAGATGAAGATTAAGAAGAACGTATCTTGCCAAGCGAAAGAGAATACATTTAAGTGAAAAACATTAAAAACTCAGAGAGTGTTTAAAAATTCCTCCAAGGATACAAAGGGGGCGAATAAGAAAGAGTGACAGAGGTGAAGTTCTGTAATGTCACCATTCATGTAAGCATTAGGTAAGATGACTAATGTGGCCCTTCTCCACTGCTGCATGCTGTCAGGTCATCGATTTGAAAGAGAGGGAGGAAAGGAAGGAGAGAAAGAGAAAAAGAAAAAAGAAAAGAAACAAAGAAAAAAAGAAAAAGAAAAGTGAAAAGAAAGAGACAGCAGGCACATACGGCCTTTCAGAGTCCAGTAGTGAATAAAAATGTCATAAAGGGAGTGGCTCATTAATAAGTTGCATGTGTCCAGTGATTCTTAGTTTTCAAAGTATTGCACTTTCACATCTGTTACCTCATTTCATCCTTCAAAAAATATTTTGAAGGATCTTATGGAATCAAAGAGCCAGCTAATTCCGTCCAGTTACCTCTCAGCTCTTCAAGAGTTAGTCATGCATACGGATCAACCATGCCCTGTGTTTCTCCATTTTCTTTTCATTGACTGTGAACATTAGCATTTTAGCCAAAGGGGAAGCCCAGAGATGAACTCAAATCAGTCACCTTCTTAGCAGCGGTTGTTTAAAATAATCCTTTCACTAAGATTATCAAATACAATTACTCATAGATATCCTTTATCCACACTTTCTCTACCAGGAATTAATAGGTATATACCTTATTAACCTTGTTACATATAGACTACTAAATTGGAATTGGAGTTGAAGAATTTCTTATTTAGTAGAAAAGCAGCTGGATACACTTTCATGAAACTGTTACATTTCTGGGCTGGGTATTCAGTAGGCTCTTTTTTTTTTTTTCTTTTTTCTTTTTTTGAGATGGAATTTTGCTCTGTCACCCAGGCTGGAGTGCACTGGCGCGATCTCAGCTCACTGCCACCTCCACCTCCCGGGTTCAAGTGATTCTCCTGCCTAAGCGTCCAAGTAGCTGGGATTACAGGCATGTGCCACCACGCCCAGCTAATTTTTGTGGTTTTAGTAGAGATGGGGTTTCACCATGTTGGTCAGGCTGGTCTTGAACTCCCGACCTCAGGTGATCCGCCTGCCTCAGCCTCTCAAAGTGCTGGGATTACAGGCGTGAGCCACCGCGCCTGGCCTCAGCAGCCTCTTTGTAGCCATACTGCACACTTGGAGCTGGGCGAGGCAGAGCCACACTCACATTACGCATCCTACAGTAAATATGCTGGCCTTATGCTAGAATACTCTGCCTTTCAGGTTCTTCACACTTGAACATCAAAATCCCCCCCAAATTTAAGAAACATAACTGTACAAAGATCTTTGTTTTCTAAAGTGGCAGCACTCACAGCTTTAGACATATCTATTGCGGTGAGAAATGACATCTTGACATGTAATACACTTTGCGAGATGAAACTTCACACTCAGGCTGTGTACCTTCTTCTCATCTATAAAATGGAGAGAAGGATAATATTCACCTCATAGGGCTACTGGGCTATTGTGAAAATAAATTAAGATAATCCAGTATATGCTAATAGAGTAAGCACTCCATATGTAAATCATCTAATTTTTTATTTTTTTTCTTTTGGTAAGTATTTTAAGTTCCCTGTATCACAATTTTATATGGATTACAGGGAACCTATCAATAAATAAAACAGCTTTCTGATAAGCTAGTTCCCGAACTAGCAAGTGAAGGAGAAATAACTGGTACTGATTTGCATGACATAAATTTGAAAGGGGTTTACCAGCAAACATGACCCCGGGCCAGAGAGGGTGGTGCAGTTTCTCTTGGAAACACTCAGGGTGGCCTCTTACTATAAACAGGATACTGAGCTAGATGAAACTTTGCCCTGCTACAGTATGCCAATTTACAAATTAAAATGTTAATAGCAAACAAGTAGGATAAATGTAGTGGTTTCCCCCTCCCCCCGCCACCCCCGTGGTTCTCAAAATAAACCTTCCCACTAGTAATTATCTTTAGCTTCATACTACAGGCCTTGCAACTTTATACTGCTAGAACACAAAATAAAAATACACTTGCCCCTTAATTAAAGTCCATGTTTCTACCACTGAGAGAATCATGACTTAACACAGATTAATGTCCCCAAGGAGACAAAGTATGTATTTTTTGTTTTGCTTTCTCTTCCATTCCTCTCCTTGCTCAGCACTCTTAGTTTAGGACAACTTGTGTTCTCTTCATCTTTCAGAATCTTCTTCCTTTATGACTTCTCAGCAACTTGTTCCTGGTGTTACCAAAGTGTTTACTTAGCTCTTCCTGGCAATACAATAATGAATCTCCAGAACTGAATGCTACAAGGCTGCTACAAGGCCAGAAATTATATTTTACTCTTCCCTCTGCATTTCTACAATAGCTTATACTGTGCTAAGCACACCACTAAACATTTAAATACAGATATGGGTTACAACTACATCAACATACACGAAAAGAGGTGTAAATTGTAATTTCAATAGGAAGACAAACTTTCATTCAGTAATATTTCAGTTTGGCTCGACCAGGTAAACAAACATATATTCAAGTAGGTAAACAGGCATTTAATCAGCCTGCCTTAATTTCTGGAACAAATGAATAATTATATGTAAATCTATAGGTATATACATAAGTACAGGCATACATCATTTTATTGTGCTTCCCAAATATTGTGTTTCTTACAAATTGAAGGTTTGTGGCAACCCTGTGTCAAGCATGTGCACTGGCAAATTTTTTCAACAGCATGTGCTCACTTCGTATCTCTGTGTCACATTTTGGTAATTCTTGCAATATTTTAGACTTTTTAAATTATTACTGTATCTGATGTGATGATCTGTCATCAGTGATCTTTGATGTTACTCTTGTAATTATTTTGGGGTGCCACAAACCGCGCCCATATAAGATGGCAAATTTAATAAATGTTGTGTGTGTTCTGACTGCTCTTCCAACTGGCTCTTCCCATCTTGGGCCTCCCTATCCTCTGAGATACAACAATATTGAAATTAGGCCAATTAATAACCTGACGAAGGCCTTTAAATATTCAAGTGGATGGAAAAGTCCCACGTTTCTCACTGTAAATCAAAAGCTAGAAGGCATTAACCTTAGTGGGGAAGGTATGTCAAAAGCTGAGACACGTTAAAAGCTAGGCCTCTTGCACCAGTCAGCCAAATTATGAATGCAAAGGAAAAGTTCTTGAAGGAAATCAAAAGTGCCACTCCAGTGAACTCATGAATGATAAGAAAGTCAAACAGCCTTATTGCTGATATGGAGAAAGTTTCAGTCGTCTGGATAGATGATCAAACCAGCCACAACATTCCCTTAAGCACAAACCTAATCCAGAGCAAGGCCCTAACTCTCTTCAATTCTATAAAGGCTGATTGAAGTGAGGAGACTGCAGAAGACGTTTGAAGCTAGAAGAGGTTGGTTCATGAGGTTTAAGGAACGCTGTTTCCATAACATGAAAGTGCAAACTGAATAAGCAAGTGCTGAAGTAGAAGCTGTAGCAAATTATCCAGAAGACTTAGCTAAGATCACTGATGAAGATGGCTATGGCACACCGCAGATTTTCAATGTAGACAAAACAGCCTTCTATTAAAAAGTGGTGGCATCTAGGACTTTCATAGGTAGAGAAGAGAAGTAAATACAAAAGGCTTTGAAGCAATGCTTCAAAGCTTCAGAGGACATAAAGACTGACTCTCTTGTTAGGGGATAATGCAACTGGTGACTGTAAGTTGAAACCAATTCTCATTTACCATTCTGAAAATTCTAGGGCCCTCAAGAATTATGATAAATTGACTCTGTCTGTACTCTATAAATGGAACACCAAAGCCTGGTGAGAGCACATGTGTTGACAGCATGGTTTACTGGATATTTTAAACCCACTATCGAGACCTACTGCTCAGGAAAAAAAGATTCCTTTCAAAATATTACTGCTCATGGACAATGCACCTGGTCATCTAAGAGATCTGATGGGGATGTACAAAGAGATTAATGTTTTCGTGCCTGCTAACACAACATCCATTCTGCAGTACATGGACCAAGGAGTAATTTCAACTTTCAAGTTCATTATATAAGAAATACATTTTTGTAAGGCTATAACTGCCATAGTGATTCCTCTGGTGGATCTAGGTAAAGTAAATTAAAAGCCTTCTGGAAAGGACTCGTCATTCCAGATGCTGTTAAGAACATTCATGATTCATGGGAGGAGAACAAAATATCAATATAAACAGGAGTTTGGAAGACATTGATTTCAACCCTCATGGATAACTTTGAGGGGTTCAAGACTTCAATGGAGAAAGTAAGTGCAGATGTGGTGGAAACAGGAAAACAACTAGAATTACAAGTGGAGCCTGAAGATATGACGGAATTGCTGCAATCTCATCATCAAACTTGAACAGATGATGAGTTGTTTCTTATGGATGAGCAAAGAAAGTGGTTTCGAGATGGAATGTATTCCTGTTGAAGACACTGTGAAGACTGTTGAAATGACAACAAAGTATTTATGATAATATACAAATGTAGTTGATAAAGCAGAGTTTGACAGGGTTGACTCCAATTTTGAGAGAAGCTGCACTGCCACAGCTCCTTTCTTAACCTTTAGCAATCACCACTCTGATAAGTCCATAGCCATCAACATCGTGGCAAGACCCATCACAAGCAAAAAGATAATAACTCGCTGAAGGCTCATTTTTTAGCAATAAAGTATTTTAAAATTAAGGTATGTACATTTTTTACACATAACGCTATTGTATACTTACTAGACTATAATATAGTATAAACATAACTTTTACATACACTAGGAAACTAAAAAATTCACGTAACTTGCTTTATGGTGATATTTGCTATTTTGCAGAGGTCTGGAACCAAACCTGCAGTATCTCTGAGGTATGCCTGTAACAATGAAGACACTTTAAATAAAGGTAGCCCCATCATGGATTATATTTCTAAAGGTATGCTGAAGCTTGAGATTGAAACCACAGTGCATTTTCTCTTTTCTTTTCTTTTTTCTTTTCATCTCACTCTGTCACCCAGGCTGGAGTGCAGAGGCACAATCTGGGCTCACTGCAGCCTCCACCTCCTGGGTTCAAGTGATTCTCTTGCCTCAGCCTCCTGAGTAGCTGGGATTACAGGTGCCTGCCACCGTACCTGGCTAATTTTAGTATTTTTAGTAGACACTGGGTTTCACCATATCGGCCAGGCTGGTCTCGAACTCCTGACCTCAGGTGATCCCCCTGCCTTGGACTCCCAAAGTGCTGGGATTACAGGCATGAGCTACTGCTCCCAGCCCACAATGCATTTTCTTATGAAAGTAATTTACAAGTGAAGGGAAGGGTCTCAGGTTTACCAAGGGAAAAAGAAGCATTTAGCTCAAATTGTGGCTGATGAAAGAAGGGCAGTCATGAGCAGCTCGGTGCTCTGAGCTGGGTGAGTCTGAGCTGAAGGGCAGATTTGGTGGGCATGTATCTGCTCACATGGGAGGGGGAGCAGTTGAGGAGCTCTGGTAGCAGCGAGCATGGAAAAAGTATGTGTTTTAATATTGGGTCATTTATAATGGAAGGGCTGATGTATTAAGGCTGCTTAAAATATAGATATTAACCATTTTACAGGCAGGAACTGCAGAATGGCTAACCAGATTAAAAAACAGTGTTTCCATCTGGTACTATTCCATGGAATCCTCATCTTACAAAGTGATAATCATCTCAATGTTTGTTATTTTTCTCTGAACTTAAAATATAAAGAAAAAAATAAATTGAATGAAAACAGACTTAATTTTAAAAAGCAGTTCTATGTATGGATACGTTTTTAAAAGAACTGCTAAATTTCATTTTTATTGCCCTATAGTCATCAAATTCATCATTACATTCTACCTAGTTTTGAATATATGTACTATTGGCTTAACAAAATCACTCAGTATGTGCTTGCCTCAGCAGCACATATACTAAAATTGGAATGACACTAGCATGGCCCCTGTGCAATCACTCAGTATGTGAAGAATATGTTGACACTTGCATTGAGATGCGTTTACATCCACACCAATAGCGATCAAACAGAAAGCCCTCTCAGATGATAGCTTTGTTATGAAGTACATGCATGTTCAAAATGCTAAACTTTACACTGCTCTGTTGTTTTCAGCTCATTTAAGTTAAATGCTAAAGAAAAAAAAAACCTCCAAAAAAAGACAAACTATACCATTCCCTTTAAATATTTTTAAAATAGTTTGAAATATAATTCATATACAATTTATCCATTCAAAATATACAATTAACATTTTTTAGTATATTCACGGGATTGTAAAACCATTACCACAATCTAATTTTAGAACATTTTCCTTCCCCCAAAACAAACCCTGTACCCATTAGCAGCCACTCCCATTTTCCCTCATTTCATGAACCCTTCTCCTAGCTCTAAAACAACCACTAGTCTACTTCCTAACTCTACAGATTTGCCTATTCTGGATATTTTATATAAATAGACTCATATAATATGTGACTTGTTTTCTGACTGGCTTCTTTCACTTATTGGTTTCAAGGGTTAACCATATTGTAACATCTAAGGATTTATTTCTTTTTTTTTTTTTCTTTGAGACAGAGTCTCATTCTGTTGCCCAGGCTGGAGTGCAAAAGTGCAATCACGGCTTACTGCAGCCTTGACCTCCTCACCTCAAGTGATCCTCCCACCTCAGCCTCTCGAGTAGATGGGATGACAAGCACATGCCACCACGCCAGGCTAATTTTTACATTTTTCCTAGAGACGGGGTCTCACTATGTTGCCCACGCTTGCTGATCTTGAACTCCTGCACTCAAATGATCCTCCTGCCTCAGCCTCCCAAAGCGCTGGTATTACAGATATCAGCAACCATGCCCACCATGCCTAGCCTTATTTCAATTAAATAATAAAACATGGGAATTTAGAATTTATTAAATATATCATTTCATGCAAAACTATTTCAGATGTTCTGAATTATATTAGCTTGACTAAGGTGGCAAAGCAAGTTTCACCCACATTTCCTGGCTCTAACACAAACATTCTAATGGCATAGCCTTGCTAGAGATTAGCTGGTACATATAAGATCTTATTAGAAAAATTATAACAGAGACAAAAAATGGGAGAAAAGTGGGCTGGATAAAGTGGCTCACACTAGTAATCCCAGCACTTTGGGAGGCTGAGGCACATCACTTGAGGTCAGGAGTTTGAGACCAGCCTGGCCAAAATGGTGAAACCCCATCTCTACTAATAATACAAAATACTTATATACATATAATACAAAATACATATATATATATATAAAAAAGCTGACTATGGTCACGTGTGCCTGTAATCCCAGCTATTTAGGAGGCTGAGGCACAAGAATTGCTTGAGTCCAAGAGTTGGAGGTTGCAGTGAGCCAAGATTGCGCCACTGCATTCCAGCCTGGGTGATAGAGTATCTCAAAAAAAAAAAAAAAAAAAAAAGAAAAGAAAAAAAAAGGTGGGGGAAAAGTATAAAAATTCCTTAAATTAAGAATCTCTTAAAATGAAGAGAATGTGACTATTAATGATAATGATATTATATTTTTAAAATTCCTACTTTTATTGTTTTATTGTGGTAAAACAGACATACAATTTACCATTTTAAACTTTTTTTTTTTTTTAAAGAGACAGGGTCTCGCTATGTTGCCCAGGCTAGACTCAAACCCCTGAACTGGAGCCATGTACGCACCTCAGCTTCCCAAGTAGCTGGGACGACAGATGCATGACACTGAGCCTGGTTGATTTTTTTTTTTTTTTTTTTTTTTTTGAGAGGGAATATCACTCTGTCACCCAGGCTGGAGTGCAGTGGCACAATCTCCGTTCGCTGCAACCTCTGCCTCCTGGGTTCAAGCAATTCTCCTGCCTCAGCCTCTCGAGTAGCTGGGACTACAGGCGCCCGCCACCATGCCTGGCTAATTTTTGTATTTTAGTAGAGATGGGGTTTCACCGTGTTGGCCAGGCTGGTCTCAAACTCGTGACCTCAAATGACCCACCCACGTCTGCCATCCAAAGTGCTGGGATTACAGGCATTAGCCACCGTGCCCAGGCAAGACTGGTTGATTTTGAACCATTTTTAGGTATACAGTTCAGTGACATTAAGTCCAGTCAATGTTGGACAAACCACCACCCACTGTCCATCTCCAGAACCTTTTGATCTTCCCAGACTGAAACTCTGTACCCATTAAACAACTCTCCCATAACTGCTCCTCAAGCCTCTCATAACCACAATTCTACTGTCTCCATGAATTTAACTACTGCAATTGAAATCATATAATATTTGTTCTTTTGTATCTGGCTTATTTCACTCAGCATAATGCTTTCATCCCTGCTGTAACGATATTATGTTTTTTATATCTTTTTCCAGACAGTTGATAGCTCTACTCTCAATGCCAAAGCACAATGTATAGATTTGTATTAGCACTTACTTCCCTATCCTGCAATTAAACCATACATCCTCATATCCCACAGGTATATCTTGTTTATGTTCATTTCCCTATTCCCTTGCTCAATTCCTGGCCCCAAATACTTACATTGTAGTTGAATGTATAAATGACTGAATGTCCCAATAAATCAGTATGGTTATTTTGGCATAAGTCCTACAAAGACTTCTAGGCAATGTTCGAAAGACCAATGCCAGTGTTCTAGGAAATCCTATTTCTGGATTCACCTTCGACACTTACCAAGTCATATAAGATAGAATAAGACCAGAAACATATTTCATCCATTACTTCATTAATGGCACTGTAACAGCTACTAAGTAAATTACCAGTATCTGTATTTACTCTAGCAATTACTAATACATTTTCATTAATCGCATCAGAAAGTGAATGAGGGAGCGCAAGAAAGGAAACTTTCCAATTCTTACGACCCAAATGACAAAGATTAGATATTGTGAACAGATTCTAATTTACATTTGATCTATAACTTAACTGTAACAGGAAATTCTCTTCTAAACTGCTAAGAGTTAACGTTTTCAGTATTTGTGCTAAAACAGGTTGAGACAAAACATCTGTTGTAATTAGCGTTCACAGAAATGTAAAAGGACTTCAGTGTTCCCTTACCATTACCAATTCATCTTAGTGTCACAATCATCAGGCTTTACATTATGAAGATAGAAATACACATCTTGAAACCAATGATAAAATGCTAACAGTTATAATTACACACACAAACACATTTATTTTCAACTAATATTATCAGTGTTTTATTTTTTTCATTATTTTTTATTTTTGAGACAGAGTCTTGCTCTCTTGCCCAGGTTGGAGTGCAGTGTTGCGATCTTGGCTCACTGCAACCTCCACCTCCTGGGTTCAAGAGATTCTCCTGCCTCAGCCTCCTGAGTAGCTGGGACTACAGGCACGTGCCACCACGCCCAGCTAATTTGTGTATTTTTAGTAGAGACAGGGTTTTACCACGTTGGCCAGGCTGGTCTCGAATTTCTGACCTCAGGTGATCTGCCTGTCTCAGCCTCCCAAAGTGCTAGGATTACAGATGTGAACCACCACGCCGAGCCTATTTTATTTTTAAATTATTATTCTGCTCTGTTAAGGACAAGAAATCAAAATAGAGTTTTTGTCTAATGATGATGGTGGTGGTGGTTACATGTATCTATATATATATATTTTAAAATTCATAGAATGGAACACATATGAAAAACTCAATTTTGCTGTATTAGTTTTGAAATAAAATAACAAAGAGAAAAACTAAAACTAACAGCAAAATCTTTGGTGATTCAAACAAACATTATATGAACAGGTATACGCTATAAAAAGCCTTAAAATCCACACACAATTGCCTTTGTTCCATTTAAGAAAAGACTGCTACACACCAACAGAACGAATCAATAGCTGATCAATTTAATGGGGAAAGGGCAGCTCAGGCTGTACCGTCAGCTCAGAGAGTTTTATTGGCTTCTCTTAAATATGATATACATAATTGAGGAATCCAATGGAAAGGCAGATGTTAAAGATTTATCTTAAAATATTTAAGTCATTTATCTATGACCTGATTATCCAAACTGAGGCTTACCTTAGGTAACTTTAGTTCCATGGTTTAAGCAGTACACAGAAAAATGGCCTAGTGATTTAACTGCTTTAGTTAAGACTTCCTTGGTATGTAAATGATGTAGCTAAGCAAATACTTACTAAACATCAAACTATCTTTCTGGGATTGGGGATGCAAAGTAGACAATAATCTCCTCTGCATTCTATAAACGTGTAAGCATCTAATTGCCTTGTTTGTCAATGAAGCACTTACTCAGTGTTAGGCAGTCTGCGGAACAGTTTGAGTGCATCTCATTTGACTCCTGATGCTATGACATAGGTATTTTTTTTTACTGTTTCTGCGGTAAACCGTATTACTGTTTGCCAGTAAGTATTCTGGCTTCTGTCTCTGTGGGAGTAGTATAACCCCTGCCTATAGGCAGGAGTAGCCATATGACTTGGGATGGCCAATGAAATGTGGGCAGAAATGACACGCGCTACTTCAGGATAAAAGACTTAAAACCAGTGGTTCTCAGCCAGGCACGGTGGCTCGTACCTGTAATCCCAGCATTTTGGGAGGCCGAGGCAGATGGATCATGAGGTAAGGAGATCAAGACCATCCTGGCCAACGTGGTGAAACCCCGTCTCTACTAAAAATACAAAAAAGAAAAAAAATTAACTGGGAGTGGTGGTGCGTGCCTGTAATCCTAGCTACTGGGGAGGCTGAGGCAGGAGAATTGCTTGAACCCGGGAGGCGGAGATTTCAGTGAGCTGAGATCGTGCCACTGCACTCCAGCCTGGCGACAGAGCGATACTCAGTCTCAAAATAAATAAATAAATAAAAATAGAAACAAAAAAACCAGTGATTCTCTCAGTCTCTTTTCCCCCCTAACTCCATGGTCTAAGTTCTGAAGTGGAGAAAACTAGAACAGAACTTCAGCCAGTACATGATGGGTGTGTAACATGAACAAGAAATAAATGTTTGTTGGTATAAGCCACTGAGATTTTGGAGGCGATTTTACTATACAACATAACTTAGTTTATCCTTACTATGATTGTGAATGTTACGTGTTGACAGGGCTACTGAATGCGCAGATAGCTGATAAAACATTATTTCTGGGTGTCTGTGAGGGTATTTCCAGAACAGATTAGCATTTCAATCAGCAGACAGAGTAAAAGAAGATCCATCCTCATCAATGGGTGGGTAGCATCCAATCCTTTGAGGGCTCAAATTAAACAAAATGGCAGAGCAAGAGTGAATTCTCCCTCACTACACACACACACACACACACACACACACACACACACATATTATGTTTCTTTGAAGGACTTTGATTAATCCACTGATGCATTCTCATGTTACGGATAAAAACACCAAAGTTTAGAGATGTTTAAAATGATATGTCTGGCTGGATGCAGTGACTCACACTTGTAATCTCAATACTTTGGGAGGCCAGGGTGGGAGGATAGCTTGAATGTAGGAATTCAAGTTAAGCCTGGGCAACTAGTGGGACCCCATGTCTACAGGTGAAAAAAAAAAAAAAAAAAGCTGGGGATGGTAGTGTGTGCCTGGAGTTCCAGCTACTTGGGAGGCCGAGGTAGAAGGATCACATGAGCCCAGGAAGTCAAGGCTGCAGTGAGTCGTGATTGTGCCACTACACTCCAACCTGGGCAACAGAGTAAGACCCTGTCCCAAAAAAATAAAATAAAATGATGTGTCTATAGTCAAGAGCAGTAAGTGGAATAACTGGATTTAGAACCCAATCTTGTCATAGCACAGCATCCTTTTTCTTAACTATTTTTCAATAAATATTAGGATGGAAGTGCCTATCAATTATGAAGGTAAAACACGGGAAGAAGAAGTTAACTGTTGCAAGAGCAACAAAAGGTTTTACCCCAAGTAGAGTTCAATTTTTAAAGATAAAAACGTTTCCTAGCCAGGCACGGTGTCTCACGCTTATAACCCCCCAGCACTTTGGGAAGCTGAGGTGGGCGGATCACTTGAGGTCAGGAATTCAAGACCAGCCTGGCCAACATGGTAAAACCCCGTCTTTACTAAAAATACAAAAATTAGCTGGGTTTGGTGGTGCACACCTATAGTCCCAGCTGCTCAGGAGGCTGAGGACAATCACTTGAATCCAGGAGGCAGAGGTTGCAGTGAGCTGAGATTGTGCCACTGCACTCCAGCCTGGGTGACACAGTCTCTGTCTCAAAAAAAAAAAAAAAAAAGTTTCCAGACAAACTGCAAAGATAACATAGGTTTAATAAATAAAAATGGTGGACACAGTTTAGATACACAAGGCCACTGTACATAGGTAACCAAAACTTAAGGCATCTTGATTTCCACAGAACAATAACCCCAAACACAAACATAAACTTCTTGTCCTTTTGAGTCAGTGAAGTTAAACCAATCAACTATAGACAAATCAGCTTACACATCTTTGTTTGCCTTAAAGAAGAATATAGGACAGCCAATCATGGGAAAGGTCAAAATACTTCCTATTTTACAGTCTATGAACTGTGCTGTCTTAATGGCTGTAAAATTGAGACTTCGTGCCATTTTTCAGTTTGAGGTCTTTCTGGTTCATAAACTTTTCTTTTGCATGCATAGTAAACTCTCAAAATTCTAACTTGATCTGATTTTGACACACATAATATACCTAGTGTCTTAAAATACAAACAAGGCTGCATATTTTATAAAATAATCTAGTGACCTGCCATATCAGTTCTTCTGGCTTTTCTAAGTCTAATAATACCACTTATATATCTTTAAAAGTATATTTAGAAAAATAAGCATACTTGGAGATCACTTAATGATTCTCTATTTACTTTTTTTTTTTTATTAAATATACCAATTACTACACATTTTGTTAAAGTCCTTCTAAAGAGAGAATTGTACATTTGAGGGTTGGGCTTGTAGTATCTTATAAGGCTGAACCTGTCCCATTCCCTTAGAAAAAAAACGCATAAAATAAGTAGTGCACATAAAGTAATGAAAAAATATCTCCATTGTTCTTTAAAAATATACATTTTTTCTCTATTAAAAGCAATGCATGTTTCTTTAAATTTTGAAAAATTGAGAAAAATAGAATAAAAAACTAATCATTGCTGAAAACAACCATTATTAAAAGAAGGATTCATTACTCTTGCTATCATCTTGAAACAACTAAATTATAAAATTATATGTGATACTATCTAGTGAGTTTGAGAAAAATGAAATGATTTTCAAAGACTAACATATAAAGCTAACAGTATTTCTTGACAGTAGATCATTAGGTCTGAGCCCAATTTCCTCAAAAACGAAGGAAGAAAACCTTTCTTTTAAGCAGGGTCCAAATCACCCAAGCACTTAGACTCAAGGGGATCATAATACTTCCACATTAGCATAACAGGAGAGAGAAATCTGAATATGAAAACAACAAACAAAGGAGAATCAGAGATAAGAATCAGCAAAACATCTTAGACTCATTCCTGAACAAGTTATTACCATTAGAACAATGTTGTCCCTGGAGCTATGATGAGAGAATGGAAAAAATAAATAGATACAAAAAGAAAAAATTTCTTCATTTGAAAAGCATATAAAAATGAGAAAGAAGGTAAAAGAAGAAAAGAGGAATAGGCAATTCTCTCCCCCACCTCTTAAATGCATTGTACAGAAAGGGAAGTCTTAAAAGTTGTTTTTTTTTTTTGAGGCAGGGTCTCACTCCATCATCCAGGTTGGAATGCAGTGGCATGATCACAGCTCACTGCAGAGTCCACCTCCTAGGTTCAAGTGAACTCCTGAGTTCAAGGGATCCTCCCGCTTCAGCCTCTCAAAATGCTGGGATTACAGGTGTGAGCCACCATGCCTAGCTTTAAAGTTATTTTAAGACTTTAGGTCTTAAGAACATGGAACAGGGTGGGGTGCAGTGGCCCACGCCTATAATCACAGCATTTTGGGAGGCAGAGGTGGGCAGATCACCTGAGATCAGGAGTTCAAGACCAGCCTGGCCAACATAGTGAAACCCCATCTCTACTAAAAATACAAAAAATTAGCTGGGAGTGGTGGCGGGTGCCTATAATCCCAGCTACTTGGGAGGCTGAGGCAGGGGAACCGCTTGAATCTGGGAGGCAGAGGTTGCAGTGAGCCGAGATCGCAGCACTGCACTCCAGCCTGGGCAACAAGAGTGAAACTCTGTCTCAACAAAACCAAAAACAAACAAACAAAAAAACCATGGAACGTAATTACAAAATAGCTAGAAGAGAGGCTTTTGAATGTCCACACCCAAAGCAATGATGAACACGTAAAGTGATGTTCAAGCTAAATACCCTGTTTGATCATTATGCAACATACATATGAATGGAAATGTCAAACTGTACCCTATAAATATGTATAATTACAAGTCGTCGACCTAAAAAAAAGTATTTGAAAAATGGGCCATAAGAAGTCATTTAATTGGAATGATTACAGAGGAACTAATAAGGCTCCCTAGCCCATTCCAAATTACGGCACTATTAGTGATACAGTAGTAGTGATAGGGAGGGGAGGCAGGGAAATTCTGGGTAGAAAAGGGCAGGTCCCTGGTGAGGGCTCCATCCTCAAGCCTGGAACTGCAGCCCAAAATGAGAACTTACATCCCTGTTTTCCTGCTCAAATGTTGTCCTTTCCAAAACCACCCATAGCCTTCCCCACCCCCCCCCGTTACTGTGCCCATAAAAACCCCAGGCTCAGCCAGCAGACAAAGGAGAAGCAGCTGGACACTGGAGATTGTAGTTGGACGTCAGAGAGAAGCAGCTTGACTTCAGAGGGACAGCTTGAAGGCGTAGCTTCGGAGAGGAGATTACCTTCCCAATCCGTCCCCTTTTCAGCTCCCCTTCCCGCTGGGAGCCACCTTCATCAGTAATAAAAATCCTCTGCATTTACCATCTCTAATTCGATCATGCAACCTCATTCCTCCTGGAAGCCAGACAAGAATTTGGGTGCCACGAGTGTGTGTGCACCCTCCACTTAGCTGTTAACACTTAAGCCGTCCACGAATGGCAAAGCTAAAATGGCACTGTAACATTCCTTCTGGGGCTTCAGGGGTCTCGGGCACCTCCCTAGAAACTGCTGCAGGGCCTCCATGGAGATTTTTGCCTGCTAGCACCCAAAAGCACTTGCCCCAGCTCCTGCACCCGCTCACCTGCACTCCCCCACCCATGAGCTGTGGAACACAGCAGGACCAAGCAAGTAGACTCTGCCCCTGCTGACACTGAAGTGGCTGGCTAGTTCTAGTGCCTGTGCACTCTAGTTCCTGCCTGCAAAGGGATCAGGGAAATATCCTGCTTCAGTAGTAGTAGCATAAATAGCAACAGTAATGATAGCAGTTTGCATCTGTATGTGCTAGACAATGTGCTGAGTCACATTCATTGTCTCATTTAGACTTCAGAAAAAAACGTAGTAGTTTTACTTCACGCGATCTTAGATTTAGAGAAATTAAATGCCATGACCACAGCACAATGGTGGCAATGGAATATAAACCCAGTGCCCTCGACATTGCTCAATCAAATGTCTCTCACAAGAGCATCATTCCTATGGATTGATCTACCTGTAATCCTCTCTATACATACACTAATTCTTGAGGAATAGCACAAACTAATTTGCATAAAGGTGTTAACAAACAATAAATCATTTCTGGGAGTGGGAGAAGAGTAGAAAGTAGTCTTTCTAAAACAAGGCATAAAATATATAGGTATTATGTATATTATACATAGTCTCTGATATATATTATGTAGCTTTTTGGGTTATTTTTAAGACGGCATCTCGCTCTGTTGCCCAGGCTGGAGTGCAGTGGCATGATCGCAGCTCACTGCAACCTCAGCCCCTCGGGTTCAAGCGATTCTCCTGCCTCAGCCTCCCGAGTAGCTGGGATTATAGATGTGCGCCACTATGCCTGGCTAATTTTTGTACTTTTAGTAGAGACAGGGTTTCACCATGTTGGCCAGGCTGGTCTCCAACTCCTGACCTCAGGTCATCTGCCCACCTCGGCCTCCCAAAGTGCTGGGACCACAGGCGTGAGCCACTGCACCCGGCCTATATTGTATAGTTTCTGATATATAAAATACATGTAATATTATATATGTCAAAGGTAATTTTTAATTTTCATAATTTGCAAAATTTTCCTCAGTTTGGTTATGTCAGAAATGGGTGGGTTTTTTAAAAAAGTCTCATGCGTTTAAACTAAGTTAACTAGCTCTTATTACATTACTTAAAATTAAATAATAAATTAATGGGATCTTTGCAGTCTTTTGCTACTGATCAATATGGATTTTAAGTACAAACTGATAAACATATATTTTTTATAAGGCAACAAGAGACATATTCCATCCCTGTTCTACTTAAATTGTTTTCACTTGGTAAAATTGTTTTCACATGTCAGTTCTTTAATTGGAACGTAAATAAAAGCATTTCTAGTTACTACATGGTAAGCCAGCTTGTCTAAGTACACCTTGTCAGAGTATCTTGAGATTTTAATCTGCTTTTTTAAACACATGAGCTCCAAAGCTATAGGATCAGACAGCTCCTTTAGCATGTAAAGAGAGATGAAGAAAAAGTTCCATTTGGGAAGCCAAATTTACTTTTAAGACTTGAGCTTTCTAAAAAATGTTGTTTTTTTAAAATGAAATAGAAGTCACAATTTTATGCATTAAAAATATAGATTTATTTATATTAGAGGGGGAAATTGTAATTTTAAATTCCCCTTTCTGGCAGTCTGTGGTCTCTACAAATAAAAAAAAAATCTAACTTACCCTTTTTTGCAAGGTTTTGCCCAATGTTAACAGAAGAAGTCATTTGATACAGAAGCATTTTGAAATGTTCAATTTTGTAATTTTTGTAACATCACAGTTGGTTTTTTTTTTCTTTTTTTGGATTTTGTTCTTTTGGGGTTTTTTGTCTTTTATTTTTATAGTTGATTTTTTTTAAGAGCAGGCTTTGCAGTGCTCTCTTTGTGTTTCCAATGATCAGATCTTTCCAATGAGCAAATGTGTTGTAAATTACATTATTAATACCTTATGTTAACCTGGCTAAAGAACTAGGTAAGCATAAGCCTAAATAACAATGATTAAGGAAATCCAGTACACTTTATTTATTTATATGCTAAGAATTTCCTTCAGAACAGGCACAGTGGCTCATGTCTGTAATCCCAGCACTTTCGGAGGCTGAGGCAGGCAGATTGCTTGAACCCAGGAGTTTGAGACCAGCCTGGGCAACATGGTGAAATTCTGTCTCCATAAATAATACTAAGATAAGCCAGGAGTGGTGGTGCACCCCTGTAATCTCAGGAGGCTGAGGTGGTGGGATTGCTTGAGCCCGGGAGGTGGAGGTTGCAATGAGCCAAGATTGCACCACTGTACTCCAGCCTAGGCAAGAGAGACACACTCTGTCTCATAAATAAATAAATAAATAAATAAATAAATAAATAAGAATTTCCTTCTATCTTAGGTGAGAAAAAGTGATTTCCACATCAAGTACTCTGACTTTTTAATGTTTCAAACTTAGAGACTGCAAATATAGAAGACAGCTAGGGAAAAAGATATTTCAAAGATGAGTCTAACAAAATGTGTAATATGCTGAAGTGAACTAGGAAGGAAGGAGAGTGATGGGGACCATCAACAATTTTCTTTTCCTTTTTTGAGACAGACTCGCAGTGTTGCCCAGGCTGGAGTGCAGGGGCACGTTTTTGGCTCACTGCAACCTCTGCCTCCCAGGTTCAAGCAATTCTCCTGCCTCAGCCTCCTAAGTAGCTGGGATTATAGGCACCTGCCACCACGCCCAGCTAATTCTTCGTATTTTTAGTAGAGACGGGGTTTCACCATGTTGGCCAGGCTGGTCTCAAACTCCTGACCTCGTGATCCACCCGTCTTGGCCTCCCAAAGTGCTGGGATTACAGGCGTGAGCCACTGTGCCCGGCCTCATCAAAAATTTTCTATATAATGTTTAGATGATTGCTATTGCCCTATCCTCATAGGATCATCTCTCCACAGAATTCACTAATGGGCACGATTCATCAGAGAAAACTGGGAATTATTTTGCAAGGGGTATCTAAGACTTAGTCTCAGAAAGTGCAAGAACGCATTCCAGATGAAATAACATATACCAAGTATGAAGCTACTCTGAGTAAAATTAACATTTTAAAACGTCTTCGGCTGAGTGAAATGAAGAAAGGGAAATTCAATCCCTTACAAGTTCAATGATTACACATTCAAAACGACTCATTAAAACTAAAAACAAATGGAATACTCCCATCTGGGTGTTTGATTTTATTTTCTCCTAAATAAACTTGATTTCTCATAATCACTGATTATATAAAAGAAGTTCAAAAATGAACGCAATATTTCCTTGTCAGAGCATGACAGCCTCCTCCTGCTCAGTTACCCAGTTTCAAAACCTCTGAATTTCTTGCCCTCATCCACTACACCCCATCAAATAATATGTATTTCTGGTGCTACCCAACCCTCAGAAGTCTCTTATTTTCTAAGTCCATCTCTTGAGTGTAACTTTGCACTATCCAGGTCTCACAATTTTTTCTTACAAACCATAACGTAAGTCTGAGTCTTCAAATGGGCAAAGGGTAGGTAGACCTGGAGGGAACAAAGCGGCGGTGAGAGTATTTTTAATTAGGTCCATTTCCAGGTCTTCAACTTCTTTTGTAGTTTTTCTTAAACCTGGATTGTCTGTGGTGAAGGCTTGATGTTGTGTATCCTCTCACACCTCCCTCTCTCTCCCCTTTACTGAATGGCATCAGGTCACCAAACACAGAACACGTGAAGTTGCCTTTTTTAAGCAACATAAGGAGTTCTCATGCCTATTCACCCCCAACATCCATGCCGTTAAAGACTGCATTTCAAACAATTTTAATATTTATGCTGTTTTGGTGAAATGTATACTAGTAATAATTTAATAACAATCCAAAGGAAATGTTTCTCTTAAAAATATTTGGAGGACGGTGGCTCAAGCCTGTAATCCCAGCACTTTGGGAGGCTGAGGCGGGCGGATCACGAGGTCAGGAGATTGAAACCATCCTGGCTAACACGGTGAAACCCTGTCTCTACTAAAAATACAAAAAATTTGCCAGGCATGGTGGCGGGCGCCTGTAGTCTCAGCTACTCTGGAGGCTGAGGCAGGAGAATGGCGTGAACCTGGGAGGCGGAGCTTGCAGTGAGCCGAGATCGCGCCACTGCACTCCAGCCTGGGCGACAGAACGAGACTGCGTCTCAAAAAAAATCTATATCTATATATCTATATCTATATCTATATCTATATCTATATCTATATCTATCTATCTTTGGAGGCTTCTAATCAGAATAATGTTTGTATTTTATTTTATACATATATTTTGATACACAGAAGGATGATACAATGATCAATAGAAGACTTTCAAGCTTATAAATATATTGAATTGGCCAGGCGTGGTGGCTCACGCCTGTAATCCGAGCACTTTGGAGGCTCAGGAGGGTGGATCACCTGAGGTCAGGAGTTTGAGATCAGCCTGGCCAACATGATGAAACCCCATCTCTACTAAAAATACAAAAATTAGCCAGGTGTGGTGGTGCATGCCTGTAATCCCTGCTACTTAGGAGGCTGAGGCAGGAGAATTGCTTGAACCCAGGAGGCAGAGGTTGCAGTGAGTTGGGATTATGCCACTGCACCCCAGCATGGGTGACAAAGTGAGATGCTGTCCCAAAAAAAAAAAAAAAAAGATACTATGAAAAAATTTTAATATCAATATAAATCATTTAAAAAATTATTTTGAGGTAACAGCAAACAAAAGTGTCAATACCACTCAGCAAGAAATGCAGTCTGGACTTCGTCGGCCGCACTCCGCTCCCAGACTTAGACTCTTTCCATTCCTATCTCCTGTCAGTGGCTTCAGGTCACAATGCCCCTGCTCACCCTCGAACCCCCGGGAAACATGTTCCTATCAAAAGCAGACCTACTGCTTTTCCCAGAACATGCTCCTGGCTTTTTACCCTTATTAAAATGTTATCCTCACTCTAGAATGCAATTGCTCACCTCTAAGCCAACCCTGCCTACTAAAATCCCATCCATGCTTCAATTATCACTTCCTCCTGTTTCTCAATGTACCCAAAGTATTAATTATTTATTTCCTGTTCTCATTTAGAGTGTTTTGTGTCTCTATCAGGCAATTACCACATTGTACATTATTAGTTGTTTAGCATAATGTTTGATAACTTTTTGTTGAATTGAGTTGAATAACAGCTAATTTTACCAAGAGTCAATGTGCTCAAGTGAAACAAGCCATAGTTTCAATATACACAGACACACAATTTTTCATTTTGACTTTTTCAATGACCTGGTATATGCCGCTAGGGAAACCTCAACTCTAGATTGTTTATACTTACATTTCTGCATTTTAAACTTGAAGATTACACTCTTACTTTTTATACAGGAGAATTTTTTAATGATCAGTTAACCAAAAGTAATTTTTCATCATTTGCAATTATGAAAGACTAATTATGAATATGACTAAATTATAGGAGCCTAAAATTAAAATCCTTTTTAAGATAAATAAGATGCAAGGAGGTCACATAATGAGGCAAATCAGTGGAAGAGTGGAGGATAGTGTACTAATACTATGCTAGTGCCCCAACAAACAAAAACTCTATATTCTCAACAACAAAGCAATCCCACATTCACTAGCCATTTTATACTCATTTTACCATTCTTGTTACCATTTACAGGATGATGATTAATTTCATTTTAATTTTTCACTGAAAATTAAAATTTGCAAATGAAAAATTCCTACAGGCCACTTCAAAGAAAATATACTGTATTTCATCACTCAGTAATAAATTATTAGCTTGTAGTCCAAAGAGAGTATGAAAATCTGTTAGTCTCAAATATAGCTCGTTTATAGCATCTCAAATACAGCTCAACTTTACAGCATCTGTATGTCTCACCTAACATCTGTTTCCTGTTTATATTTTTCACATAGTATTTTGCGTTATTAGTCATAATTATATATTTCTGCAGTAAGCAGAAGTATCAAATAGCCTCCTTCAGTCTCATCTGGATGTAATAAAAGAACCAAATTTTGAAATGGCAAGACTGTGAAAGGAAACGTCTACCTTTAATCATAACAGAAACAGCTGATTGCCCTTTTTCCTGCACTGTGGCACTTACTAATAACTTAAGAAAAACACCCGCCACATGTGAAGCTCTGAATCAGTGTAGGATCTGAAGAGCTACTCATTGGTTGAATCAGTTTCAAGCTGACTTTACAAAACCCTCCAAAGCGGAACCTCTGCAACATTTTATGTGGAATGTCCTTTAGGATTCTGACTACATAGTAGCTGGGAAGGCACATCTGTGATACGTTACAAAACCAAAGAAGTTGCCAGCAAAGTTTTTAATATTTCATTTTAAAAAGCATACAATTTTAGTTTAGTATTCCCTATATCAAAATTTGAGTAGTATCAAATTTTAGATTCAGTCCTATGACTTTGAGTCTACAATTGCTTATTTTCTCTTAAGTCAGTGAAATTTAATAAATTAGATTAATTCATTAATTAGATATTAACAAAACATTAACTTTACATAAATAATGATTATTATTATTATCATTAATATTTTGAGACGGAGTCTCACTCTGTTGCTCAGGCTGGAGTGCAGTGGAGCAATTCCAGCTCACTGCAGCCTCCGCCTCCTGGGCTCAAGTGATCTTCCTGCCTCAGTCTTCAGAATAGCTGGGACTACACATGTGCATCACCACGTCCAGCTAATCTTTGTATTTTTTGTAGAGATGGGATTTTGCTGGGTTGCTCAGGCTGGTCTCAAACTCCTGTGCTCAAGGGATCCGCCCACCTTGGCTTCCCAAATTGCTGGGATTACAGGACAGGCATGAAGCACCATGCCCAGCCTATATAAATTATTTTTTAAAAATCATAGAATGAGGAAACTGGAAGGAACCTAGGAGATAATATAGACCAAACTCTTCTCTCATCACTTCTACTTCCAAAGACAAAGACCTAAAGGGGTTATATAATTTGCCTAAGTTCACATGGTTACATAGTGCTAAAATTAGAGTTAGAACCAAGGTCTTCAGATGTTAAGAACAATGTCCTCCTTATATACAATTTGTGCCTTTTATTATCAATTTAACTAAACTGTACCAAAGTGTATTCTAATAGAATATGTGGCCCAATTATTTAATCTGCTATCATATATCTAACATAAATAAAATCTTTATATTCCAAATTACCTCATTCTCTTGAATAAGCTTTATGTTCACTACTCATGGGAAAAAAACAACCTGCAACAAATCCCAAATATTTCCCCTTTTCAAGAGGGATATTAATTACACTAGGTCATTTCTTTAAGGGTCTTTACTACTTCCTATCCAAAATCTATTTAATAGAATAGCAGCAACTTTTATACATGATGGGCAATTTTATTAAAGCCAAACATATGCCCACTCTGACCCAGCAATTCCACTCAGGAATATTCAAGAGAAATGAGTGTATTATGTCTGCCAAAAGATATGTACAGAATGTTCTCAGAAGCTTTACTCACAATAGTTGAAATCTGGAAATTAACCTAATATTTAACAGGAGAATGGGTGAACTGTGATATATTTATAAAACAACACTTCACAGCAATAAAATAAAAACAGATTATTGAAATATGCAACAACATCGTGACGCTCATGGACATTCTGTTGGGCAAAATAAATCAAATTCAAAAGAGTACATACTGTATGAATCCATTTACATGAAATTCGAGAACAAGCAAAATTAACAGTGATCAAATTTTCCAATTCAGAATAGAGGTCTCTTGGATGTGTGAACTGGAAGGAACATGAGACAATCACATGAGATTCTAGAAATGCTCTATTTCTTGATCAGGTGATAGTCACATCCAAGTGCACATTTGTAAAGGCTCATTGTGCACTTAAGATCATTGCGCTTTATGGTATTTATGTTATACCACAATAAAAAGTTTTTTAAAAATTGGGGAGGAGGCAGTGGTTGGCAAAGCTTAAGATCTAGATGAAAGTCAAGGAGCTACGGTCCAGTCATCATAAATGAAGGAACAAATGGATTCATTTATTCTAATTTCAGTCACAGAATTCAATTTCAGGAACTTTTTCTTGTTTTACAGTATTTACCCCCTTTGTAAACATCACTTCACTTAACAAAGAATACATTTTAATAATATTTAATCATAAATGTCTTCAAAATGAGAATTCTACTATAGTGATAAGTTGTGATACATTCAGACAATGGAATATTATTCAGCACTAAAAGAAATGAGTTCTGAGGCCAGAAAAAGGCATAGAAAAGCCTTAAATGATATTACTAAGAGAAAGAAGCTAATCTGAAAAGGGTATGATTGCAATTATATGACATTCTGGAAAAGGCGAAACTATGGAGACAGTAAAAAGAGCAGGGGTTGTCTGGGGCTAGAAGAAGGGAGGGGTAAATAGGTGGAATAATGTGGGGTTTTAGAGCAGTCAAACTATTCAGTATGATACTATAACGGTGGGTACGTGTCATTATACATTTGTCAAAACCCAAAGAATATATTACATCAAAGGTGAACCTTAATGAAAACAATGGGCTTTGAGTGATAATAACCTAGTAAGAGTGCCATAAAGTACAGCAATGCCAAGAATCCTGGCCCTTTAGGGAACAAATCAAAAAGTAAATTAAATTCTCTTAGATATTTTGGGTTTCAGTCAA
Organism: Homo sapiens; assembly: GCF_000001405.40. Taxonomy (NCBI): domain Eukaryota; kingdom Metazoa; phylum Chordata; class Mammalia; order Primates; family Hominidae; genus Homo; species Homo sapiens. The sequence goes on along the minus strand of NC_000006.12, from coordinate 20,975,769 downwards.
ATATTCTTTGAAAGCTTTGTATCTTAAAATTATTAACATCCGTGGGAAGCATTCATTTTGTCCATGCTTAGCCATTTTTTTCAAATGTATAATTGAATATCTGTAGAATCAGTGCTCATTTTATGAAATAACTAAGTCAAAGAGACTATTTTTACTTTGAAAATAATACGTGTTGCTTAAATATCACTTTATATTCACACACCTTAGAGAAGAAATGCCCTGATGTTATTGAATAGATGTTATGTATGCAAAGACATCGAATGAAATATATAATAAGCATATACATGAAGCATATGTACTATGTATGTAGTTACCTAATGTAGTAAAATCAAATAGAATTATTAGTAACATCAATTATGTATCAGGGCATATCACAGACACAGTTTCAAAAAAAAGGGACTACTAAATACCAAGCAAACTTGTTCGAAAATGAAAGCACAAGAAAAGCACAGTCTAGATGTGAAATTAGGCAATTTGGAACATAAACTGAATCTGAGTAATTGCAGCATTGATATCTACAAGGCAAGGATATCTATCACCTGGAGACGGCAGAGATTAACTGGTCAGTCAGTGGGTTCGTAGTTAGCCGGATGGCCAAAAGATCTGGCTCTAATTTGGTATTTTTCCTCCCAATCAGCTCCAATTACAAACAAATGGAACTTCTGAGGTAGATACAGGGACATAAGATAAATATCTATATTAAAGCATTGCTAAAAACAGTCTTCTTGTTTTGGAGTCATGGTCCAAATATCTTATTTGTTTCTTTCCTTTTTTTTTTTTTTTTTTTTTTTGAGATAGGGTCTGCCTCTGTCACCCAGGCTGGAGTGCAGTGTTGAGATCTCAGTTGACTGCAACCTCTGCCTCCTGGGCTCAAGTGATTCTTTCACCTCAGCCTCCTGAGTAGGGGGTACTACAGGAGCATACAACCATGCCCAGCTAATTTTTTTTTTTTTTGCAGAGACTGGGTCTTGCTATGTTGCCCAGTCTGGTTTCGAACTCCTGAGCTCAAGCAATCTGTCAGCCTCGGACTCCCAAAGTGCTGGGATTACAAGCACGAGTCACTGCACCTGGCCCAAATATTTTATTTCTAAGATGCAACTGATGGTAAACCACACCATCAACTCGATAACAGCCTTTCAAGGAGAAAACAAAATCCAGAAAAATAGAAACCTTACGATATCAATGTTATATATTATTTGTAGAGCATAACTCTGATTTCTCAAATATTAAAGTGAGCCTGAGAATAAAGAATAGCTAGATATTAATCACTATCACAAGACAAAAGAAACACAATGTTCTTTTCATTTTCCCTATCCAATGTGAAGTTGTGGCAAAGATTGCTGGTTGCCCTAATATCCCTTCTCTCTTCTTCAGTAATAAAATTCCCAAATTTTAACTACACCTCTGACCACCAAGCTGGAGATTAATTGCTCATATGGTCAAATAACAAAGTTTGGGCAAAGCCAAAAGCTTGGATTTAATATGACTAGAAGAGATCTGCTACTTTTGGGTCAGGCCAGTAGAAGAAATGCATGCCATGTCTTTCCATTGTCTTTTCTGCTTCTGCAGCCTGGGATGCTAACATGACGGCAGGACAAAGAAGAGCCATCTTAGACCTAGAGAGGGAAGGCACACACTGAAGACAGCAAATCCTCTAGAGAATCTTGGACCACCCATCTGTGGACTGTGAAAGAGAGAAGTAAACTTCTATAAGCCACCATATTTTGGGGCCTCTTTGTTTTATCCTCTTCACGTTTTCCCTAATGTAAGCGTTTTCTATATAATACTTCACAGTTATATATCGTCTACAACAATAATTTCTTAAAAATTGTTTATAGTCATTGCTAGTCAGAAATGATGACCCAGGCCAGGCAGGGTGGCTCACGCCTATAATCCCAGCACTTTGGGAGGCTGAGGTGAGCAGATCACTTGAGCCCAGGAGTTCGAGACTAGCCTGGGCATCATAGGGAGACCATGACTTTCCTAAAAATACAAAAATTAGCTGGGCATGGTGGTGCATGCCTGTAGTCCCAGCTACTTGGGAGGCTGAGGTGGGAGGATCACTTGAACCCGAGAGGCAGAGGTTGCAGTGGGCCGAGATCACACCACTGCACCCCAGCCTGGGTGACAGAGCAAGGCCCTGTCTCAAACAAACAAACAAAAGATGACCCATGTTGCTTATGATCCTATGTTGGATCACCTGGCAGGATGGCAGCAGCTGAAGCAGAGACCCCAGTGAACACTGGCATGCCTCTACTGCTGTTCACAGTGACTGGCACTGAGAGCCACCTTTCCCTCCACAGCCTTTGGAAAGTCTCACATTTCCCCATGGGTCCTACTTCACTCCCCGCTCACTGGCTAGCTTTCTCCTTCCCCACAGGTACTTTTGACTTTGGCTTACCCTATCAATCATGAGAAAATAAACATTAGGAATATGTGACCCAAAAGATACCTTTATATAGAAAAGATACCTTTATATTTACATATGTGATACATTGTTTTTAAGGTAAAATTCCAAAATCTCAGTATAGTAACAATGATAATAATTATAGCTGATAACTCTTGAGCACCTTTTATGTGCCAGACACTATTCTAAGCATTCTACATATATCAATTCATTGTTCTACCAATGTTACTCTATTATAAGCTAAATAATGATACTCCATTATTTAAAGTCTTTTTTTTTTTTTTGAGACGGAGTTTCGCTCTTATTGCCCAGGCTGGAGAGTAATGACGCGATCTCGGCTCACTGCAACCTCTGCCTCCCGGGTTCAAGCAATTCTCCTGCCTCGGCCTAAAGTCTTCAATTTATATAGCATCCCAGAAAGCACTAGTGATATGTTATCTAATATTCTTTGTATAGGGTAACTGCTAATATGCCCAGTTGATATGTGAAAACATCAAAACCCATAGAAATGTGAAAATCTGTCCAGTGCTCCACAAAAATCAGCAGAACATCCAGGCCCATGTCAAAGACTGGCCCTGACAGCAAACAATCAACAATGCTCAGTTCTCCTTTCACGGTCTCTGAGTTCTAAAATCAAGCATGCTTTCCTAAGAGAAGGGAGGTCCATAAGCTTCATAATTCCAAGGGCTATGGATTAATTCACTGATGACCCACGTTCCAAACAGGAAATGTGCCTGAAACTGAGGGAATTAACAGAGATGGGCTGTTCATTCCCTTAGGAACGTGGGCTAGGCTGGTGGAAGAGCAAAAGAGAAATGAAAATAAGTTGTTTATCCTGCTTTCTGTTTCAAACTTTCTTCAAAAAATCTGAAGGACTTGGGAAGTTGAAACATAAAAAGAAACTGATAGGCTTCCACGGATAAAACTGAGTGTCTAAAAGAAGAATAGCTGGTGCCTTGAGAAACTTAACTAAAGGCTAAGGAAGAGCTAAGAGTGTCTCAAGCCTGGGTGATAAGAGTGACTGCCAGTGGGCTGTGTCTGAGGCCTCATGAACTTGGCCACCAAAATGATCTCCAGTCCTTCTACAGGGCCACCAGTGTGGAACAAGAAGAGTATGCAGAACAATCCATTTTTGGCAATAGAGAGATCTTGTGATATGATTTTCTGTAAATTTCACTTTACACTGTATTATTTACAGCATGAAAAACACTTGCAAGTGAGGAAGGCCATTCTATCCAAAAGAATGTTTCTTTCTCAGGTGTTGAATGGAGGACTCAATTCAAGTGAGTCTCTAGGCTCACTACAGAAACAGAAGCCCTTGGTGTCTCAGGCCTCTCTGACTTAGGATTATAGAAATGATATGCCACTGTCAAAGCAAGTGTTGAGATGATTATTTCACACCAAATATCAGATAATAAAATGGAACAACAGTTTTTTCACGTTATTTTTTTTAATTCAAGGTCACATCAAGTAAAATGAGTTTAAAAATATTTTGGAAGGCCTGGAATTAGAGAGCAAGTGGAAAATTTAAAATCTACATCATTCAGCTTAAACTCTTCAAAATGGTGCTCCCTTTTCAGATGACTTACATGTGAATGGAATGATCACGATTCAACTAATTTGCCAGATTAATGATAAAACTGATTCAGATTTAAATCTTCTACTTCTGTAAACACTTCAATACAATAATGACCCATTTGATTTGAAGGATACTAGAATAAAATAATAAAGCTATAACAAATATGTTAGTAATAAAATTGTTATATTCTAAAATCTGTTACTTCTATGACAGTAACACAATGTACTGCAGATTTCAAAATGACTCTTTAAGTTTTGAAATTGATTATCCCTGAAATATCAATATTTTTCTAGTGATCTGTTGCAAATTCTAGAGTTTATATCTATTAATTTTAAGTTTGATTATCTTTTTAATTTAGCAATGCAGCATCAAAAGCAAATATCTTTCCGATCAACAAATGTCCAATCACCTGATGTGCACAGCTTTTGGAAGACTATGCTGATGGTGTGACACGGCATAGTGAAGGGGACATCATCTATCAAGAAAACAAAGCTTCTTTAGTGAATCTAGACCAACAGCAGCTTTGACATCATGAAAGACAGTAATTGTGGAACTCAATTATCTATCAGAATAGAAATAACAACATAATATTTGATTTGGTTCTTAATAAAAGTATCAGTTTTTAACAGGGAGAGAGGCCGTGCATGGTGGGCTCATGCCTGTAATCCCAGCACTTTGGGAGGCCAAGGCAGGCAGATCACGAGGTCAGGAGTTAGAGACCAGCCTGGCCAACAAAGTGAAACCCCGTCTCTACTAAAAATGCAAAAATTAGCCGGGTGTGGTGGCACGTGCCTGTAGTCCCAGCTACTCGGGAGGCTGAGGCAGGAGAAACATTTGAATCTGGGAGGCAGAGGTTGCAGTGAGCTGAGATCATGCCATTGCACTCAGCCTGGGTGACAGAGCGAGACTTGGTCTCAAAAAACAAAACAAAACAAAACAAAAAACAGAAAGAAGCAATTAACCATCATAGGCAAGATTCAGTCTATCTATGCCATATTATTTCTTGTGTGGTATCCAAAGCCAGAAGTATCTAAAGAAGTATACATTTTAGTCTGTAAGTCTCCATGCTTTCTGTGATGGTGACTCAATTAATAGTGATCATTTGCTGTCAATAACCTGCTAATGACATGAGTTCTTCCTCAAAAGCTTTATGAGGAAGACAGCACCATAAGTGATTGATGCACCTTTGACATGCAGCACAAAAATTAAGCAAGAAAAGTGATTCAACTTCACATATTGATGGTCTGATAGATACAAGGCAGCCCCTTTTCAGGCATAAATTTTTATTGACCTCAGCAGGAATGGTGGAGTAAAGACTGAAAATCCTCTCCTTCATAAAAACAATGAGAACACTGACAAAAATTGTCAGTCAACTTTTTCAGAACTCTGGAAATTAACTAAAGGTTTGCAGCAATCTGGGTGGTGTTCATTAAAAAACAAATAAATCTTGGTAAGAACATGGAGCTATGTGGTGTGTTTGGCCTATCCTAATCTCACCTCCCACTTTCTAGTTCCATGGTAGCCTTGAAAACCAACAGCCTTCAATCATGAAAACCAGCAGCCTGGAAGCCACTTGAGGGGGCATAATAGAGTTGTAACTTCTTCAAAGCCCCATTCCCAGAAAAACTATCATTATTGGACTTCACTAGTGGTTCCAAGGAAGGCTCCACTCACACAGCTTGCTTATTTAACCTGACCTGGCACTAACCCAGTGAGAACAGTCTTTTGCCCAAAGACATTTGTCAAAAATAATCAGCTGCAATTGTTTAACATCAGGGCTGCCTCAGGCTGTGATAACAGCTGGGACAAACAATAAGCAAATCAAAAAGCTTAAAAAAAAAAAAAAGGCAGGGAATGTGATATCCATACAAAGCCTAAAAAACACTGACATATTTCCTAGAATATAGAAGGTTCCATGTATGCATAGGGCTGGGTGTGTGTTTAGGTTATGCACATGCTGAGAACCAAATATCTGAGAACGTGCTAAACTCTCACCTCTGGCTAAACCTGATACTTGGCAGAAACAGGAAGTAAAGGCAAAGGTGGAGTTATAAGCTACCTGATGGAGCATTCCAGGCAAGCTCCAACATATACAATCAGGCCTCCCTGCAAAAACTGAGAGACTTACTAGTTCCAGGCATTTAAGGAAATCTCTGTCCAATCATTAGCTGACTATTAAGCTAAGTGGGTAGAGATTTCACTGGTCACACATGACAAAGAATACAGACTTTACAGAATTACAGTGGACCCTTAAAAACACGGGTTTGTACTGTGTGCATTCACTTATACATAGATATTCTTTTGTCTTTACCACCCCTGAGACTGCAAAATCAACAGCTCCTCTTCTTCCTCCTCCTCAGCCTATTCAGTATGAAGATGATGAGGATGATGACCTTTATGATGATCCACTTCCACTTAATGAATAGTAAATATATTTTCTCTTCTTATGATTTTCTTAATAACATTTTCTTTCCTCTAGCTTACTTGGTTGTAAGAATACAGTATATAATACACATAACACACGTGCATTAATTGATTGTTTATGTTAATGGTGAGGCTTCCTATCAACAGTAGGCTATTAGTAAACTTTTGGAGGAGTCAAAAGTTATACATGGATTTTTGACTGCACTGAGGGGGTACCTCTAAGCCGTGCATTGTTCAAAGGTCTGAACTATAATTCAGAAAAGTCACCA